>NC_000004.12:57246763-57573169 GCF_000001405.40 Homo sapiens | reverse complement strand
ATACTAATAACCATAATTATAGATTATAGTGATAAATTATTGAGTATCTGAAATTTGGCTGATGTACATTATTTACATGATAATAGCAGCTGATTTACATGATAATATAATGTGCTAAGCAATTACTATGTGTTCAGTAAATAAGTGTTTTAAATTTGTTATCTCATTTAATCCTCATGACAACCCTACAATGTAGATGCCATCTTTATCTCAGTATTGCAGATAAGAAAACTGAGGTTTATTAAGATTAAATAAGAACATTAGTCAAGATGGTAGGCTAAGCTGATATAGGAAACCAACATCTCTACTCCTACAAAAACATAGAAATTCTGGATTTGAAAAAAAAAAAGCAGTTTTCAAATATTTATGTTTTAGTTGACAAAAATATCTATGATGCATAACATAAAGTTTTTATATATGTATATATTATGAAATGGATAAATCAAGCTAATTACCACACATATTACCTTACACACTTACCTTTTTGTGGTGACACTTAAGATCTACTGTCTTAGCTATTGTTAAGCATAAATTATATTGTTATTAACTGTAGTCACCCCATGATGTATAATAGGTCTCTTGAACTTATTTCTCCTATCCAACTGAAATTTTGTATCCTTTGGCCAAAGGTCAAAAATCTAAGTTTTGTTTTAAAAAGTAAATGAATAGTAAAGATCAAAATCAAGAAATATAATTATTCTGCAGGTATCAGAAATAAAAAGCAGATACACAGTTGTAACAGGGTATTGAAGTCAGATTAGTATAATGGAATTGTTAGTGTCTACTATGTTTGACTGTGTTCCCCAAAGTTCATGTGTTAGAAACTTAATCCCCATTGCAATAGTGTTGGGAGATATGACCCAGTAAGAGGTGATTAGGTCATGAGGGCTCTGCCTACACGAATGGATTAATGTTATTATTGCAGGAGCAGATTATCTTAGGGAGGATTGTTATAAAAGTGAGCTAGGCCTTCTTTCTCTCTTGCTCTCACCCTTTCTTGTCCTTCCACCTCTGCCATGAGATGATGCAGCCCAAAATCCCTTGCCAGATGCTGGCAACATGCTCTTTGACTTCTCAGCCTCCAGAACTGTGAGCCAGATAAATTTCTGTTCATTGTTAATTACCTAGTCTGCACTATTCTGTTATAACAGCACAAAGCAGACTACGACAGTGTCTGAGGTATTAATATACAAATAAGAAACTGATATTAGGGTCTCTGAATAAAATCAGAAGTCAAATAAGTAAATATCTTTGAAAAAGTTTCACTCACTAAGGACATAACACAAAATAAGCTACCTACCCTGAGCCTTGAATGCAAAAAATCTAACTCAGGAAATAAGATTTCCCTGCTTACATCTCATAAGTGTGTGAGACACAAATTCTTTCATTACTTGCATGGAGGCCTTGAGCTAAAAAACTAACATAAAAACACATCCAGAATGAGTGAATATATAAGTCTACCTCAGAAGTAACCATGAAATTATTAATAGGGTCAACTCTATATATAAAACCACAAAAGTAAATAATCCCATCAAAAATGAGCTGACAAAAATTATAAAGTACATAAGAAAATACATTGTCATAAATAGTTAGCAGAGACTGGGGGGCGTTCCAAGATGACCGAATAGGAACAGCTCTGCTCTGCAGCTCCCAGCATGATTGATGCAGAAAACGGGTGATTTCTGCATTTCCAACTGAGGTACCTTGTTCATCTCACTGGGACTGGTTGGACAGTGGGTGCTGCCCATGGAGGGTGAGCTGAAGCAGGGCAGGGCGTTGCCTCACCCGGGAAGTGCAAGGGGTTGGGGAATTTCCCTTTCCTAGCAAAGGGAAGCCATGACAGACTATACCTGGAAAAAATGGGACACTCTCACCCAAATACTGCACTTTTCCCAAGGTCTTAGCAACCAGCAGACAAGGTGATTCTCTCCCGTGCCTGGCTCGGTGAGTCCCACGCCCACAGAGCCTTGCTCATTGCTAACACAGCAGTCTGAGATTGAACTGTGAGGCGGCAGCCTGGCTGGCGGGGGGGGGGGTGTCCGCCATTGCTGAGGCTTGAGTAGGTAAACAAAGTGGCCAGGAAGCTTGAACTGGGCAGAGCCCACCACAGCCTAACAAGGCCTACTGCCTCTAGACTCCACCTCTGTGGGCAGGGCATAGCTGAACAAAAGGCAGCAGACAACTTATGCAGACTTAAACGTCCCTGTCTGACAGCTTTGAAGAGAGCAGTGGTTCTCCCAGAACAGTGTTTGAGCTCTGAGAATGGACAGACTGCCTCCTCAAGTGGGTCCCTGACCCCTGTGTCACCTAACTGGGAGAAACCTCCCAGTAGGGGCCGACAGACACCTCATATAGGCAGCTGCCCCTCTGGGACAAAGCTTCCAGAGGAAGGATCAGGCAGCAATATTTCCTCTTCTGAAATATTTGCTGTTCTGCAGCCTCCGCTAGTGATACCCAGGAAAACAGGATCTGAAGTGGACCTCCAGCAAACTCCAACAGACCTGCAGCTGAGGGACCTGACTGTTAGAAGGAAAACTAACAAACAGAAAGGAATAGCATCAACATCAACAAAAAGGTCATCTACACCAAAACTCCATCTGTAGGTCACCAACATCAAAGACAAAAGGTACATAAAAACCACAAGGATGGGGAGAAACCAGAGCAGAAAAGCTGCAAATTCTAGAAACCAGAGCACTCTTCTCCTACAAAGGATCGCAGATCCTCACTAGCAATGGAACAAAGCTGGATGGAGAATGACTCTGATGAGTTGACAGACGTAGGTTTCAGAAGGTCAGTAAAAATAAACATCTCCTGGCTATAGGAGGATGTTCGAACCCATTGCAAGGAAGCTAAAAAACTTGAAGAAAGATTAAATGAATGGCTAACTAGAATAAACAGTGTAGAAAAGAACTTAAACGACCTGATGGAGCTGAAAACGATGGCACGAGAACTTCATGATGCTTGCACAACCTTCAATAGCCAATTCAATCAAATGGAAGAAAGGGTATCAGTGATTGAAGATCAAATTAATGAAATAAAGCAAGAAGAGAAGTTTAGAGAAAAAAGAGTAAAAAGAAATGAACAAAGCCTCCAAGAAATATGGGACTATGTGAAAATACCAAATCTATGTCTCATTGGTGTACCTGCAAGTGATGGGGAGAATGGAACCAAGTTGGAAAACACTCTGCAGGATATTATCCAGGAGAATTTCCCCAACCTAGCAAGGCAGGCTAACATTCAAATTCAGGAAATACAGAGAACACCACAAAGATACTCCTTGAGAAGAGCAACCCCAAGACACATAATTGTCAGATTCACCAAGGTTGAAATGAAGGAAAAAGTGTTAAGGGCAGCCAGAGAGAAAGGTCTAGTTACTCACAAAGGGAAGCCCATCAGACTAACAGCAGATCTCTCAGCAGAAACCCTACAAGCAACAAGAGAGTGGGGGCCAATATTCAACATTCTTAAAGAAAAGAATTTTCAACCCAGAATTTCATATCCAGCCAAACTAAGCTTGATAAGTGAAGGAGAAATAACATCCTTTACAGACAAGCAAATGCTGAGAGATTTTTGTCAACACTAGGCTTGCTTTACAAGAGCTCCTGAAGGAAGCACTAAACATGGAAAGAAACAACCAGAACCAGCCACTGCAAAAACATGCCAAATTGTAAAGACCATCAAGGCTAGGAAGAAACTGCGTCAACTAATGAGCAAAATAACCAGCAACATCATAATGACAGGATCAAATTCACACATAACAATATTAACCTTAAATATAAATGGGCTAAATGCCCCATTTAAACGACACTGACTGGCAAATTGGATAAAGAGTCAAGACCCATAAGTGTGCTGTATTCAGGAGACCCATCTCATGTGCAAAGATGCACATAGGCTCAAAATAAAGGTATGGAGGAAGACATACCAAGCAAATAGAAAGCAGAAAAAAACACAGGGGTTGCAATCCTAGTCCCTGATAAAACACACTTTAAACCAACAAAGATCAAAAGAGACAAAGAAGGCCACTACATAATAGTAAAGGAACCAATTCAACAAGAAGACCTAACTATCCTAAATATATATGCGCCCAATACAGGAGCACCCAGATTCATAAAGCAAGTCCTTAGAGACCTACAAAGAGACTTAGACTCCCACACATTAATAATGGGAGACTTTAACACCCCACTGTCAACATTAGACAGATCAACGACACAGAAAGTCAACAAGGATACCCAGGAATTGAACTCAGCTCTGCAACAAGCAGACCTAATAGACATCTACAAAACTCTCCACCCCAAATCAACAGAATATACATTCTTCTCAGCACCTCATCACACTTATTCTAAAATTGACCACATAATTGGAAGTAAAGCACTCCTCAGCAAATGTAAAAGAACAGAAATCACAACAAACTATCTCTCAGATCACCGTGCAATCGAATTAGAAATCAGGATTAAGAAACTTACTCAAAACCACACAACTACATGGAAACTGAACAACCTGCTCCGGAATGACTACTGGGTAAATAATGAAATGAAGGCAGAAATAAAGATGTTCTTTGAAACCAACGAGAACAAAGACACAACGTACCAGAATCTCTGGGACACATTTAAAGCAGTGTGTAGAGGGAAATGTACAGCACTAAATGCCCACAAGAGAAAGCAGGAAAGATCTAAAATCAACACCCTAACATCACAATTAAAAGAACTAGAGAAGCAAGAGGAAACAAATTCAAAAGCTAGCAGAAGGCAAGAAATAACTAAGATCAGAGCAGAACTGAAGGAGATAAAGACACAAAAAACCCTTCAAAAAATCAGTGAATCCGGGAGGAGGAGCCAAGATGGCCGAATAGGAACAGCTCCGGTCTACAGCTCCCAGCGTGAGCGACGCAGAAGACAGGTGATTTCTGCATTTCCATCTGAGGTACCGGGTTCATCTCACTAGGGAGTGCCAGACAGTGGGCGCAGGCCAGTGTGTGTGCGCACCGTGCGCGAGCCGAAGCAGGGCGAGGCATTGCCTCACCTGGGAAGCGCAAGGGGTCAGGGAGTTCCCTTTCCGAGTCAAAGAAAGGGGTGACAGATGCACCTGGAAAATCGGGTCACTCCCACCCGAATATTGCGCTTTTCAGACCGGCTTAAGAAATGGCGCACCACGAGACTATATCCCACACCTGGCTCAGAGGGTCCTACGCCCACGGAATCTCACTGATTGCTAGCACAGCAGTCTGAGATCAAACTGCAAGGCGGCAACGAGGCTGGGGGAGGGGCGCCCGCCATTGCCCAGGCTTGCTTAGGTAAACAAAGCAGCCAGGAAGCTCGAACTGGGTGGAGCCCACCACAGCTCAAGGAGGCCTGCCTGCCTCTGTAGGCTCCACCTCTGGGGGCAGGGCACAGACAAACAAAAAGACAGCAGTAACCTCTGCAGACTTACGTGTCCCTGTCTGACAGCTTTGAAGAGAGCAGTGGTTCTCCCAGCACGCAGCTGGAGATCTGAGAACGGGCAGACTGCCTCCTCAAGTGGGTCCCTGACCCCTGACCCCCGAGCAGCCTAACTGGGAGGCACCCCCCAGCAGGGGCACACTGACACCTCACACGGCAGGGTATTCCAACAGACCTGCAGCTGAGGGTCCTGTCTGTTAGAAGGAAAACTAACAACCAGAAAGGACATCTACACCGAAAACCCATCTGTACATCACCATCATCAAAGAACAAAAGTAGATAAAACCACAAAGATGGGGAAAAAACAGAACAGAAAAACTGGAAACTCTAAAACGCAGAGCACCTCTCCTCCTCCAAAGGAACGCAGTTCCTCACCAGCAACAGAACAAAGCTGGATGGAGAATGATTTTGACGAGCTGAAAGAAGAAGGCTTCAGACGATCAAATTACTCTGAGCTACGGGAGGACATTCAAACCAAAGGCAAAGAAGTTGAAAACTTTGAAAAAAATTTAGAAGAATGTATAACTAGAATAACCAATACAGAGAAGTGCTTAAAGGAGCTGATGGAGCTGAAAACCAAGGCTCGAGAACTACGTGAAGAATGCAGAAGCCTCAGGAGCCGATGCGATCAACTGGAAGAAAGAGTATCAGCAATGGAAGATGAAATGAATGAAATGAAGCGAGAAGGGAAGTTTAGAGAAAAAAGAATAAAAAGAAATGAGCAAAGCCTCCAAGAAATATGGGACTATGTGAAAAGACCAAATCTACGTCTGATTGGTATACCTGAAAGTGATGTGGAGAATGGAACCAAGTTGGAAAACACTCTGCAGGATATTATCCAGGAGAACTTCCCCAATCTAGCAAGGCAGGCCAACGTTCAGATTCAGGAAATACAGAGAATGCCACAAAGATACTCCTCGAGAAGAGCAACTCCAAGACACATAATTGTCAGATTCACCAAAGTTGAAATGAAGGAAAAAATGTTAAGGGCAGCCAGAGAGAAAGGTCGGGTTACCCTCAAAGGAAAGCCCATCAGACTAACAGCGGATCTCTCGGCAGAAACCCTACAAGCCAGAAGAGAGTGGGGGCCAATATTCAACATTCTTAAAGAAAAGAATTTTCAACCCAGAATTTCATATCCAGCCAAACTAAGCTTCATAAGTGAAGGAGAAATAAAATACTTTATAGACAAGCAAATGCTGAGAGATTTTGTCACCACCATGCCTGCCCTAAAAGAGCTCCTGAAGGAAGCGCTAAACATGGAAAGGAACAACCGGTACCAGCTGCTGCAAAATCATGCCAAAATGTAAAGACCATCGAGACTAGGAAGAAACTGCATCAACTAATGAGCAAAATCACCAGCTAACATCATAATGACAGGATCAAATTCACACATAACAATATTAACTTTAAATATAAATGGACTAAATTCTGCAATTAAAAGACACAGACTGGCAAGTTGGATAAAGAGTCAAGACCCATCAGTGTGCTGTATTCAGGAAACCCATCTCATGTGCAGAGACACAAATAGGCTCAAAATAAAAGGATGGAGGAAGATCTACCAAGCCAATGGAAAACAAAAAAAGGCAGGGGTTGCAATCCTAGTCTCTGATAAAACAGACTTTAAACCGACAAAGATCAAAAGAGACAAAGAAGGCCATTACATAATGGTAAAGGGATCAATTCAACAAGAGGAGCTAACTATCCTAAATATTTATGCACCCAATACAGGAGCACCCAGATTCATAAAGCAAGTCCTCAGTGACCTACAAAGAGACTTAGACTCCCACACATTAATAATGGGAGACTTTAACACCCCACTGTCAACATTAGACAGATCAACGAGACAGAAAGTCAACAAGGATACCCAGGAATTGAACTCAGCTCTGCACCAAGCAGACCTAATAGACATCTACAGAACTCTCCACCCCAAATCAACAGAATATACATTTTTTTCAGCACCACACCACACCTATTCCAAAATTGACCACATAGTTGGAAGTAAAGCTCTCCTCAGCAAATGTAAAAGAACAGAAATTATAACAAACTATCTCTCAGACCACAGTGCAATCAAACCAGAACTCAGGATTAAGAATCTCACTCAAAGCCGCTCAACTACATGGAAACTGAACAACCTGCTCCTGAATGACTACTGGGTACATAACGAAATGAAGGCAGAAATAAAGATGTTCTTTGAAACCAACGAGAACAAAGACACCACATACCAGAATCTCTGGGACGCATTCAAAGCAGTGTGTAGAGGGAAATTTATAGCACTAAATGCCTACAAGAGAAAGCAGGAAAGATCCAAAATTGACACCCTAACATCACAATTAAAAGAACTAGAAAAGCAAGAGCAAACACATTCAAAAGCTAGCAGAAGGCAAGAAATAACTAAAATCAGAGCAGAACTGAAGGAAATAGAGACACAAAAAACCCTTCAAAAAATCAATGAATCCAGGAGCTGGTTTTTTGAAAGGATCAACAAAATTGATAGACCGCTAGCAAGACTAATAAAGAAAAAAAGAGAAGAGAATCACATAGACACAATAAAAAATGATAAAGGGGATATCACCACCGATCCCACAGAAATACAAACTACCATCAGAGAATACTACAAACACCTCTACACAAATAAACTAGAAAATCTAGAAGAAATGGATACATTCCTCGACACATACACTCTCCCAAGACTAAAACAGGAAGAAGTTGAATCTCTGAATAGACCAATAACAGGCTCTGAAATTGTGGCAATAATCAATAGTTTACCAACCAAAAAGAGTCCAGGACCAGATGGATTCACAGCCGAATTCTACCAGAGGTACAAGGAGGAACTGGTACCATTCCTTCTGAAACTATTCCAATCAATAGAAAAAGAGGGAATCCTCCCTAACTCATTTTATGAGGCCAGCATCATTCTGATACCAAAGCCGGGCAGAGACACAACCAAAAAAGAGAATTTTAGACCAATATCCTTGATGAACATTGATGCAAAAATCCTCAATAAAATACTGGCAAACCGAATCCAGCAGCACATCAAAAAGCTTATCCACCATGATCAAGTGGGCTTCATCCCTGTGATGCAAGGCTGGTTCAATATACGCAAATCAATAAATGTAATCCAGCATATAAACAGAGCCAAAGACAAAAACCACATGATTATCTCAATAGATGCAGAAAAAGCCTTTGACAAAATTCAACAACCCTTCATGCTAAAAACTCTCAATAAATTAGGTATTGATGGGACATATCTCAAAATAATAAGAACTATCTATGACAAACCCACAGCCAATATCATACTGAATGGGCAAAAACTGGAAGCATTCCCTTTGAAAACTGGCACAAGACAGGGATGCCCTCTCTCACCACTCCTATTCAACATAGTGTTGGAAGTTCTGGCCAGGGCAATCAGGCAGGAGAAGGAAATAAAGGGTATTCAATTAGGAAAAGAGGAAGTCAAATTGTCGCTGTTTGCAGACAACATGATTGTTTATCTAGAAAACCCCATTGTCTCAGCCCAAAATCTCCTTAAGCTGATAAGCAACTCCAGCAAAGTCTCAGGATACAAAATCAATGTACAAAAATCACAAGCATTCTTATACACCAACAACAGACAAACAGAGAGCCAAATCATGGGTGAACTCCCATTCACAATTGCTTCAAAGAGAATAAAATACCTAGGAATCCAACTTACAAGGGATGTGAAGGACCTCTTCAAGGAGAACTGCAAACCACTGCTCAAGGAAATAAAAGAGGACACAAACAAATGGAAGAACATTCCATGCTCATGGGTAGGAAGAATCAATATCGTGAAAATGGCCATACTGCCCAAGGTAATTTACAGATTCAATGCCATCCCCATCAAGCTACCAATGAATTTCTTCACAGAATTGGAAAAAACTACTTTAAAGTTCATATGGAACCAAAAAAGAGCCCGCATTGCCAAGTCAATCCTAAGCCAAAAGAACAAAGCTGGAGGCATCATGCTACCTGACTTCAAACTATACTACAAGGCTACAGTAACCAAAACAGCATGGTACTGGTACCAAAACAGAGATATAGATCAATGGAACAGAACAGAGCCCTCAGAAATAATGCCGCATATCTACAACTATCTGATCTTTGACAAACCTGAGAAAAACAAGCAATGGGGAAAGGATTCCCTATTTAATAAATGGTGCTGGGAAAACTGGCTAGCCATATGTAGAAAGCTGAAACTGGATCCCTTCCTTACACCTTATACAAAAATCAATTCAAGATGGATTAAAGATTTAAACGTTAAACCTAAAACCATAAAAACCCTACAAGAAAACCTAGGCATTACCATTCAGGACATAGGCGTGGGCAAGGACTTCATGTCCAAAACACCAAAAGCAATGGCAACAAAAGCCAAAATTGACAAATGGGATCTAATTAAACTAAAGAGCTTCTGCACAGCAAAAGAAACTACCATCAGAGTGAACAGGCAACCTACAACATGGGAGAAAATTTTCGCAACCTACTCATCTGACAAAGGGCTAATATCCAGAATCTACAATGAACTCAAACAAATTTACAAGAAAAAACAAACAACCCCATCAGAAAGTGGGCAAAGGACATGAACAGACACTTCTCAAAAGAAGACATTTATGCAGCCAAAAAACACATGAAGAAATGCTCATCATCACTGGCCATCAGAGAAATGCAAATCAAAACCACTATGAGATATCATCTCACACCAGTTAGAATGGCAATCATTAAAAAGTCAGGAAACAACAGGTGCTGGAGAGGATGCGGAGAAATAGGAACACTTTTACACTGTTGGTGGGACTGTAAACTAGTTCAACCATTGTGGAAGTCAGTGTGGCGATTCCTCAGGGATCTAGGACTAGAAATACCATTTGACCCAGCCATCCCATTACTGGGTATATACCCAAATGAGTATAAATCATGCTGCTATAAAGACACATGCACACGTATGTTTATTGCGGCACTATTCACAATAGCAAAGACTTGGAACCAACCCAAATGTCCAACAATGATAGACTGGATTAAGAAAATGTGGCACATATACACCATGGAATACTATGCAGCCATAAAAAATGATGAGTTCATATCCTTTGTAGGGACATGGATGAAATTGGAAACCATCATTCTCAGTAAACTATCGCAAGAACAAAAAACCAAACACCACATATTCTCACTCATGGGTGGGAATTGAACAATGAGGTTACATGGACACAGGAAGGGGAATATCACACTCTGGGGACTGTGGTGGGGTCAGGGGAGGGGGGAGGGATAGCATTGGGAGATATACCTAATGCTAGATGACACATTAGTGGGTGCAGCGCACCAGCATGGCACATGTATACATATGTAACTAACCTGCACAATGTGCACATGTACCCTAAAACTTAGAGTATAATAAAAAAAAAAAAAAAAAAAAAGATCATGAAAAAAAAAAAAAAAAGGAAAAGTCTCAAGAAAAAAAAAAAAAAATCAGTGAATCCAGGAGCTGGTTTTTAGAAAGGATCAATAAAACTGATAGACTGCTAGCAAGACTAATAAAGAAGAAAAGAGAGAAGCATCAAATAGACGCAATAAAAAATGATAAAGGGGATATCACCACCGATCCCACAGAAATACAAACTACTATCAGAGAATACTATAAACAACTCTACTCAAATAAACTAGAAAATCTAGAAGAAACGGATAAATTCCTGGACACATACACTCCCAAGACTAAACCAGGAAGAAGTTGAATCTCTTAATAGACCAATAACAGGCTCTGAAATTGAGGCAATAATTAATAGCCTGCCAACCAAAAAAAGTCCAGGACCAGAAGAATTCACAGCCGAATTCTACCAGAGGTAGAAAGAGAAGCTGGTACCAATCCGTCCAAAACTATTCCAATCAACAGAAAAAGAGGGAATCCTCCCTAACTCATTGTATGAGGCCAGCATCATCCTGATACCAAAGCCTAGCAGAGACAGAACAAAAAAAGAGAATTTTAGCCAATATCTCTGATGAACATTGATGCAAAAATCCTCAGTAAAATACTGGCAAACTGAATCCAGCAGCACATCAAAAATTTTATCCACCACGATCAAGAAGGCTTCATCCCTGGGATGCAAGGCTGCTTCAACATATGCAAATCAATAAACGTAAAACATCACATAAACAGAACCAATGACAAAAACCACATGATTATCTCAATAGATGCAGAAAAGGCCTTCGAAAAAATTCAACAACGCTTCATGCTAAAAACTCTCAGTAAACTAGATATTGATGGAATGTATCTCAACATAATAAGAGCTATTTATGGCAAACCCACAGACAATATCATACTGAATGGGCAAAAACTGGAAGCATTCCCTTTGAAAACCAGAACAAGATAAGTAATCCCTCTCTCACCGCTTGTATTCAACACAGTGTTGGAAGTTTAGGCCAGGGCAATCAGGCAGGAGAAAGAAATAAAGGGTATTCAATTAAGAAATGAGGAAGTCAAATTGTCCCTATTTGCAGAGGACATGATTGTATATTTAGAAAACCCCATCATCTCAGCCCAAATTCTCCTTAAGCTGTTAAGCAACTTCAACAAAATCTCAGGATATATTATCAATGTGCAAAAATCACAAGCATTCTTATACACCAATAACAGACAAACAGAGAGCCAAATCATGAGTGAACTCCCATTCACAATTGCTTCAAAGAGAATAAAATACCTAGGAATCCAACTTACAAGGGATGTGAAAGATCTCTTCAAGAAGAACTAAAAACCACTGCTTAACGAAATAAAAGAGGACACAAACAAATGGAAGAATATTCCATTCTCATGGATAGGAAGAATCAATATCATGAAAATGGCCATACTGCTCAAAGTAATTTATAGATTCAGTGCCATCCCCATCAAGCTACCAATGACCCAATGACTTTCTTCACAGAATTGGAAAAAAACTGATTTATAGTTCATATGGAGCCAAAAAGGAGCCTGCATTGCCAAGACAATCCTAAGCAAAAAGAACAAAGCTGGACGCATCACACTACCTGACTTCAAACTATACTACAAGGCTACAGTAACCAAAACAGCATGGTACTTGTACCAAAACAGAGATATAAACCAATGGAACAGAACAGAGTCCTCAGAAATAATGCCACACATTTACAACCATCTGATTTTTGACAAACCTGACAAAAACAAGAAATGGGGAAAGGATGCCCTATTTAATAAATGATGCTGGAAAAACTGGCTAGCCATATGTAGAAAGCTGAAACTGGATCAATTCATTACACCATATACAAAAATTAATTCAAGATGGATTAAAGACTTACATGTTAGACCTAAAACCGTAAAACCCTAGAAGAAAACCTAGGCAATACCATTCAGGTCATAGACATGGGCAAGAACTTCATGACTAAAACACCAAAAGCAGTGGCAACAAAAGCCAAAATAGACACATGGGATCTAATTAAACTAAAGAGCTTATGTGCAGCAAAAGAAATCACCATCAGAGTGAATAGGCAACCTAGAGAATGGGAGAAAACTTTTGCAATCTACCCATCTGACAAAGTGTAATATCCTGAATCTACAAAGAACTCAAACAAATTTACAAGAAAAAAACAAACAACCCCATCAAAAAGTGGGCAAAGGATATGAACAGACACTTCTCAAATGAAGACATCTAGGCAGCCAACAGACACATGAAAAAATGCTCATCATCACTGGTCATCAGAGAAATGCAAATCAAAACCACAATGAGATACCATCTCACACCAGTTAGAATGGCAATCATTAAAAAGTCAGGAAACAATAGATGCTGGAGAGGATGTGGAGAAATAGGAAAACTTTTACACTGTTGGTGGGAATGTAAATTGGTTTAACCATTGTGTAAGACAGTGTGGCGATTCCTCACGGATCTAGAACTAGAAATACCATTTGACCCAGCCATCCCATTACTGGGTATATATCCAAAGGATTACAAATCATGCTACTATGAAAACACATGTACATGTATGTTTATTGTAACACTATCCACAATAGCAAAGGCTTGGAACCAACCCAAATGTCCATCAATGATAGACTGGATTAAGAAAATGTGGCACATATATGCCATGGAATACTATGCAGCCATAAAAAAGGATGAGTTCATGTCATTTGCGGGGACATGGATGAAGCTGGAAACCATCATTCTCAGCAAACTATCACAAGGACAGAAAACCAAACACTGCATGTTCTCACTTATAGGTGGGAATTGAACAATGAGATCACCGGGACACAGGGCGGGGAACATCACTCATTGGGGCCTGTCAGGGGGTCGGGGGCTGGGGAGGGATAGCATTAGGAGAAATGCCTAATATAAATGATGAGTTGATGGGTGCAGCAAACCAACATGGCACATGTATACCTATGTATCAAACCTGCACGTTGTGCACATGTACCCCAGAACTTAAAGGATAATAAATATATTAATTAATTAATTAAAAAAACAGCAGAGACTGAAGGATCATCAACAATAGAGCAATCTAAAAGACTTTAAAATATTATTGTTATTTTATGATCCAATGAAAGGAATAAAAATTAAGCAACATTAGAAAGAAAGAATATTAAAGAAAGCAGATGTGGAAAACAAACCGAATTTTTAAAATAAAAATTAAATTCATGGCAATTTTTAAAAATTACTCAGCTAAGATAAAAGAATTCCCTGAGAAGAGAACCCCTAAATGGAAAAGAGCTTGGCAGAAATCATTCAGAACAGAATATGGTGGGATATGGAGAAAGATATGTGAGGTTAAGTGGTGTGGAAGACACACAAAAAAGTTTCAACATTCATTTAATTGGCATACTAGAGAGAAATATTGACAGAATAGAAGACAGTAAATGTTTGAAAAAATGTTGGCTGAGAAATTTTCTGAATTGAAAAAAGGAATGGGAAAACACCGGTCATCAGACACATTACTTGGCTGCATCTGTTAACCACTATGCTACATGCAGTATACTCACAAAAACTTATCATGCCTAACTGCCAGTTATTTGTCATCTACTATTAGCACGTCACTTCACATCAATGCTTCTCAACCCCTCAAAGACATTTAAACATGTCTGGAGACAGGTTTCGGTTGTCACAACTGGTTAAGGGTCAGGAATGAGTTGCTACCGTCATCTAAATGTGTAGAAGTCAGGGAAGCCAGAAATACAAACTACCATCAGAGAATACCATAAACACCTCTATGCAAATAAACTAGAAAATCTAGAAGAAATGGATAAATTCCTCGACACATACACTCTCCCAAGACTAAAACAGGAAGAAGTTGAATCTCTGAATAGACCAATAACAGGCTCTGAAATTGAGGCAATAATTAATAGCTTACCAACCAAAAAAAGTCCAGGACCAGATGGATTCACAGCCGAATTCTACCAGAGGTACAAGGAGGAGCTGGTACCATTCCTTCTGAAACTATTCCAATCAATAGAAAAAGAGGGAATCCTCCCTAACTCATTTTATGAGGCCAGCATCATCCTGATACCAAAGCCTGGCAGAGACACAACCAAAAAAGAGAATTTTAGACCAATATCCTTGATGAACATTGATGCAAAAATCCTCAATAAAATACTGGCAAATCAAATCCAGCAATACATCAAAAAGCTTATCCACCATGATCAAGTGGGCTTCATCTCTGGGATGCAAGGCTGGTTCAACATACACAAATCAATAAACGAATCCAGCATATAAACAGAACCAACGACAAAAACCACATGATTATCTCAATAGATGCAGAAAAGGCCTTTCACAAAATTCAACAACCCTTCATGCTAAAAACTCTCAATAAATTAGGTATTGATGGGACATATCTCAAAATAATAAGAGCTATCTATGACAAACCCACAGCCAATATCATACTGAATGGACAAAAACTAAAAGCATTCCCTTTGAAAACTGGCACAAGACAGGGATGCCCTCTCTCACCACTCCTATTCAACATAGTGTTGGAAATTCTGGCCAGGGCAATCAGGCAGGAGAAGGAAATAAAGGGCATTCAATTAGGAAAAGAGGAAGTCAAATTGTCCCTGTTTGCAGATGACATGATTGTATATCTAGAAAACCCCATTGTCTCAGCCCAAAATCTCCTTAAGCTGATAAGCAACTCCAGCAAAGTCTCAGGATACAAAATCAATGTACAAAAATCACAAGCATTCTTATACACCAACAACAGACAAACAGAGAGCCAAATCATGAGTGAACTCCCATTCACAGTTGCTTCAAAGAGTATAAAATACCTAGGAATCCAACTTACAAGGGATGTGAAGGACCTCTTCAAGGAGAACTACAAACCACTGCTCAATGAAATAAAAGAGGATACAAACAAATGGAAGAACATTCCATGCTTATGGGTAGGAAGAATCAATATCGTGAAAATGGTCATACTGCCCAAGGTACTTTATAGATTCAATGCCATCCCCATCAAGCTACCAATGACTTTCTTCACAGAATTGGAAAAAACTACTTTAAAGTTCATATGGAACCAAAAAAGAGCCCGCATTGCCAAGTCAATCCTCAGCCAAAAGAACAAAACTGGAGGCATCACGCTACCTGACTTCAAACTATACTACAAGGCTACAGTAACCAAAACAGCATGGTACTGGTACCAAAACAGAGATATAGACCAATGGAACAAAACAGAGTCCTCAGAAATAATGCCACATATCTACAACTATCTGATCTTTGACAAACCTGAGAAAAACAAGAAATGGGGAAAGGATTCCCTATTTAATAAATGGTGCTGGGAAAACTGGCTAGACATATGTAGAAAGCTGAAACTGGATCCCTTCCTTACACCTTATACAAAAATTAATTCAAGATGGATTAAAGACTTAAATGTTAGACCTAAAACCATAAAAACCCTAGAAGAAAACATAGGCAATACCACTCAGGATATAGGCATGGGCAAGGACTTCATGTCTAAAACACCAAAAGCAATGGCAACAAAAGCCAAAATTGACAAATGGGATCTAATTAAACTAAAGAGCTTCTGCACAGCAAAAGAAACTACCATCAGAGTGAACAGGCAACCTAAAAAGTGGGAGAAAATTTTCCCAACCTACTCATCTGACAAAGGGCTAATATCCAGAATCTACAATGAACTCAAACAAATTTACAAGAAAAAAAAACCCCATCAAAAAGTGGGCGAAGGATATGAACAGACACTTCTCAAAAGAAGACATTTATGCAGCCAACAGACACATGAAAAAATGCTCATCATCACTGGCCATCAGAGAAATGCATATCAAAACCACAATGAGATACCATCTCACACCACTTAGAATGGCGATCATTAAAAAGTCAGGAACAACAGGTGCTGGAGAGGATGTGGAGAAATAGGAACACTTTTACACTGTTGGTGGGACTGTAAACTAGTTCGACCATTATGGAAGTCGGTGTGGCGATTCCTCAGGGATCTAGAACTAAAATACCATTTGATGTAGCCATCCCATTACTGGGTATGTATGTACCCAAAGGATTATAAATCATGCTGCTATAAAGACATATGCACATGTATGTTTATTGCGGCACTATTCACAATAGCAAAGACTTGGAACCAACCCAAATGTCCAACAATAATAGACTGGATTAAGAAAATGTGGCACATATACACCATGGAATACTATGCAGCCATAAAAAAGGATGAGTTCATGTCCTTTGTAGGGACATGGATGAAGCTGGAAACCATCATTCTCAGCAAACTATCACAAGGACAGAAAACCAAACACCACATGTTCTCACTCATAGGTGGGAATCGAACAATGAGAACACATGGACACAGGAAGGGGAACATCACACTCTGGGGACTGTTGTGGGCTGGGAGGAGGGGGGAGGGGGGAGGGTTAGCATTGGGAGATATACCTAATGCTAAATGACGAGTTAATGGGTGCAGCACACCGACATGTCACATGTGTATATATGTAACAAACCTGCACATTGTGCACATGTACCCTAAAACTTAAAGTATAATAATAATAATATTAATAATAATAATAATAATAATAAACAACTTACAACACACAGGACAGCCTTCACAATGAAGAATTATCTGGCCCAAATATCAGTAGCACTGATATTTGAGGTTGGGAAACACTGCTTTATGTATATTGACATTAATAGTCACAAGCCAGCAGTGAGTATTATTCCTCATTAAAAAACGAAATTTCCGGCTGGGCGTGATGGGTCACGCTTGTAATCACAGCACTTTGGGAGGCCGAGGTTGGTGGATCACAAGGTCAGGAGTTCGAGACCAGCCTGACCAACAGGGTGAAACCTGTCTCTACTAAAAATACAAAAATTAGCCGGGAATGGTGGTCGTGCGCGCCTGTAAGCCCAGCTACTCAGGAGGCTGAGGCAGGAGAATCTCTTGAACCCAGGAGGCAGAGGTTGCAGTGAGCCGAGACAGTGCCACTGCACTCCAGTCTGAGAAACAGAGCAAGACTCCGTCTCAAAAAAAACAACTAACTTTTCCAAGGCCAGGCAGTGAGGAAAGCGTGGAGCTTGGATTCAAATCCGTGCTGGTCTCACTCCGAAACCGATGTCCTTCAAATTGTATTTTTACAAGAGTTCAAATCAGCAGAGACTGCTGTTGTGAATGCTTAAAGTAGGTGTGGCAGCACCGAACGCACAGAAACTGACCACTCTGGTCAAACAATAGCTCCCTGACATTGTAGACCTGCGGATGAACCCACCAGATTTGTTTCTCTTATCACTCATCCATCTCCAGCTTTTTGTGTATTCACGTTCCAGGATGGGAGAGAAGCGGAGGTAATTTTCTGCTTCTTTAAAATACCAGTGCACAGAATAAATGCTTGCCACCACACTAATGCCCCCTGCTGATATGCTTACTGTTGGTGGCCTAAAATTTGGAACATACTGTGCTTTTAAGAACTCTCTGGGTACCCTAGATTTAAATCCACTCTTTAGTAAGACTATATTGGTTAGTGAATATTTTGTACTCACATTCTTACATTAAAAGGGCCCTCCAGATGGTCTATTTCTTGTTGGCTCAGCCCAAACACACATGCATAAATCAGCAGCAAATTTGGTAATAGGACACAACATTTGGAATCAAAATGATCCACTGACACCACCATGCCGTGTTTCCCGGCCATGCTTTGATCTCTTAAATCATAGCAAAACTCACTTCAAAATAAAAACATGTCTAAATATGCCATTGCAATTGCATTTTTAAAATTAGATTCTTGAACACTTTTCAATCAAACATGTATTTTATTATTCTGTGTAGACATTGCATAGGTTATTGTTATGAATAGCTCATCATTCTCATAAGAAATCTAAGCTCATCCCAATGTGATTCTTTTAAAATTAGAAATATTCTTCCTAATTGGTGGGGCTGCTGTTATCTTTTCCAAATCTCTTTCGAATGCAGTTTATCTTATTCCACTATTTTTCTTATTACTGTTTTTAGACATAGGTTTCCTTGGAAACTGGACTTCTAATGGACTTTAGCTACAGATAGGCTAAAAAATTGTCTTTATTCATTTATCATTTCATTGTAATTAAATCTTCTATATGATGTGGCCTATTCTCATGTATGGTATTTTGTTTCTATGGTAACAGAGATTTTTCTACTATCCATAGTTTGAAATGACTTCACAGTATTTCTTGATTAACTCGTGAGACCAATATTGCATTTTGTAAACTTACATGCAGTCGAACTTATAAAGCAATGGTTGCAAAAAAAAATTATCTTGTTTTCTATTTTTTTGAAATTTGCTTTTGTTTTTATGGTTCTTTTTCCTGATATGCTTCCCTCCTAGAGCAACATAATTTGTGCCGCTAGGAAAAGCAGATTTCACCACTAAGTTTAGCAAAGCCTATCATTTCTGTAGTTGGATTGCCATCTACAGTTTTTAAGACCCAGTGACTGACAAAAAAATCAACTATGACATTTCTGTAAAATGAATAAAAAAAAGGATCTTAGTCACAATTTTTCTTTCTGTTAATAATTTTAATAACCTATTGATATCATTAATCTACTAACAAAAAGAATATCACATCCTCATTTTTTTGCTCTTAACACAGCACTTTGTTTATTCCAAGAGTTTCAGAACAGTTCAGAGGGGCTGCAGTTACTGATCATATAAATAATATTGAAATAAAATTGTTAATCTATAAAATCCATTTTAATTTTAATGGCATTTTTAAATTAACAAATTTATTATTCTTGCTATAGAGCAATAATAAATAACAAGTGAACTATATTTAGAACTATTCAATCATTCAATAAATATTTGTCAGTCACCCCCCTCCATAGCCAGTGCTGTTTTAATCTAGGCTCCTGACAGTCTTAAATCCTAATAGCATCCAATTTGAAAAACTCATGGTTTTAAAGATTCTCTTAGCCTGAAGTGCTGTAAGACCTAAGGGAAAGTAACATCTACATGGAAAAGTGATTTCTGAAACCACAGACTGAAGTAATTCAATACTAATCATATGAAGAATGGGTAGCAAGAACCTGTCCTGGATTGAACTATCCTACTCAATCCCATTTATGAGGACTTTATTAGGACTTGAAACCATAGAAGGATCATGTGCATAACCTTGCAAGTTTTATCCTATTCCCTGAAAATATGGGTATAACCAATATACACTTTGGAGTCATTATTAAAATTAGAAATCCCTCAGGGTTTTCACTGTGGTGCCAGATTGTAAGAAATCAAACTATTTAAGGAAGACATATTCTTTAAGAAAGACTCTCCATCTCTTTAAATTTCAGTTTCATAACAATATAGAAAGGGAAAACAGGCTCATAGTACTTACTTTATAAGGCTGTCATAATAAATACTAGGATAAAATAGGAAGATGGATTTTATTAACTATAAAAATATAAATGTTTGGTATTAATACTATCAGGATTATTGGTGATATGTAGGGACAACCAGGGTCTGAATCTGCCAGAAATTTAACATGGGGAGCCAGGAATCTGCATTGAAGACCAAGGGAAGTCAAACTTTAGCAGTAGATAAGCCTTACTGTGGCTTCTGTAAACCTGCTGCTACTGTATCACGGTATTTCATTATTTGCTAGAATCTCAAGATAATGCTTCAAGCACCTCTACAAAGATCACTAATACAATACAGTTGTGCCTCAGTATCTATGGGGGATTTGTTCCAGGACTCCCGTGGATATAAAAATCTATGGATGCTCAGGTCCCTTGTAAAAAATGGCATAATATTTGTATATCATGTACACAAATCCTCCTATATACTTTAAATTATCTCTAAATTATTTATGATACCTTATATAATGCCTACATATAACTTCATTCTCATGGATTCCACATAATAGCTGCCATGAGGCAAATTTAAATTTTGCTTTTTGGGACTTTGTGGAATTTTTTTCCCAAATATTTTCTATCTGCTGTTGGTTGAATTGAATACAAAGGACTGACTGTATTGTTCTTTCACTTCATCCTTTTCTCTGCATCTGAGTAGGCCTTAAAAGTGCAATGTTGCTGATTGCAAACAAAATGAAGATCCAAAGGAAAACTTGATAGTTTGGTCCCTTTCCAGAAACTGAACAATAAAAATTAACTGTGTGAATGAGAAAAATCTCCTCTGGCAGACAAATGTAAAATCATTCTACCCTGTCATACATGTAAGAAATCTTTCAGGAATCCTTAAAAAAGAAAAAAAAAAGATAAATATTCGGTCTGTTGATTAATAATCAAATAAGGAACGACCAACAATGACAACAACAAAATTCAACTGTAGAGATACATCCAGCAGGAACTGATAGGAAACAAAACTTGCAATGTTCAGTGGCCATTTTCTACCCTATCCTTCAGAGGAAAAATCTGAAAAAAATACCTTAAAAAGAAAGCAAATCTGCAATGACAAAAAATGGAGGGAAAATCTAAAATACAAATTTTAAAATGTTCAATGATTTTCATTTGAAAAATAATGATTTCTGTTACCATTCTGCAGAAGCAGAGATGGGCCTTTAGGCAGAGAGCAAGTGGGGGATCCTTCCAAAGGGTGAGAAATATTCTATATTTTAATCAGAATGGGAGGGAGATTGCAAAAATCCATCAAGCTATACCTCTAAGATTATAGGTTACCTAAATTATGTCTCTATTTTTCAAAACTGGAAAAACAATGTTTCCTCATTCAGAATCATGGGACATAACACTGATCATGTGGAATCCATAGTTTATCTCAATGATTTGTTTAAATAAGCACTGAAATGTTGTATATTTATAAGAAAAACAATGTGGTATTATAGAAATCTGCAACATAACAATCTTTGAATTCCCACCATACAATTGAAGATAAACTTTATTTGCTCAAATCCATACAGAGATGTTTCATTGTTAAACTTATGTGCCTATCTTTCACCATAATAATCAATTGGGATATTTGGCTCTTTTTCTTCTCCAAAAACTTATATTTTTTATTTATTTATTTAATAATCTATGTTTATGACTGCCTATGACTATGACTGAAACCAGAAATCGATCACAGAGCCCAAAAGACCTAGATACTGCAGCAGTGACAAAATGGGTTAGGGAAGGAGAAATGGACCGAATGTAGAGGTTCTCTCATTGATGAAAGTAGATGACTAATAAATCCAGAAAGCTGGGTGTAGTGGCTCACACCTGTAATCCCAGCAGTTTGGGAGGCTGAGGCGGGCAGATCACTTGAGCCCAGGGGTTCGAGACCAGCCTGGACAACATGGCAAAACCCTGTCTCTACAAAAAATACAAAAATTAGCTGGACGTGGTGGCATGCACCTATAGTCCCAGCTACTAGGGAGGCTGAGGTAGGAGGATCTCGTTAGCCCAGGAGGTGGAGGCTGCAGTGAGCTGAGATAGTAGCACTGCACTCCAGCCCCGGCAACAGAACGAGACCATGTCTAAAATATAATAAAATAAAATAAAGAGTACAGTGGGATGGGGTAGGATGGGGTGGGGTGGGGAGTTTACAAAAAGCATTTCTAAGGAAAGTTCACTCAATATGAACCCTGTTTAAGGTAATTCCAACATGGACTAAAGGAGATTTATGGTCTTTCCTGAGCGTGACTAGATCCCAAAAGATTTTGTATTGGCATAAACTGCGTTTATAATGTGAGGCTAATTTTAATATCAATAACCCATGCCTTAGGCCTTAAAATAAAATTTTAAAAACCAACAATGTGTGCAAATGTAAGTGACTAGAGAGAATATGTGTAAAGGCAAGTGGATTCCCAGAAAATGTCAGCACTTCGTAGGATGAGCTCTGGCAGCCATCTCAGTGTTGACAATATGCTAGAGAGGCTCGGAACATAAATCAATCTACATTTGTTCTCACAGGGACTGGGAGCTGGAATTACTGTTTCTGAAACTTGAGCCAATATTGTCACAGCAATATAAATGATGGAAACTTTGCCACTCTAGTCTGCTTCACCCATTGCATGAACCTCCTGGCAAACAACGCCCTGGAATTTCATTAATTAGTGCTAACTATGATTGGCACTGCCAGAGAGGACAATAAAACAACCACAGTGTTTTTTATGAACATATGGGTGGCAGAGGCTCTAGCTGGGAAATACAAGATTGGTTTCCAACTTATTAAAGCATATTTATACTGTATAATTTACCTAATTTTGCCTTTTTAAGCTAATTTATTTTTTTCAATTTTTGTGGATTGAATATTGAAGTATCAACTGCTTAACTAGTAGAAGTTATAATATTTTTCTCAGTGGAAAATGTGAGATTTTCAATTGGGAAGGACCCTTTGAAATGATCTAACTCACACCTTTATTTTACAGATGAAGACATTTAGTCCCAGGAAAGTTAAGTCACTTTACCAAACTAACAAAAAGTAGTAAAATCAAGGCCAAAACCCAGATATTCTAAATCCCGGGTTTATTCCTCTATCACATTGTCTCTTAATTGACAATTGTTTTCAATATATTGACGTTAAATTGAGGTATAACAGTTTGGGGTTGACATTTAGCTACTTTCCATATGCCTTTGAAGGCAGAAGTGTTTTGTTTCTTTGTTTGTTTTCAGAGTTGAGGTCTCGCTTCAAGTCCAAGCTGGACTTGAAATCCTAGGCTCAAGGTATCCTCCTGCCTCAGTCTCTCAACTAGCTGGGACTTACAAGCGAGTGCCACCATGCCCAGCTTTTATATGCTTTTTAACTAAACCAGTTATATGAAGTTTTTCAATTCCACACAATGATCTTCTAAATAAGTTTAAAAGAAAAAATATATACATTAAAATTAGAAACACCACAGCCTATTTTCATAGAAATTTCTTCTTTTTCTTGCCTTCAAATATTCCTTTATTAATTCCTTTATTAATTGATAAATATTCCTTTATCAATTACCTCTACTCATCTTATTAATAGGAAAAATAAACATTACTTGTTTAAGCCTTTGAATGTTATAACAGTAGATAATATCTTCTCATGATCCCCCCATAATACCATCCCCTTTGCCCTTAAGCACACACACATATGTGAATTTGGTACCATGTTGGGACAGCGAGAAAGCTACTGGGAGGAACTTTCAGTTATGATTTTAATTTTGGAGGTGACAAAAAAATACAGAAAAGTCCTATTTCCATGTCATATTTGTCTAACACACTTCTAGAGTCTCATTGCATGGAGGATGCCACATAGCCAATAGAATCTCCCTAGTTGATCTCTATCTTAATTGAAACCAGGAACTAAAGGGCCTGCATTGGCACTTGTATGATAATTCCAAAACAAAAGAGAAAATACTAAATGTTGCAGGCATTCAGAGCAATACAGCACACCCAGGTAGGTTACCTGAGAACTGGGCACTCAGTTCAAGCAATCAACACTGAGTTACAAATTCAGAACGCATTGTTTTTATCCCACCTTAAAATTGCTTTTAATGAACAATACTTTGTCTTTATTTTATTAGTATTATTATTTTTTGAGACTGGGTTTTACTCTGTTGCCCAGGCTGGAGTGCAGTGATGCAATCTCAGCTCATAGCAGCCCTGACGTCCCAGGCTCAGATGATCCTCCCCAGTAGCTGGGACCACAGCCGCACACCACCACACCTGTCTAATTTTTGTATTTTTAGTAGAGACGGGGTTTGCCATGTTGCCCAGGCTGGTCTTGAACTCCTGGACTCGGGCAATCTGCCCTCCTCAGCCTCCCAAAGTGCTGGGATTACAGACGTGAGTCACCATGTCCGGCCTGCCTGTATAATTTCTGACTACACTAAAGGACCTTAAACAGTTCTACATTATGGTCTCTGTCTTCACATCCTTGAAGTAATTGTCTGCTATCTCACACAGTATGCCTTTAAGACTGGTCAGAGACATTTCTCTAGATTTCAGTTCAGTAAAACCTGCTGCCCAGAAGCAACAGGTTTGTTTTGGGGTTTGGGTTTTGTTTTCCTTTGGTGTAACTGTAAAATCATAGAAGGATGTATGATTAAGAGAAGCTAGTTTAACTGTTTAAGGTGGGAGGGACTTGTTCAAGATCACTTGCTGAAGGAGAAAAACTTAAGCATAGGAGAAAGGAAGAGAAAATGGACAAATATCCTATGCTGGTGGGAAAAAAAAAAGTGTTGTACACTAAAGTTCATCATCTACCTTCTCCAACTGGCCTTTCTACCTCTTGAGAGGTAATATAACATATAGTGTGGTATGGAGCTTGGACTTTGGAAGCAGACTAAGCCAGACCAGCTTTATCACTTATGTGAATAATCTTGAGCAAGGTAATTAGCCTCAGCTTCCTCATCTATAAAATGGGGGAAATAATAACTTCTTGTGTAGGATTGTCATGAGTCTCAAAGAAGCCAATATTTATGGTATTTGGAATAGCACCTGGAACATAGCACACATTCAACAGTTTATCATCATCATCTTCTTCATCATCATTATCACCTCTGCTTCAGCTTCAGCTTCTCAACGAGTAGAGGATTAAACTTAATTCAGCAAAATTACTAAACACCTATTGGTACCAAGCATTATAGCAGGTGGTAAAAAGACAAAGATGAATAAGATGCAAAGCCTGCTGTCAAGGTACTCAGTCTAGTAAATAAATAATTGCGCTACATATTTTACATTAATATCAAAAACAGTAATGCATGTCTCCAAGTCCTCTGGTTGTGCAAGACAGGCAGCAGAAGCTGGAATGAGAAACCTAAATGCCTTGTATGCTTTTGAAATCTAGAAATCCCTCTCTAGAGGCTGGGACAACCCGACCTGAAGGCAATTTCTTCCCACCCCAGCCTGGCCACAGAAAATGATCATCATTCCCTGCCCCTCAGGAGCTGTGGTTGGGGAGACAGAAAGAGAGAGAGAGTTATAACTCTAAGACCCAGGACATTAGGGTTGTCTAATTTGCATGTGTGGAAAATATACAGCCAGATGAGTGGTGGTAGCAAAATGAGCACGTGCACTGACCATATCTAGGAACAACACACTAGGGTTCACCAAAAATAAGAACCCCGAGATTTCATGGCTATCTCTCTACTCTCCAAATGCTTAGAGGTCAAGTCTGTGGACAGAGTCTCTAAATATCACTCTGACAAGAATCTTTTATGAAATCTACTTCATTGTGATAGCCAAAGCAAGCACACTTACAAGAAAACTAATGAACCACTGCAAATACCCACCTAGACAGATAATACTTAAGCTTAACTTCACTTAACATCAAAGAAATATGTAAGAGGGTAACATGTGCTTACAGGAAGGTTTGGTTTAGCCAGATGTGATCATTGGTATCACAAAATCTGCTTTGTTAAAAATAGTTCTATAATACATGTAAGTAATTTGAAAAAGCTACATCTAGACTGTTTTTCCTTAGTAAGCAAAGCCAATGGAGTAAAGGCAATACAATTCACAGTAGGTCATAGGACCCTTTTTTTATTTTTTAATTTTATTATTATTATTATCCTTTAAGTTTTAGGGTACATGTGCACAACATGCAGGTTTGTTACATATAGGACCCTTTTCTATCAGCCCAGCTTTGAAAGGAGTTGTATTATTCAAAAGACTTCTCTCCAGCTCTCTCTGCCCAACCTCAGCAGTTTGCCTCTCCAAAGTGCTGGCCCCCTACCTCCCAGCCATTGCCTAACCCTTACCTAGCCACAACCAACGATTTCCTCAACTCCAAGGACAAAGGAGAGGAGCTCTTTTTGTTGTGTGCAGAGATATACAACAATAAGGAACCATGTTAAATTTTGTATCAGGACTAATTTTTTTTTTACTACTTATGCCACTATTAGAGAACACAAATAAAGGGATAATTAAGAACTTGGACACTTCTTTTGTTGTTTTGCCATTGACACATCATTTTTAAGAACTCAGAAACAGAGAGGGCCAAAACATTTCAAATAACATCTGATTTGATTGCAAAAATAAGTTTATATTCCTTCTTTTTCTCTCATATCAATACATTGTTCAGGCGTGTGCCCTTTTGAAAGACAAGGTAAGCTAAAGGTTTTCAGCTCCCCCAAATAAACTAAAGATCCAGATTAAAGATCCTCGAGAGCTTCAAAGTAGAAATGTTTACACACTTTGTTAACTTTGATTTTTAGCTTTTATTTTTAGAAATGTTGCACAGATTTGCCCAGGTCTCTGAGTAATAAGAAGAATTAATGGGTAAAACATAATTCCCGTAATGTGAGAAGGTTCAGCTTGAAGTTCTCAAGCACTGAGTCAATGAGTTATAGCATAATATCGATAATGTATCAAACATTCCCAGTGATAAACTTCAGGATTATCCCAGACTTTCTTAAAGTTGGGACATTTTGGTCAAGAAGTCTAGTTGAGCTAAAATGCCCTCTAGAGAGAAATGCTCAGGAGTCTCACAGTTTCTCATAATTTTGCCACCTAAGGAAATCCTATTAAAAGGTATGTTCCTTCAGAGTGATTATTTATTCTTCTACTTATAGTAATAAAAAATTTTAATTTCTCCCAAAACCACTCTTTTTCTGGTTGCCTTTTATAAATCCCTGATTCCTCTACTGTTGCCTTTCTCTGGTCTATCATGTTTTACTCACTATAGCCAAACAAAAGAGCAAGATTAAGAATTTTTTGTTACCTAGAGAATTGTTAAATTATAAATTGAACGCACTCATTTAGAAGAAAATTCTTTTTCTGCTTTTTCTGCTTCAGCTGCTAGCTGAAGCCAATGACATCAGGTTACACTGCCTTCTTTCCAATCTTATTATCATTACTGACCTCCCTCCCCATCACTCTCACACATCCCCTAAGGATCACTGTTTTGTTTTCTATTCAGTTGCCTACTGTTATCCTGAGTGATTTCAATATACATTTTGATGAACCACTTAACACCTTGGTCCCATTATTTCATGACCTCCTCCTCTTCAAATCCTCACTTCTGCTCCAGAATCCATTTCCATTGATATTGTAATCAATTCTTTCACCCCTATGAACCTTTAGAAACCGTGCTGTTTGATTTCGTCAGGATCTCAAATGACTTCCCACCTCATTTCTTCAAGTTGGCCAGCCTCTTCTCTTCCCTACTCTCCTACTCTCCTTGGATCCAAGGGCAATTATTTTGTAATAAATAAGTACTCAGAATCTCCTCAATTCCTCCATCTCCCTCTTCTGAACCCTCATGCTGCCTACAATCATTCATTGATTTCCCTTGTCCCTTGTTAACCAAATTTACTTATGGTTTTGCAGAATGTAGATCCACACAAGGTTGTTTAGGCAAGGAGGCAAGAGAAGCACTGCTTGCCAAGCTCTAAGTGCTGCCTTCAACTGGAGGGAGGGGCTCATTTTTCTAACACAAAAGTAACTTGAGCTCCCTCAAATCCTTTTTTCTGTTTTGCAGACAGAGCGTTATGAGATAGCCATGGCCCAGTGGGTAGCTAGGCAGAGTTGGGGAAAAAAAGATGCTTTTATCCAATATGAATTTTTTGGCAATATCTGGCTTATTGAACACTCCCTCTTCTTGAAACTTTTCCGTATCACTCTCCAAAACACTGCTTGACTCTGGTTCTCTTGTCGTCTCTATGATCTCTTTTTTTTTTAATTATACTTTAAGTTTTAGGGTACATGTGCACAACGAGCAGGTATGACCCCTTTTAAAACTCCTTTTCTGGCTCCTCCTCCTTAGCCTATCTGGCAAATATCAGGCATTCCTCATTGTACCTCTCTGACGCACTTCTCTTTCCTCGCTAAACCTTCTCTCTGGGTGGTTTTAACACCTCGCACTATCACAACTCTCCCTCATGTGAGTGACTTTCAAATTTATCTCCACCTCTGATTTCCCCTGGTTTCCAAATCCACTTTCCAATTCCTACTGAACATTTTTACCTAACCATCTCATAAGCGTCAAAAGTTCATAATGTCCAAAACTGAATACATTTTCCCCAAATCCTTGTTTTCTCTCACCTGTGTTCTCTGTTTTTGTTAATGGCATGTTCACCCACCAGATGTTACAAGATAGAAACCTAAAGTTCGTTTTAGATTAATCTCTTTAACTCACTTTCCACATTTAGTCAATCACCAGGTCCCACTAACTATCCTACTGAAGTATTGTTCAAATCCATCCCCTCCTCCTACTTCACCTTGACTTCCCATTATCTAAGCTATAACAATAACTTCTGAACCCACTGACCAAAACCAACAGTATGACGTACTTACAAGCATCTTTTACAATATAACTCCAATTTACCTTCCAACTCCATTACTAGCCACTTCCCCTACTCATGTACTCTATTTTTTTTTTTTTTTGACAGAGTCTTGCTCTGTCGGCCAGGCTGGAGTGCAGTGGCACAATCTCTGCTCACTGCAACCTCCGCCTCCCGAGCTCAAGCAATTCTCCTGCCTCAGCCTCCTGAGTAGCTGGGATTACAGGTGTGTGCCACCATGCCCAGCTAATTTTTGTATCTTTAGCAGAGATGGGGTTTCACCATGTTGCCCAGGCTGGTCTTGAACTCCTGACCTTAGGTAATCTACCTGCCTCGGCCTCCCAAAGTGCTGGGATTACAGGCATGAGCCACCACGCCCAGCCTCATGTACTGTATTCTAGCCACACTGATCTACTTAATTTTCCCTGAACACTTCATGAACATTCACAGCACGTCATTTCTACTTACTCTGTCCTTCTCCTAAAACATCTATCACTTCTTTTCTCTCTGGCAAACACAATCATACTCATTCTTAATTGTCCTTCTTTGATGTTTTCTTCCGTGTAGAGTTTTCCCTGTCGGCCCTTTCTCCAGCTAAAAATTAACTGCCTCATCTTCTTTTCTCCTATAGCACTCAATGCTTTTTGCAGTACTTATTGTCTTAGTTATAAATTGCATGCTCCATAAAATATGAGGCTATGAATTCAAGGCTTCAGAACACAAGAATCCATTTTACCTGGTAGATGGTGAACAAATCAGCCATTTTCACTTCCATTCCATGTAATTTTCAGAATCCTTGTAAGTTTTATGTTTTTGTGTTTTGATGCTTGTTTAATTGTTAACATAATGAGGTGGGGGTGTTTTGGTGAGGGGAAGAGAAATTTTTACACACGTTGTTAACTTTGATTTTTAGCTTTTATTTTTAGGAATGTTGCACAGATTTGCCCAGGTATCTGAGTAGTAAGAAGAATTAATGGGTAAAACGTAATTCCCATGATGTGAGAAGGTTCAGCATAGACCCCTACAATGCCAATATCAATTTCCTGAGATGAAACCAGGAACCATCATCTCAGCAGGCAGAAAACAGACTCACTTTCAACCTCAGTATTTCCATTCTAATAGCCCTTTATTTCCCACCTGGATCAACCTCTTCTGACTTTTCAGATATCCCCATCTGTGGTGGTTAGTTCAATGTATCAACCTGACTAGGCTAAGGGATGCCCAGAGGACTGGTAAAATATTATTTCTAGGTGTGTCTGTGAGGATGTTTCTAGAAAAGATTAGCATTTAAATCCATAGATCTAGTAAAGAAGATCATCCACACCAATGGTGGTATCATTCAATCCATTAGGGCCCTCCCAAATAGAATAAAAAGGAGTAAGAAAGACTCTCTTCTTAAGCTGAGACGCCCATCCTCTCCTGCTCTCAAACACTGGAGTTTTTGATTCTCTGACCTTTGGACTCCAAGACTTATACCAATGGGCTCCCTGATTCTCAGGCTTTCCAACCTGGACTGAAACTCATGCCACCACCTTTCTAGTTCTCCAGCTTGCAGATGGCATACAATGGGACTTCATGGCCTCCATAATCACATGAGTCAATTTCCATAATAAATCTCCTTTTATATATCTCATTTTATAACAATATAATGGACACATTCTATTGGTTTTGTTTCTCTAGAGAACTGCTAACTAATATGCCTAAGCCATAATCTTCTTGCCATACATCGAAACATTGTATCTCTTACGTACAATGCATCCCAGCCCCACAGAGCTTGTCTCTTAAACAGAGGACACCCATGTGTAGCCTTACTCATCATGGTTTGCCTACTTCCACTTTCCTCCATCCTCACAATGTAATACTATGACTGCCATTTTATCTTCTGCATCCCATACCCAAGGCTGCTCCTCTACTCCTGCACCCTTTGCAGTTAATATGCATTAGTTAAGAAACAAAACAGCTATAACACAGGAAAAGCTTTAGTCTTAAGAGTAATATATCAGCCATCTGAGAATAGAGACCAGCTTGCTGGATCTGTGAATGTCAGTATTTTTTTTTTTCCAGCTAAGACTTTCTGGATATGAAACGATCACATGACCTCAGGAACACATCAGCAATTTCCTAGTTTCCAAGTAAAAGTTTTTATTCCCTCCAAGTTGGGTTCCCCTCGAAATCTCAAGAAATCAGAGGTCACCCAGGAGTAAATACAGTTAGCTAAAAAGGCTACAAGGGTTTATGCTGATCAGATAATTACACTTCTTTCTCCCACAGGAATGGTCACCACAAATAGCTACATGTCAGAATTTTCTCATCATTTTTTCAAGCACCATTTCTAAGGTGGCTTATTTTTTTTTATTTCAGGTGAGCTTTGAGTTGGGAGTGATATTTTAATATACTGATTCCCAAGCCCTCCTACAAAGAGCAGACTCTCACTCCTGACTTCCAAGTGCTGTGGAATGCTGTGCAAAGAATTTTTTCTTTGCTACTGCCAAATAAATTGCCAGCTTTGTCATGCAATGGCATTCCCCAGATTTATGTAAATGAGGGGGCTCTAATTTTCACAATGTTAATTCAATCTTTTCAGAAATCATATCTCTGTGTTCATAATTTTATGTTATGACTATGTTGCATACAGATGAGGACTATGTTTTGCTACTTGCCATTCCTGCAAATATTTGTCATTTCTTCAACAAATAGAAACATTAGCAAATTATGCTACAGCTACACAGTTTAGCTATACAAGCTGGTTTTTTTCACTTAAAAAAGAATGCATAGAAATTATATTTTAAATCTTAGCCCTTGGTCCTTAGGTGGTTGATTTTGGAAAGAATAACTCAACATGCTAAATTATGGAACTGCACTTGTTCTTTGTTGGATAGAAAACACCACTTTGTGCCTGTATTTCAATAAACTTTTGCATAACCAGAAGGTAGCTTTTACATTAGCAAAGATTCCGTTATATGGAAAATTATGGTTGTCATTCAACCATCAACCTCATGCTGATTCTTCTTTCTCTTCCTGATGTTCTTAAGCCATAATAAGCCAGAACTAAAGAATATATTTAAGGACCTAGGTGCAATGTAACATTATAACCATACAGAGAATTGCTGCTGCTGCAATTTCAACAATTATATTGGCTTTAGCTTTGACGAAGCAATTTGTTGTTGCTGTTGTTGTTTTTTCAAAGACCAACAAAGGCCTTGGTGATGAACCAGATGGATATTCTTTCCTGGATTAACAAACTTGATGAAAACCATTTGAATCTCTGCATCCACTGATACTTCATTCCTAAAATGGACAAGAGTATGCCCAGTGCTTCATACATTTTGACTCTTTTGATCCTGACAACTCTGCCAAGGAGATAGTTTGATAAACCCCATTTTATAGATGAGACAACTGAAGTTAAGAGAAGTTAAGTAATTGGCTTGAGATCTTGCAACTAGAAGGTGGTAGAGCTAGAATATAAGGTTCCAATTATTTGGACCAGCATGCCAAAAAATCCCCTTGAGAGTGAGTTTTCATGGGATGTTTCTGTGCCTTTCCACTTTGAGATTACACAATAAGTGACTCATCTTTCTCAGACCAATTTTATATATCAATCCTCCATAAGGCCAGGTGCACAATCACCCCAAGGCAGACATACAATGAATGAAAAGCACGTCCTGAAAAAGAAGGGACCCCTGGGTCAGCTAAAGATCTATACTTTGTCTTGCACAAAGAGGGAGAAGATACTTGGTAAGGTGTCTGTCAAGAATTTCAATTTAAGTCACTAGCACTTAAATTTCTGACTGAAAGCTAGAAGAGTGTGCCAGCTGAAAATTCCATAAAAGAGGCCAATATAGCCCATTAAGTCTCTTTTCAAAGCTGACTAGAACCACTAAAAATTCCTTTGGGAGAGAAGTACCCAGTTCAGTGTTTCTGCACAAAATATTTCTCCATTCTTTTTTTTTTCCAGTAGAGCTCATTCATGCTACAAGAGTGTCTCATTTCTGAAGGTCTTAGCTAACCCATCATATTACAGTGGCACTTTGTCAAATTGCCCATTTGTTCAATTTTGCAGGATGAGATCTTTTCACTTAGCAAGTCTAATTTCTCACTTCTTGAATCTGGGTAAAACTTGAGGATAATAAGTTGCTTAAGTTCAATTTCACCACCTTAAATGCTCATGAAGAACTACTCTGTCAACTCTAATTTCTTACTTCTTGATTGTGGGAGGAAATTGAAACAGGTTCTCAAATCCCTTGATTCCTCTTTTATAAAGGGCTTCAGTGTACTTGCTCTAAAAGCAATTCTGTGTGCCATTTACAGCTTTGAACTGTGGCTACAGAAATGAAGTCAGGAAAGCCCTCCCTGTATGTATTTTCACAAATGGACACAGAATAGTAAGTTCACACAGCTCGCATTCAGAGAGTTTAAACTGAGAGCTTTAAACTAGCTCTTGAAACAGCTAGAAAAAAAAGTAAAGAAATTATTCTTCTGCTAGAGGCAGATCTTTGCAGAAAATTCTGTAAATGGTGAAACAAACATTGTGAATACTTCTTTCTATTATGTACACCAAGACTGCAGTGATATTACAACGTACACCCTTTTGCAAGTAAAACTATAATTCAGTTAACTTCAACCGAAAATTATTGTCATTAAACCTTTTAATAAACTATGGTTAAGGTAAGTTCCACTTTAGCTTGATGGGGAACATAAGTAATACATGCCAGAAAACCAGTTGGAAGGGGCTCAAAGTGTAAATTTGATACTACTGGGCTGTGTTTGTTTCTGAAGAGTATAAACTACTTTCTACCCAGAACATTATATGTGGGTTCATCAAACTCTCAGTAATCTTGTTGTCAATGTTATAGGTAAATACAAACAGACTGGCAAACATATATAGATAAACAATTAGTATTTATAATCATAGGGATTTTGAGGCTGAAAGAGGCATCAAAGGTTATGTGGTTCAGAGTTCTGAAAGTAGTTTCATAAACCTCTAGTTACCTAGCCTGGTTAAGTGTGATATGCCTTTCATTCTTCCCTGAAAGGGCATCCCTTGGTCAAAAATTTAGCAAGAGCTGAGTCAAACAAAGTGAGATAGGTATCTTTATTGCAGGGCTTTTTGGAACTCTTCCCAAGAGGGGAATATACCTTGCAGCATTTTAAAAGCTTATTTCACTTATTTTTTATAGAACATGTCTAGGGACATACCTTGAGAAATACCAATACAATCTAATCCCCCAAATCACTTAAGTAAACCAAGGTAAATTTCCCATTAGTGGAAAGTTGGTTTTAGAACTTAAGTAAGCTAATTCCTAGGACCGTCCTGTTTTTCAGCACCACACAACTGTTCTGTTATGTGGCAAATGAAAGACACTAGAGCACAGTATTTATAGGTGAATACAAGAACCTAGGATGAAATCCCGCAGTTCTGTCACTTACCAGTGGTGGGTCTCAATAACCTCACCTCTAAAATGGAGCTAATGATAGAGTGCTGACTAGTAAAGAGTTAGTCTGTGTAAAGCACTTATGACTTAGCACTACGGCGGTGTTATCTACTTATTCCTATTACTATTGCAGTTATTAAACATCACACCTGCTTAGGTATAAGTAATCAGGGTAACAACAATGTCTAGAAATCTGCCCACACTGTATGAAACAACTTGGGAAGTCCTGGGAAGTATGAGGAACATCCCTCAATTGTAATTGCCAATAAATCAGAATCTTAGGAAAGCCTAATAAAAATGTTAAATTATAGAAACTTTAAAGACATTCAAGTTTATACTATACACATAAAGCATAAAGCTACTCAGGGCTGCCTTAAAAGAAGATAATGTTTTAGTTGGTAGCAGTGTCAAATCATCAGTCTAATGATGCTAACTAGACAATTATTATACTGTCTTGTTATCATTTCACAGTTCTTTAATACTATCAATTATTTATCTAGTCATTTAAAAAGTTCATTGCCATTTATAGAAAAAAACTGAGCTGAAGGAATTCATACTCATAAAAATGTGATGGAAGGAAGGAAGGGGAGAAGGAGAAAAAGAAGAAGAAGGAGGAGGATCAGGAGGAGGAGGGAAGGAAAGAAGGAAGGAAGGAAGGAAGGAAGGAAAAGCTGGGGGAAGAAGAAAGGAAGGAAGCATGGAGCCAAGATGGCCGAATAGGAACAGCTCCAGTCTACAACTCCCAGCATGAGCTACACAGAATACGCTGATTTCTGCATTTCCAACTGAGGTACCAGGTTCATCTCACTGGGGAGTGTCAGAAAGTGGGTGCAGGACAGTGGGTGCAGTGCACCAAGCATGAGCTGAAGCAGGGAAAGGCATTGCCTCACCTGGGTAGTGCAGGGGGTCAGGGAATTCCCTTTCCTAGTCAAAGAAAGGGGTGCCTGATGGCACCTGGAAAATCGGGTCACTCCCACCCTAATATTGTGCTTTTCCAACAGTCTTAGCAAACGGCACACCAGGAGATTATATCCCGCACCTGGCTTGGAGGGTCCTATGCCCAAGGAGCCTCACTCATTGCTAGCACAGCAGTCTGAGATCAAACTGCAAGGTGGCACCGAGGCTGGGGGAGGGGTGCCCACCATTCCCAAGGCTTGAGTAGGTAAACAAAGCAGCCGGGAAGCTCGAACTGGGTAGAACCCACTGCAGCTCAAGAAGGCCTGCCTGCCTCTGTAGACTCCACCTCTGGGGGCAGGGCGTTGCCAAACAAAAGGCAGCAGAATCCTCTGCAGACTTAAATGTCCCTGTCTGACAGCTTTGAAGAGACTAATGGTTCTCCTAGCACGCAGCTGGAGATCTGAGAACAGACAGACTGCCTCCTCAAGTGGGTGCCTGACCCCCGAGAGCCTAACTGGGAGGCACCCAGTAGTGACAGACTGACACCTCACACGGCCGGGTACTCCTCTGAGACAAAACTTCCAAAGGAACGATCAGGCAGCAACTTTTGCTGTTCACCAATATCTGCTGTTCTGCAGCCTCTGCTGCTGATACCCAAGCAAACAGGGTCTAGAGAGGACCTCCAGCAAACTCCAACAGACCTGCAGATGATGGTCCTGACTGTTAGAAGGAAAACTAACAAACAGAAAGGACATCCAAACCAAAACCCCATCTGTACATCACCATCATCAAAGACCAAAGGTAGATAAAACCATAAAGATAGGGAAAAAACAGAGCAGAAAAACAAAACTCTAAAAATCAGAGCACCTCTCTTCCTCCAAAGGAACACAGCTCCTCACCAGCAATGGAACAAAGCTGGACAGAGAATGACTTTGATGAGTTGAGAGAAGAAGGCTTCAGACGATCAAACTACTCTGAGCTAAAGGAGGAAGTAGGAACCATGGCAAAGTTAAAAACCTTGAAAAAAAATGAGACGAATGGCTAACTAGAATAACCAATGCAGAGAAGTCCTTAAAGGACCTGATGGAGCTGAAAACCAAGGCACAAGAACTACGTGATGCATGTACAAGCCTCAGTAGCCGATTCGATCAACTGGAAGAAAGGGTATCAGTGATGAAAGATCAAATGAATGAAATGAAGCAAGAAGAGAAGTTTAGAGAAAAAAGAATAAAAAGAAAAGAAAAAAGCCTCCAAGAAATATGGGACTATGTGAAAAGACCAAATCTACCTCTGATTGGTGTACCTGAAAGTGTTGGGGAGAATGGAACCAACTTGGAAAACACTGTGCAGGATATCGTCCAGGAGAACTTCCCCAACCTAGCAAGGCAGGTCAACATTCAGATTCAGGAAATACAGAGAATGTCACAAAGATACTCCCCGAGAAGAGCAACTCCAAGACACATAATTGTCAGATTCACCAAAGTTGAAATGAAGGAAAAAATGTTAAGGGCAGCCAGAGAGAAAGGTCGGGTTACCCACAAAGGGAAGCCCATCAGACTAACAGCTGATCGCTCGGCAGAAACTCTACAAGCCAGAAGAGAGTGGGGGTCAATATTCAACATTCTTAAGGAAAGAATTTTCAACCCAGAATTTCATATCCAGCCAAACTAAGCTTCATAAGTGAAGGAGAAATAAAATACTTTACAGACAAGCAAATGCTGAGAGATTTTGTCACCACCAGGCCTGCCCTTAAAGAGCTCCTGAAGGAAGCACTAAACATGGAAAGGAACAACTGGTACCAGCCACTGCAAAATCATGCCAAATTGTAAAGACCATCAAGGCTAGGAAGAAACTGTGTCAACTAATGAGCAAAATAACCAGCTAATATCATAATGACAGGATCAAATTCACACATAACAATATTAACCTTAAATGTAAATGGGTTAAATGCTCCAATTAAAAGACACAGACTGGCAAATTGGATAAAGAGTCTAGACCCATCAGTGTGCTGTATTCAGGAAACCCATCTCATATACAGAGACACACATAGGCTCAAAATAAAGGGATGGAGGAAGATCTACCAAGCAAATGGAAAACAAAAAAAGGCAGGGGTTGTAATCCTAGTCTCTGATAAAACAGACTTTAAACCAACAAAGATCAAAAGAGACAAAGAAGGCCATTACATAATGGTAAAGGGATCAATTAAACAAGAAGAGCTAACTATCCTAAACATATATGCACCCAATACAGGAACACGCAGATTCATAAAGCAAGTCCTTAGAGACCTACAAAGAGACTTAGACTCCCACACATTAATAATGGGAGACTTTAACACCCCACTGTCAACATTAGACAGATCAACGACACAGAAAGTTAACAAGGATATCCAGAAATTGAACTCAGCTCTGCACCAAGTGGACCCAATAGACATCTACGGAACTCTCCACCCCAAATCAACAGAATATACATTCTTCTTGGCACCACACCACACTTATTCCAAAATTGACCACATAGTTGGAAGTAAAGCACTCCTCAGCAAATGTAAAAGAACAGAAATGATAACAAACTTCTCTCAGACCACAGTGCAATCAAACTAGAACACAGCATTAAGAATCTCACTCAAAACCGCTCAAGTGCATGGAAACTGAACAACCTGCTCCTGAATGACTACTGGGTACATAACGAAATGAAGGCAGAAATAAAGATGTTCTTTGAAACCAATGACAACAAAGACAAAACATACCAGAATCTCTGGGACACATTCAAAGCAGTATGTAGAGGGAAATTTATAGCTCTAAATGCCCACAAGAGAAAGCAGGAAAGATCCAAAATTGACACCATAACATCACAATTAAAAGAACTAGAAAAGCGAGAGCAAACACATTCAAAAGCTAGCAGAAAGCAAGAAATAACTAAAATCAGAGCAGAACTGAAGGAAATAGAGACACAAAAAACCCTTCAAAAAATCAATGAATCCAGGAGCTGGTTTTTTGAAAAGATCAACAAAATTGATAGACCGTTAGCAAGACTAATGAAGAAGAAAAGAGAGAAGAATCAAATAGACGCAAAAAAAAATGATAAGGCGGATATCACCACCTATCCCACAGAAATACAAACTACCGTCAGAGAATACTATAAACACCTCTATGCAAATAAACTAGAAAATCTAGAAGAAATGGATAAATTCCTCAACACCTACACCCTCCGAAGACTAAACCAGGAATAAGTTGAATCTCTGAATAGACCAATAACAAGCTCTGAAATTGAGGCAATAATTAATAGCTTACCAACCAAAAAAAGTCCAGGATCAGACGGATTCACAGCCGAATTCTACCGGAGGTAAAAGGAGGAGCTGGTACCATTCCTTCTGAAACTATTCCAATCAACAGCAAAAGAGGGAATCCTCCCTAACTCATTTTATGAGGCCTGCATCATCCTGATAACAAAGCCTGGCAGCGACACAACAAAAAAAGAAAATTGTAGACCAATATCCCTGATGAACATCGATGCAAAAATCCTCAATAAAATACTGGCAAACTGAATCCAGCAGCACATCAAAAAGCTTATCCAGCATGACCAGGCGGGCTTCATCCCTGGGATGCAAGGCTGGTTCAACATATGCAAATCAATAAACATAATCCAGCATATTAACAGAACCAATGACAAAAACCACATGATTATCTCAATAGATGCAGAAAAGGCATTTGACAAAATTCAACAACCCTTCATGCTAAAAACTCTCAATAAATTACGTATTGATGGAACGTATCTCCAAATCATAAGAGCTATCTATGACAGACCCACAGCCAATATCATACTGAATGGACAAAAACTGGAAGCATTCCCTTTGAAAACTGGCACAAGACAGGGATGCCCTCTCTCACCACTCCTATTCAACATAGTGTTGGAAGTTCTTGGCGGGGTAATCAGGCAGGAGAAGGAAATAAAGGGCATTCAATTTGGAAAAGAGGAAGTCAAACTGTCCCTGTTTGCAGATGACATGATTGTATATCTAGAAAACCCCATTGTCTCAGCCCATAATCTGCTTAAGCTGATAAGCAACTTCAGCAAAGTCTCAGGATACAAAATCAATGTGCAAAAATCACAAGCATTCTTATACACCAATAACAGACAAACAGAGACCCAAATCATGAGTGAACTCCCTTTCACAATTGCTTCAAAGAGAATAAAATACCTAGGAATCCAACTTACAAGGGATGTGAAGGACCTCTTCAAGGAGAACTACAAACCACTGCTCAAGGAAATAAAAGAGGATACAAACAAATGGAAGAACATTCCATGCTCATGGGTAGGAAGAATCAATATCGTGAAAATGGTCATACTGCCCAAGGTAATTTATAGATTCAATGCCATCCCCATCAAGCTACCAATGACTTTCTTCACAGAATTGGAAAAAACTACTTTAAAGTTCATATGGAACCAAAAAAGAGCCCACATTGCCAAGTCAATCCTCAGCCAAAAGAACAAAGTTGGAGGCATCACGCTACCTGACTTCAAACTATACTACAAGGCTACAGTAACCAAAACAGCATGGCACAGGTACCAAAACAGAGATATAGACCAATGGAACAGAACAGAGTCCTCAGAAATAATACCACACATCTACAACCATCTGATCTTTGACAAACCTGACAAAAACAAGAAATGGGGAAAGGATTCCCTATTTAATAAATGGTGCTGGGAAAACTGGCTAGCCATATGTAGAAAGCTGAAACTGGATCCCTTCATTACAACTTATACAAAAATTAATTCAAGATGGATTAAAGACTTACATGTTAGACCTAAAACCATAAAAAACCTAGAAGAAAACATAGGCAATAACATTCAGGATATAGGCATGGGCAAGGACTTCATGTCTAAAACACCAAAAGCAATGGCAACAAAAGCCAAAATTGACAAATGGGATCTAATTAAACTAAAGAGCTTCTGCACAGCAAAAGAAATCACCATCAGAGTAAACAGGCAACCTAAAGAATGGGAGAAAATTTTTGCAATCTACTCATCTGACAAAGGGCTAATATCCAGAATCTACAATGAACTCAAACAAATTTACAAGAGAAAAACAACCCCATCAAAAAGTGGGCAAAGGATATGAACAGGCACTTCTCAAAAGAGGACATTTATGCAGCCAACAGACACATGAAAAAATGCTCATCATTACTGGCCATCAGAGAAATGCAAATCAAAACCACAATGAGATACCATCTCACACCAGTTAGAATGGCAATCATTAAAAAGTCAGGAAACAACAGGTGCTAGAGAGGATGTGGAGAAATAGGAACACTTTTACACTGTTGGTGGGACTGTAAAGTAGTTCAACCATTGTGGAAGTCAGTGTGGCGATTCCTCAGGGATCTAGAACTGGAAATACCATTTGACCCAGCCATCCCATTACTGGGTATATACCCAAAGGATTATAAATCATGCTGCTATAAAGACACATGCACACTTATGTTTATTGCAGCACTATTCACAATAGCAAAGACTTGGAACCAACCCAAATGTCCAACAATGATAGACTGGATTAAGAAAATGTGGCACATATACACCATGGAATACTATGCAGCCATAAAAAAGGATGAGTTCATGTCCTTTGTAGGGACATGGATGAAGCTGGAAACCATCATTCTCAGCAAACTATCACAAGGACAGAAAACCAAACACCGCATGTTCTCACTCATAGGTGGGAATTGAACAATGAGAACACATGGACACAGGAAGGGGAACATCACACTCCGGGGCCTGTTGTGGGGTTGGGGGAGGGGAGAGGGATAGAATTTGGAGATATGCCTAATGTTAAATGACGAGTCGCTGGGTGCAGCACACCAACATGGCACATGTATACATATGTAACTAACCTGCACGTTGTGCACATGTACCCTAAAATTTGAAAGTATAATAAAAAATAAAAAAATTTAAAAAAATTTAAAAAAGGAAAAAAGGAAGGAAGAAAACAGAAAAAGAAGGAAGAAAGAAAGGAAGTCAGGGTGGGTAGAAGGAAGGAGAAGAAAGAGACAGCTGAACACACCCAAGACAAGTGCAAAATCAAGAAGAATAAGCCCTCAGCTAATAAACTAAATGAGGCCACAATAAGCCTCTCAGTCCTGATTTGGTTTGAAGTCATGAGGTCAATGAGCACACACCATATTCAATACATTTTGAATTCCCACCCTTTGATAAATGTACTAACGTATACTTTGTTCTTATTATAAAGTTCACCCTGTCATAAATTTCTCCTACCATGAGGCCCTGGTACCTTTACCCCCATTTCATTACTTCCCATTATATTAATTATCCACATACTGATGGCAGCATATTTCTAGACAGACAAATTCTGAACTCCCAATGGCTGTGTTAGAGGAAGGCTCTAATCTTGATACTTATAATCAGACATTGGTGGGATGCCATCCTACAGCAGAGAGTACATGATTGTTAATCTAATGTGCTGCATTACTTTGCAGATTGAGTGAGGCCTATAATGAGTAACCTCAATCTAACTGAAAGAATGTCTACATTCTGAATTCGTATCCACAAAATTTTAAGAAAATTGAGGAACAAAATGAAAAGAATGGAGATATTCAAATGAGAGAAAAAATATATGATTTCAATTGCAGGTAATTCACTAATTTTCAAAATAATACAAATAGTATGAGAGCAAAAATGGAGAAATGGAGCAAGTCATATGAAAAATGGTCAGAAGAAAGAAAACAGCAATATGAACAGGTAACGTAACTGATAGTTTGAATTAACCATGGCCCATGAAGGACCAAGAGCCAAGTACAAGACATAACCAAAGGTATGAAGGTCATTTTGACAATTCTAAAATCTCTTCAGTAATTCATAAGGACACTAAACTAGGGTTGCAATGGTGTGATTCTGTTTGGACTTATGTTGTTTAGGGCTATACCAAACAGACCTGAAAGCCGATGCAGATATATGAATAGATCATTTCCTCTATCCAACACCCTAGTAAGAGCTAGGAATCACCAAGAAAACTGAATCTTGGAAGGCAGATTCTGCTTCATAAGGATAGAAACCATCTATGTCTTGATCACCACTGTATCCCTAGCCTCTAGAAGAGAAGTAAGCAAACTTTTTGTAAAAGTCCAAATAATAACATTTTAGGCTTTGAGAACATGCTGTTTCTATTTCAACTACTCAATGGACAATATGGAAACAAATGAATGTGACTGGGTTCCAATAAAACTTTGTGGGCTGGCCATATTTGACCCCGGTCTAGAAGGTTTCCTGGCATATACGTGCTTAATAAGTGTGTTAAATAAAAACCCACCTCCCTGTCTAGTCATAGCCTCCCTGGGAAATGAGCTAAATACAAAGAAACCATTGAGTCTACCTGTTGGAGAAGGCAAGTTTGAAACTAGGGAAGTATAAACACAGGGCCATTGATTACCATACTTCTTGCTGTGTATCCTGCAATAAGATAAAATGAAGCCCATTGGTAGAGAGAAAAAGAGAAACGTAGCAAAGACAGCAAAGATAGACTCTTTACCATATTTAAGGGTTATTATTTCTTTGGTGGAGACTGCTGTTAGTCCCCAGTATCATTTCTTCCATTCTTCCTTTTAGTAATAGAAACCCCAAGTTTTAGTGTGGTGTATAGCTTACCAGTTAAAAACTGTACTCTCAGGCTCCTTGAAGCAACATGACTAAGTTTGGACAAAGCTATGTGAACAGAAGTAATGTGAGCAACTTCTGTATCACACTCTTAGTTACAATGAAACAGTTTGTTCTCTTGCATGTTTTTCCCTTTTATAGGGGACTGGAGCTTAGATTCAACAGAAGGTAATCCTGAATAGAACATGCAGAAGGCACAACACATTTGGGTCTGGTAGAACAAACAGAGAGAAGGAACTGTGGACTTCAGATAACATGTATCAAGTGACGTTCTTTCCCTAGACTGTCTGCTCACTCATGCTTTTACAAAAGGGATGACAGGACTAAACCTCCTGTCTTGTTTAAGCCATGCTATTAAAATAGCTGAACTGATATCCTAACTAATAAAATCCCAGAAAGAGTTTCCAAAGTTTCTGCCTTCCAAACCTGGGTTGTTTTTCAATTCAATTGATTCTGAGGATTATATCAGGATCTTTTTAACAGGTCATCTTTTGCCTTTTACTTCCATTTGGATTTCTGTCATTTGCAACCTAAGACCGCTGAATGATATAAGAGTTATCCAGTTGATATTCCCATGGAGATTTTTTTTCCTCCATTGTTAGTCTTAAAAGTTTAGGTTTTTACTTTATCAATGAATGTGGCAATTTCTTCACAAATACTTCTGGCAAGCTAAGTGTCATTGTCCCAATTCCAATGCAAGATACCATCAAAGCCAACAATCTCTTGGAAACAGAGAGAATTTTTAAATCATTCACGGACATTCTTCTAAGGGTCTCCAAGGAAAATCTTCAAATAAAATAAGTCCATGATGGACGTATTTAATTTATATGTGCTTCATGACGTTTAGGAAATACCTATCACAATGTTATATTGGTGAATGGAGGTTTTAAGCTACACACAGAAAAACAAGGGCAGCCCATGTGGACTCTCATTCAGCTCCATAAACATTTAACTAATGTTGTAACATATAACTTGTGTTAGCTTCATTGAGGCAGAATTAGCAAATAAAAATTGTATAGATTCAAGCATTATACATTAAATGTTTTGATATACCATGCATTGTGAAATGATTACCACAATTGAAATAATTAACATATCCATCACCTCACATAGCTGTTTTTTGTCTGGTAAGAATATCTAATATCTACTCTCTTAGTAATTATTAAGGATACAATACATTATTATTAACTATAGTTATTGTGCTGCAAATTAGATCTCTGGAATTTATTCATGCTATAAATTCAAGTCTGTATTCTATGACCAACATCTCTCCATTTTCCCCAATCTGCCTAATCATGATAACCACCCTTCTACTCTCTGTTTCTATTAATTTGACTTTTTAAGATTGCATATATAAGTGACATTGTGCGGTATTTATCTTTCTGTGTCTGATGTCTTTCACACAGCATAAGCTTCAACCATGTTGTTGCAAATGACAGGATTTCCTTTTCTTCTGGGACAGGGTCTTACTCTTTCTCCCAAACTGGAGTGCAGTGGCGTGGCCATGGCTCACTGCAACCTCAAACACCTGGGCTCAAGTGATTCTCCTACCTCAGCCTCTCAAGTAACTTGGAACAACAGGGATGTGCCATAATACGAAGCTAACTTTTTAAAAATCTTTTTAGAGATGAAATCTCACTTTGTTGCCCAGGCTGATCTCAAACTCCTGACCTCAAGCTATCCTCCCACTTCAGCCTCCCATAGTGCTGGGATTACATGCATGAGCCACCATGCCCAGCCTACTTTCAATTTTTTGAGGGACCTCCTTTCTGTTTTCCGTAATGGCTGTACCAGTTTACATTGCAACCAGCAGTGTGTAAGGGAGGGTTCCCTTTGCCCAACAACCTCACCAACACTTGTCTTTCAAATTTTTGATAATAGCCATCCAATCAGCTGTGAGGTGATATTTCACTGTGGTTTTTTATTTTCATTTCCCTGATTATTAGTGATGTTGGGCATCTTTTCATGTACCTCCTGGCCATTTGTATGTCTTTTTTTTTTTTTTCTTAGAATTTCTCTCTTGTTGCCCAGGCTGGAGTGCAATGGCACGATCTCAGCTCACTGCAACCTCCACCCCCCGGGTTCAAGCGATTCTCCTGTCTCAGCCTCCTGAGTAGCTGGGATTACAGGCATGCACTACCATGCCCAGCTAATTTTTTTGTATTTTTAGTAGAGACGGGGTTTCTCCATGTTGGTCAGGCTAGTCTCGAACTCCCAACCTCAGGTTACCCACCTGCCTCGGGCTCCCATAGTGCTAGGATTACAGGCGTGAGCCACTGTGCCTGGCCAGCCATTTGTGTATCTTCTTTGGAAAAATGTCTATTCAGGTGCTTTGCCCATTTTCTAAATTGATTTTTTTTTTTGCTACTGAATTGTATGAGTTTCTTATATATTTTGTATATTAACCTCTTGTTGGATATATGGCGTGCAAATATTTTCTCCCATTTTGTGGGTTGCCTTTTCATTTTGTTGATTGTTTCCTTTGTTGTATAGAAACTTTTTAGTTTGAAGTAGTTCTACTTGTTTATTTTTGTTTTTGTTACCTATGTTTTTGGTGTCATATCTAAAAAAAAAATTGCCAAAACCAAAGTCTTGGAGCTTTTTCCCTGTTTTATTCTAAGTGTTTTATCATTTCAAGTTCTATATTAAGTCTTTAATCCATTTTAAATTGATTTTCTTTATGGTAAAAGATAAGAATCCAATTTAATTGTTTTTTGCATGTGGATTTTCAGTTTGACCAATACCATTTATTGAAGAGACTACCCCTTTCCCATTGTGTATTCTTCATGCCTTTGTCAAAGATTACTTGACAATATACCTATGGGTTTATTTCTGGCATTTCTATTCTATTACATTGGTCTATGTGTCTGATTTTATGCTAGTACCATACTGTCTTGATTGCTACAGCTTTGTAATATAACCTGAAATCAGGAAGTGTGATGCCTCCAGCTGTGTTCTTCCTATTCAAGATTGCTTTAACAATTTGGGGGCTTTTGTGATTCTATACAAATGTCAGGATTTTTTTCTATTTATGTAGAAAATATCATTAGAAAATTAATGGGGATTTCCATGAATGTGTATATGATTTTGGGTAGTAAGGACATTTCAACAATATTAATTCTTCTAATCCATGAACACGGGGTGGCTTTTCATTTACTTGTGTCTTCTTCATTTTCCTTCATCAATCAATGTCTTATCATTTACAGTGTGCAGATCTTGTACCTCATTGGTTAAAATTATTCCTAAGTATTTTATACTTTTTGGTGCTACTGTGAGTTTTTTTTTTAATTTATTTTTCAGATATTTTCTTACTATTGTATAAAATACAATTGATTTTGTATTCTGCAACTTGACTGAAATATTTTATTAGTTCTAACAAATTTTATTACAGTCATTAGGGTTTTCTATGTATAAGCTCATGTTGTCTTCAAACAGAGACAATTCTACTTCTTCCTTTCCTTTCATATTTGAATGTCTTTTATTTGATTCTTTCTTTTTTGCCTAATTTTTATGGCTAAGAATACCAATATTATGTTGAACAGAGAGGCAATTTTAGACATCCTTGTCATGTATGTACCTGATCATAGAGGAAAAGCCTTCAGCTTTTCATTTGAGTATGATATTAGCTCGGGCTCATTATATACGACCTTTATTGTGTTGCAGTACATGCCTTCTCTACCTAATTTGTTGAGAGTTTTTATCATGAAAGCATGTCAAATTTTGTCAAAAGTTTTTTCTGCATCTATTGATATGATCATGTCATTTTTGTCTTTTACTCTGCTAATGTGATATATAATGCTTACTGATTTGCATTTGTTGAACCATCCTTGGATCCTGGAAATAAATCTTACTTGATCATGGCATAATAATCTTTTCAGTGTGCTGTTGAAATGTTATTTTTTGTTGAGGATTTTGTATCTTATGTTCATCAGAGATGTTGGCCTGTAATTTTCATTTCTTTTAGTGACCTTCTCTGGCTTTGGTATCAAGAAAAAGAAAAAGAACAAACTAAGCCCAAAGTGAGTAGAAAGCAGGAAATAACAAAGATTGGAACAGAAATAAAAGAGAGACTTGAAAACAATAGAAAAGATAAACAAAGCTAAGAGTTGGTTTTCATAAAATAAATTTGAAAGTTTTCCTCTCTATTCAAATTTGTGGAGGAATTTGAGGATTGGTTTTAATTCTTCCTTAAATGTTTGATAAAATTCAACAGCAAAACCATCAGGTCCTAGGTTTTTCTTTGATGGGAGATTTTTGATTACTGATTCAATCTCCTTACATGTTACTGGTCTGTTCAGATTTTCTATGTCCTGATGATTCAGTCATGATTGGTTATATGTTTCTAGGAATTTATCAATTTTTTCTAGGTTATCCAATTTATTAGCATATAATTGTATATAATAGTTTTGTGACCCCTTGTTTTACTGGGATATCAGTTACAATGTCTTCTTGTTCATTTTTTACGTTTTTCAGTCTTTTTTCTTTTTTTTCTAGTTAGCCAAACTAAAGCTTTGACAATTTTGTTTATCTTCAAACAAAAAAAAACTCTTAGTTTTGTTTATCTTTTCTATTGTTTTCAAGTTTCTCTTTTATTTCTCTTCCAATCTTTGTTATTTCCCTCCTTCTACTCACTTTGGGTTTAGTTTGTTCTCCTTTTTCTTGTTAAATTAGGTTGTTTATTTGAGAGCTTTCTTTTATCTTCATGTAGGCATTTATTGTTGTTAACTTTCCTTACAGAACTGATTTCACTGTACCCCATGAGTTTTTGGTATGTCACATTTCAATTTGCATTTGTCTCAAGATATTTTTAAGTTTCCTTTTTATTTCTTCTTGACCCTGCTATGGTTTGAATCTGTCCACCAAATTTCATGCATTGAGAACTTAATCTACAATACAATAGTGTTGAGTACTAAAACCTTTAAGAGGTGATTAGGTCATGAAGTTTCTGCCCTCATAAATGAATTATGTTGTTATGATGGGAGTGGATTTGTTATCTGTATTAGCCCATTTTCACACTGCTGATAAAGACGTACCCAAGACTGGGCAATTTACAAAAGAAAGAGGTTTAATTGGACTCACAGTTCCATGTGGCTCGCGAGGCCTCACAATCATGGCAGAAGTCAAAACGGAGAAAGTCATGTCTTACCTGGATGGCAGCAGGCAAAAAGAGAGCTTGTGCAGGGAAACTCCCGTTTTTAAAACCATCAGATCTTGTGAGACTTATTCACTATCACAAGAACAGTGGGGGACAGACCCACACCCATAATTCAATCACCTCCCACTGAGTTCTTCCCATGACATGTGGAAATTGTGGGAGTTACAATTCAAGATAAAATTTGTGTGGGAACACAGCCAAACCATATCATTTCATCCCTGGACCCACTCAAATCTCATGTCCTCACATTTCAAAACCAATCATGCCTTCCCAACAGTCCTCCAAAGTCTTAACTCATTTCAGCATTAACTCAGAAGTCCACAGTCCAAAGTCTCATCTGAAATACAGCAAGTCCTTTCTATCTATGAGTGTGTAAAATCAAAAGCAAGTTAGTTACTTCCTAGATACAATGGGGATACAGACATTGGGTAAATACAGATGCTTCAAATGGGAGAAATTGGCCAAAACAAAGGGGCTACAGGCCCCATGAAAGTCTGAAATCCAGTGGGGTAGTCAAATCTTAAAGCTCCAAAATGATCTCCTTTGACTCCATGTCTCACATCCAGGTCATGCTGATGCAAGAGGTGGGTTCCCATGGTCTTAGGCAGCTCCACTCCTGTGGCTTTGCAAGGTATAGCTTCCCTCCCAGCTGCTTTCATGGACTGGTATTGAGTGTCTGTGCCTTTTTCAGGTGCCCACTGCAAGCTATCAGTGGATCTACCATTCTGGGGTCTGTAGTATGGTGGCCTTCTCCTCACAGCTCCACTAGGCAGTGCTGCAGTAGGGACTCTGTGTGGGATCTCTGACCCCACATTTCCCTTCCTAACTGCCCTAGCAGAGTCTCTCCATAAAAGAGCCCCTCTCCTGCAGCAAACCTCTGCCTGGACATCCAGCATTTCCATACATCCTCTGAAATCTCAGGGGAGTTTCCCAAACCTCAATTCTTGACTTCTGTGCACTCACAGGCTCAACACCATGTGTAAGCTGCCAAGGCTTGAGGCTTGCACCCTCTGAAGCCATAGCCAAGCTCTATATTGGCCCCTTTCAGCCTCAATGGCAGTGGCTGTGATGCAGATCACCAAGTCCCTAGGCTGCACACAACATGGGGACCCTGGGCCTGACCCACAAAACCAATTTTCCTCCTAGGCTTTGGGGCCTGTGGTGGAGGGGCTGCTGGGAAGACCTCTGGCATACCCTAAAGCCATTATCCCCATTGTCTTGAGGATTAACATTCAGCCCTTAGTTACTTAGGCAAATTTCTGCAGCCAACTTGAATTTCTCCTCAGTAAATGGGATTTTCTTTTCTATTGCATTGTCAGGCTGCAAATTTTTTGAACTTTTATGCTCTACTTCCCTTATAAAACTGAATGCCTTTAACAGCACCCAAGTCAACTCTTGAATGCTTTGCCACTTAGAAATTTCTTCTGCCAGATACTCTAAATCATCCCTCTCAAGTTCAAAGTTCCACAAATCTCTAAGGCAGAGGCAAAATGCTGCCAGTCTCTTTGCTAAAGCATAGTAAGAGTTGCCTTTGCACCAGTTCCCAACAAATTCCTCATGTCCATCTGAGACAACCTCAACCTGGACTTTATTGTCATATCACTATCAGCATTTTGGGCAAAGCCATTCAACAAGTCTCTAGGAAGTTAAAAACTTCAACATTTTCCTTTCTTCTTCTGAGCCCACCAAACTGTTCCAATTTCTGCCTGTTACCCTGTTCCAAAGTCACTTCCACATTTTTGGGTATCTACAGCAGTACCCCACTCTACTGGTACCAGTTTACTGTATTAGTCCATTTTCATGCTGCTAATAAAAACATACCCAAGACTGGGCAATTTACCAAAGAAAGAAGGTTAATCGGACTCACAGTATCATGTGGCTGGGTAGGCCTCACAATCATGGTGGAAGGCAAGGAGAAGCAAGTCACTTCTTGCATGGATGGCAGCAGGCAAAAGGAGAGTTTGTACAGGAAAAATCCCATTTTTAAAACCATCAGATCTCATGAGACTTATTCACTATCATGAGAACAGTGCAGGAAAAACCCACACTCATAATTCAATCACCTCCCACTAGGTTCCTCCCGTGACAAGTGGAAACTGTCGGGTTAGAATTCAAGATGAGATTTAGGTGGGGACACAGCCAAACCATATCATTTTCACAATATTGGTTTTATTATAAAATCAAATTTGACCCCTTCTTGCTCTCTTTTACCTTCTCTCATTGTCTCACTTTCTGCCATACGATGACATAGCAAGAAGACCCCTGCCAGATGTCAGTACCTTGATATTGGATTTTCCACCCTCCAGAACTGTGAGAAATAATCTTTTCTTCACAGATTACCCAATAGGTGGTTTTTTGTTTTAGCAAAACAAAACAGATATAGACCTATTGGTTGTTGAAGAGTATATTATTCAATTTCCACGTAAACGTGAATTTTCAACTTTTGTTCTTGTGATTGAGTTCTAGTTTATTACTATTATGCTTGGAAAAGATATTTGACATAATTTCAATCTTTTTAAATTTGTTAAGATTTGTTTTGTAACAAAACATGGTCTATCCTGGAGAATGCTCTGTGTGCACTTGAGAAGAATGTGTATCCTACTGCCATTGGGAGGAATGTTCTGTATATGATAATTAGGTCTAGTGTGCAGTTAAAATCCAAATTTTTTAGTTGATTTTCTATCTGAAAGGTCTACTCATGGGTGAAAGTGGGGTATTGAAATTCCCTATTACTATAGTATTACTATCTGTCCCTTCAGATCTATTATTTGCTTAATATATTTAAGCACTTAAATATTGAGTGCATGCATTTTCCAATTGTTATAACCTCTTGATGAATTGACACCATTATCATGACATAATAACCTTCTTTCTCTCTTTTTACAGTTTTTAAAAAATTGACATGTAATAGTTACACATATTTTGGGGGTACATGTGATGTTTTGATACCTGTATACAATATAATGATCAAATCTGGGTAATTGGGATATCTATCACCTCAAACAAGTATCATTTCTGTGTGATGAGAACATTACAATTTTTCTAGTATTTTGAAATATACGATAAATTATTTTTTACTATAATTTTCCAGCTGTACTATGAAACACTAGAACTTATTCCTTCTATCTAACTATATTTTTGCACCCCTTAAAAAACTTCTCTTTATCTTCCCTTCCCTTCCCAGTCTCTGGTAACCACCATTCTACTCTCTACCTTTATGATATACACATTTTTAGCTCCCATCTATGAGTGAGAACATGCAATATTTGTCTTTCCATGCCTTGCTTATTTCACTTAATATAATGACTTCCAGTACCATCCATCCTGCTGCAAATGATGGAATTTTGTTGTATTTTAAGGCTGAATAGGATTCCATTCTGTATATATGCTACATTTTCTTCAGCTGTTTATTCATTGATGATTAAACAGGTTGATTTCTATCTTGGCTATTGTAAACAGTGCCGCAATAAACATGCGACTACAGATACCTCCTTGGTATACTGATTTCTTTTCTTTGGTATAATGATTTCTTTTCTCTTGTATAAATACTGATAAAGTTTGGATACATGTCTGCAGCCAAATCCCATGTTGAATTGTAATCCCCAATGTTGAAAGTAAGGCCTGGTTGGAGGTGATTGGAACATGGGAATGGATTTCTCATTAATAGTTTAGCACCACTCACTTGGTGCTATCCTCATGATAGTGAGCGAGTTCTTGTGAAATCTGGTTATTTAAAAGTGTCTGGCACCTCCCCACTCTCTCTCTTTCTCCTGCTGTAGCCATGTGATGTGTCTTCTCTCCCTTGCCTTCCACCACAATTGAAAGCTCCCTGAGGCCTCCCCCAAAGCAGATCCCCCTATGTTTCCTGTACAGCCTGCAGACACATGAGCCAATTAAACCTTCTTTCTTTTTTTTTTTTAATTATACTTTAAGTTCTAGGGTACATGTGCACAACGTGCTGGTTTGTTACATATGTAAACATGTGCCATGTTGGTGTGCTGCATCCATTAACTCGTCATTTAGCATTAGGTATATCTCCTAATGCTATCCCTCCCCCCTCCCCCCACCCCACGACAGGCCCCGGTTTGTGATGTTCCCCACCCTGTGTCCAAGTGTTCTCATTGTTCAATTCCCACCTATGAGTGAGAACGTGTGGTGTTTGGTTTTTTCTCCTTGTGATAGTTTCCTGAGAATGATGGTTTCCAGCTTCATCCATGTCCCTACAAAGGACATGAACTCATCCTTTTTTATGGCTGCATAGTATTCCATGATGTATATGTGCCACATTTTCTTAATCCAGTCTATCATTGTTGGACATTTGGGTTGGTTCCAAGTCTTTGCTATTGTGAATAGTGCCACAATGAACATACATGTGCGTGTGTCTTTATAGCAGCATGATTTACAATCCTTTGGGTATATACTCAGTAATGGAATGGCTGGGTCAAATGGTATTTCTAGTTCTAGATCCTTGAGGAATTGCCACACTGTCTTCCACATGGTTGAACTAGTTTGCAGTCCCACCAACAGTGTAAAAGTGTTCCTATTTCTCCACATCCTCTCCAGCACCTGTTGTTTCCTGACTTTTTAATGATTGCCATTCTAACTGGTGTGAGATGGTATCTCACTGTGGTTTTGATATGCATTTCTCTGATGGCCAGTAATGATGAGCATTTTTTCATATGTCTGTTGGCTGCATAAATGTCCTCTTTTGAGAAGTGTCTGTTCATATCCTTTGCCCACTTTTTGATGGGGTTGTTTTTCTCTTGTAAATTTGTTTGAGTTCATTGTAGATTCTGGATATTAGCCCTTTGTCAGATTAGTAGGTTGCAAAAATTTTCTCCCATTCTGTAGGCTGCCTGTTCACTCTGATGGTGGTTTCTTTTGCTGTGCAGAAACTCTTTAGTTTAATTAGATCCCATTTGTCAATTTTGGCTTTTGTTGCCATTGCTTTTGGTGTTTTAGACATGAAGTCCTTGCCCATGCCTATGTCCTGAATGGTATTGCCTAGGTTTTCTTCTAGGGTTTTATGGTTTTAGGTCTAACATTTAAGTCTTTAATCCATCTTGAATTAATTTTTATATAAGGTGTAAGGAAGAGATCCAGGTTCAGTTTTCTACATATGTCTAGCCAGTTTTCCCAGCAGCATTTATTAAATAGGGGATCCTTTCCCCCATTTCTTTTTTTGCCAGGTTTGTCAAAGATCAGATGGTTGTAGATGTGTAGTATTATTTCTGAGGGCTCTGTTCTGTTCCAGTGGTCTATATCTCTGTTTTGGTACCAGTACCATGCTGTTTTGCTTACTGTATCCTTGTAGTGTAGTTTGAAGTCAGGTAGTGTGATGCCTCCAGCTTTGTTCTTTTGGCTTAGGATTGACTTGGCAATGCAGGCTCTTTTTTGTTTCCATATGAACTTTAAGGTAGTTTTTCCAATTCTGTGAAGAAAGTCATTGGTAACTTGGTGGGGATGGCATTGAATCTATAAATTACCTTGGGCAGTATGGCCATTTTCACGATATTGATTCTTCCTATCCATGAACATTTAATATTATTCCATTTGTTTGTATCCTCTTTTATTTCATTGAGCAGTGGTTTATAGTTCTCCTTGAAGAGGTCCTTCACATCCCTTGTAAGTTGGATTCCTAGGTATTTTATTCTCTTTAAAACAATTGTGAATGGGAGTTCACTCATGATTTGGCTCTCTGTTTGTCTGTTATTGGTGTATAAGAATGCTTGTGATTTTTGCACATTGATTTTGTATCCTGAGACTTTGCTGAAGCTGCTTATCAGCTTAAGGAGATTCTGGGCTGAGACTAGTGGGTTTTCTAAATATAAATCATGTCATCTGCAAACAGGAACAATTTGACTTCCTCTTTTCCTAATTGAATACCCTTTATTTCTCTCTCTTACCTGATTGCCCTGGCCAGAACTTCCAATACTATGTTGAATAGGAGTGGTGAGAGAGGGCATCCCTGTCTTGTGCCAGTTTTCAAAGGGAATGCTTCCAGTTTTTCCCATTCAGTATCATATTGGCTGTGGGTTTGTCATAGATCGCTCTTATTATTTTGAGATATGTCCCATCAATACCTAATTTATTGAGAGTTTTTAGCATGAAGCGTTGTTGTATTTTGTCAAAGGCCTTTTCTGCATCTATTGAGATAATCATGTGGTTTTTGTCATTGGTTCTGTTTATATGCTGAATTACGTTTATTGATTTGCATATGTTGAACCAGCCTTGCATCCCAGGGATGAAACCCACTTGATCATGGTGGATAAGCTTTTTGATGTGCTGCTGGATTCAGTTTGCCAATATTTTATTGAGGATTTTTGCATCGATGTTCATCAGGGATATTGGTCTAAAATTCTCTTTTTTTGTTGTGTCGCTGCCAGGCTTTGGTATCAGGATGATGCAGGCCTCATAAAATGAGTTAGGGAGGATTCCCTCTTTTTCTATTGATTGGAATAGTTTCAGAAGGAATGATACCAGCTCCTTCTTGTACTTCTGGTAGAATTCGGCTGTGAATTTATAAATTACCCAGTCTTTGGGTTTTTTTGGGTTTTTTGTTGTTGTTGTTTTGTTTTGTTTTGTTTTGAGGCAGAGTCATGCTCTGTCGTCCAGGCTGGAGTGCTGCAAACTCTGCCACCTGGGTTCAAGTGATTCTCCTGCCTCAGCTTCCTGAATAGCTGGGACTACAGGCACACCACCACGCCTGGCTAATTTTTGTATTTTTAGTAGAGACGGGGTTTCACCATACTGGCCATGCTGGTCTCGAACTACTTACCTCGTGATCTGCCCTCCTCGGCCTCCCTAAGTGCTGGGATTACAGGCATGAGCCACTATCTGGTATTTCTTCATAGCAATGTGAGAATTGACTGTAATACATATACCTAGAATTGACTATAATACATACAATACACATACCTAGAAGTGAGATTGCTAGATGATATGCTAGTTCTATTTTTAGCTGTTTGAGGAACCTCAATACTGTTTTTTCTAATGGCTGTACTACTTTATATTTCCACCAATAGGCAAACATTTTCCTTTCTTCACATCCTCATCAGAGTTTGTTATTTTTTGTCTTGTTTAACAATAGACATTCTGACTGGGGTGGGATGATGTCTCATTGAGGTTTTGATTTGCATTTCCTTGGTGGTTAGTGATGGTAAACATTTTTTCATATACCTCTTGGCCATTTGTATGTCTTACTTTAAGAAATATTTGTTCAGATATTTTGCCCATTTTTAAATCAGATTGTTTTTGTTTTTGTTTCTATTTTTGCTACTGAGATGTTTCAGTTCTTTGTATATTATTTTAGTTACTAACTGCAAATATTTTATCCCATTCTGTTGGTTGCCTCTTCACTTTGTTAATTGTTTTCTATGCTGTGCAGAAGCTCTTTAGCTTAATGCATATTTTTACAGCTTTTGGCTTAAAGTCTATTTTTTCTAATAAAAGTGTAGCTACTGCTGCTCTCCTTTGGCTTCCATTTTTATGGAATATTTTTTCCATTTCTTCACTTTCGGTCAATATATGACTTTAAAGCTGAAAAACAATCTCTTGCAAACACCATAGACAGCATATTAGCTCTTGTTTATTTATCCATTCAGCCATTCTACATCTTTTGATTGGAAAATTTAGTATACTTACATTCAACATAATTAATGATAGGTAAAAATTTATGGTTGTCATTTTGTGAATTTTTTTCTGGCATTTTATCACCTTTTGTTTCCGTCTTTCTCTCTTTCTGTCTTTCTTTATAATTTGATGATTTCTGTAGAGGTATCTTTTCTCTTTACCTATTCTATAGCTACTATATGTTTTTGCTTTGTGGTTATTCTATAGCTACTATATGTTTTTGCTTTGTGCTTTATGAGGCATACATAAAACTTATTATGCTTATAAAAGTCCATCTCAAGCTAATGCAACTTAACTTCAATCACACACAAAAAAACTTTGCACTTTTAGTCCCCTCCAAACATATTTTATGTTTTTTATGTCATAATTTACAAATTATTATATTGTGTTTCCATTAACAAATTATTTTAGCTATAGTTAGTTTTTAATATTTTTGTCTTTTAAACTTTATGCTAGAATTATGTGATCTATACACCATCATTACAATATTAAAGTATTCTGAATTTTACAGTGTACTTTCTTTTACTGGTGAGTTTTCTACTTTCATATATTTCATGTTACTAAGTAGAAATCTTGTATTCAACTTGAACTCCCTTTAGCATTTCTTATAAAGCAAGTCTAGTGGAGATAAACTCCTTCAGCTTTTGTTTGTCTGGGAAAGTACTTCATTTCTGAAGGATAGCATTTCTGGATAAACTGTTATTCATTGACACTTTTGGGGTTTTTTTTAGCACTCTGAATATATCATCCCACCCTCTGCTGGTCTAAAAATTTACTGCTAAGAAATCCCCTGATAGCCTTATGAGGGTTCCTTTATATATAAGAAACTTCTCTTTTCTTGTTCCTTTCAAGATTTTCTCTTTGTCTTTTATTTTGACAGCTTTATTGTAATATATCTTGGTAAAGTCTTCCTTGTGCCTAATTGGAGATTGAGATTTGTGTACCCAAATATCCATATGTCTCCCCCAATTTAAGAAATTTTTAACCATTATTGCTTTGAATAAGCTTTCTGCCTCTATCTCTCTGCCTTTGCCTCTATTTTTCGGTGTCTTGTATAATGTGCATATAATGTGAATATTGGTGTCCCCTAAATCCTTTAGACTGCCTTTACTTCTTTACATTCTTTTTTCCTCTTTTCTCATATGACTGGATATTTTCAAAAGACCTGTCATTTTCACAGAGTCTTTCTTCTACTTGATCAAGTGTGCTATCCATGTTTTTCTATTGCATTTTGCATTTCATTTATTGTATCTTCAGCTCCAGAATTTTCATTTTTTATTAATTCTATCTCTTTACTGAATTTCCCATTTTATTCACCTATTGTTCTTCTGATTTCATTAAGATGTCTATCTGTGTTCTCTTTTAGTTCACTAAGCACTCTTAAAACAACTATTTTGAATTCTTTTTCAGGTAATTCCTACATCTTCATTTTCTTTGGAGTTGGTTATTAGAAAATTATTGTGTTTCTTTGATAGCATCATGTTTCTTTGATTTTTTTCCTGTTTCTTATTGTCTTGTGTTGATGTCTGCATTTGATGGAGCATTCACCTCTTTCGGGCTTTACATACTAGCTTAGGTAGGGAAAAGCCTTCACCTTCAGGTGAGTATAAAATCACTGGCTAGGTAGGGTGCAGTGGTTCCAGTTCTAGTAAGGGTGCGTTGGTATAGTCTCCATGCTGTTCCATCAAGAAGGTCATTATTGGTGAAGATTGCAGGAGTCCTTAGTGTCCAAAGCTGTAGTGGGAGTGACAACTGTTTTGGTCTTCAGGTGTGAAGGCTGCTGGGATTCTCCTGATTTCTTCTTCTCCCATGGGAGATGTCATAACCATGGGTATCCCTTTGGGCACCACATCTGTGTCATGGGCATGCACATGATGGCAGTGGCACCAGTATCTGATACACAGCACCCATGGATGGCCATGGACCTGGAATATGAAGTGTGAGCACATAAGAGAAGACAATTGCTTCAGGATCCATGAAGGTGGTGGCACTAGTGCCAGAGGCCCAAGCCCTGCCAGTGCAACACTGGAAATGTTGTGCAAGGTGCAGGTGCCAGTGGAGGAGCCAAAGTGCTAGGGTTTGGGATACTGATGTGCCTACTGATGCAATAGTTTCACTGTCTAACGTGCAGATGATGGCAGTGCAGCCCCAAGGCTGTTTGGAGTGCTGCCACACACAGAACTGAGACTCCAGGGTCTGAAGCATGCACAGCATTGAGAGGGATGGTATCCACGTTCTAGAGTGGCACAACAGTGGCAAAAGCTGCTGAAGTCCTCTGTGAAGCAGGCCACTGGGATCCATATCAGTGAAGTCAAGGATGACCTCTGCTATAAGAGCTGCAGCAATACAGGGAGCTGGGAGCAGTGGCTCATGCCTCTAATCCCAGCATTTAGGGAGGCTGAAGCAGGTGAATCACTTGAGACCAGGAGTTTGAGACCAGCCTGGCCAACATGGTGAAACCCCATCTCTACTAAAAGCTACAAAAAAAAATTACCCAGGGGTAGTAGTGGGCACCAGTAATCCCAGCTACTTGGGAGACTATGGCAGGAGAATTGCTTGAACCCAGGAGGTGGAGGTTGCAGTGAGCCAAGATTGAGTCACTGCACCCCAGCCTAGATGACAAAGTGAGACTATCAAAAAGAAAGAAAAAGAAAGGAAAGAAAAGAAAGAAAGAGAAAGACAGAGAGAGAGAGAGAGAGAGAGAAAGAAGAAAGAAAGAAAGAAAGAAAGAAAGAAAGAAAGAAAGAAAGAGAGAAAGAAGAAAGAAAGAGAAAGAAAGAAAAAGAAAGAAAGAAAGAAAGAAAGAAAAAAGAAAGAAAGAAAGAAGAAGGAAAGAAAGAAAGAAAGAAAGAAAGAAAGAAGAAAGAAAGAAAGAAAGAAGAAAGAAAGAAAGAAAGAAAGAAAGAAAGAAAGAAAGAAAGAAAGAAAGAAAGAAAGAAAGAGAAAGAAAGAAAGAAAAAATAGCTGCAGGGACACAGGGGTTGTTGAGGTCCTCCATGACAAACGCTGCCAGGGTCCTCTGCAGAACAGGCCACCAGGCTGCCACGGTCCTCTGCAGAACAGGTCCCCACCACCTGACTAATACTGATAGCCCCCACTCTTCTTTGTTCTTAGCCATCTCCAGAAATTTCAGGTATGTCAATCTCACCAGCAATCCTTGCTAAGCCATTATTCTTTGTTTCTTGCTCCACTATGTTGCTATAAGTTCTTATCAGGATTCTTGTAACTTCCCAAGGCTATTTGCATTTGTAGAAACCTCTCTCATTTATTGTGGAGGGATGAATACTGATATCTGTTACTTTGCCATCTTGCTGATAGTGCTCCCTAGAACTAAAGCATAAGGAATGAAGGCGGAAACAGCAGCTCAGGCCCAAGGTTATGCAGAAGCCACAGATGTCAACAGGGGCGTAGGACAGTAACCCCCATATGCCCCAGAGTACCTTTATCACATACCTTGGCAAAAAAGAGAAACAATATATAATTGTTTCCTGAAGGAAACATTTGGTATTGAGTACAAATACAATTCTCCACTGAAAACAAAAGCTAAAGACAGACGAAATATAAAATTATGATAGGGAGAAAATAAAGGCAATAACGAGACTGTTTGAGGCAAAGATATCAAAGTCTGTCAAAGAAAATAAAACAGTGAGTCTAAGACACAAGAGGCAAGCTAAGATACGAAAGAGAAATAGGAATAGTGCTCAATAAATAATAAAATTGGCATGAACAATTATGGAAAAACCATAAAAATCCAGACATTATCTGGATCTTGAGTTCATTATTCAAATTATAGAACCTCTACTCTACTTCATCATAAAAAAATAAACAAACAAACTTGGACAATTAAGAAACTATTACAATTTAGGAAAACTCACAAAATCAGATCAAGGAAAATAATAACAATTATAAGTTCATTTTTCAGGAAATTCTGAGACAGAACAATTATATATTTATCACTGTATCCACAGCATGTAGCACAATGCTTGGCACATTCCAGATGCTGAACTCATTTGAGCTAATAAGAGATGAATACATAATATAATTCCATAAATCAATTTATGCATGTAAGGTTTATATTAGAATTTTATTACAACTATTCTGTTTGTTCTTTTATATTCAACATCCCACATTTATGTATGAAATGTACAGACCAAAACTTATTATTGCCAATTACTTTTTAAAAAGAAAAAAAGCAAGTAAGTACTAAGCAGAGCCAGAAATGAAAACCCAAATTTCTCAACTCCTGATCTATCACCATGAATTAATAAGATAATATAAAGAAATCCTTTCATTCATGGATATTATCATATCTGTATTCTGCTATGCTTAAAGTCAGGGGAAAAAAGAATCATGGGGGTTGCCCAAGATAGCCGACTAGAAGAAGCTAACCTGCATGGCTGTCACAGAGAGAAATGGAAGGGGCAAGTAATACAGCACCTTCAACTGAAACATCCAGGTGCACTCATTGGGACTCATCAAGGAAACAACTTGACCCACAGAGAATGGAAAAAAGCCAGGCAAGATGACCACTTGCCAGGGAGTGACACAGAGCCAGGGGAGACTCCCTCGTCCATAGAAGCAGGAGTCCTAGATGACTAGGGATGGGAGCCATCCCCATGCACAGTCCAGCAGCTCTACTGAGAAGCAGTCAGATTGCTTATTCACGTGAATCCCAGATCCTGTTTCTCTTCACTGGGTGGAATCTCCTGACTGGGGTCTCCAGTCACCTCCCCCAATGTTTTCCTGCCAATAGCAGTTTCGAACCTCCCTGGAGCAGAGTGCCCAGAGGTGGGGTGGGCTGCCATCTTTGCTGTTTTGAAACCTTAGCTGTTCTTGCCTTCAGGCTTTGGAGAGTCCACAGTGACTAGGAGCTGGAGTGGACCTCCAGCACAGCACAGTTGCCCCGTGAAAAAGCAGCCAGAATGGTTTTTCATGCAGGTCCCAATCCTATTCCTCCTCACTAGACAGGACCCCTTGAATGGGATTTCCTGCTACCCCTGCCAGTGTTTTTCAGCCAGGAGCATTTCCAAATTCCATGGAATGGAGCTCCCAAAGGGAGTGATGGGCCATCATCTATGCTGTTTAGCAGCCTTAGCTGTTCTTGCCTTTGGGCTTTGGAGAGTCCAATGCAAATGGGGGCTGGAGCACACCCCAAGCAAAGCACAACACAGCTGCTCTACCAAAAAGCAGCTAGACTGCTTTTTTACACAGGCCCCCATTCCCGTTTCTCCTCATTGGGTGGGCTCTCCAGACTAGGGTCTCCAGCCACCTCCTGCAAGTATGTTCTGACCAGCAACAGATCCCTACCTCGCTGGAACAGAGCTCCCACATGGCAGTGGCCGGTCGGGGGGGGCAGGTTGTCATTTTTGCAGTTTGGCAATCTTTACTGCTGATGCCTTCAGGTACTGGAAAATTCAAGGTGACAAGGGACTGGAATAGACCCCCAGCATACTAAAGCAGACCTACAGGAAAGTGGGCAGGCTGTTCGTTACATGGGTCTCTCATCCTGTATGTCCTCATTGGGTGGTTCTTCCAGGCCTGGGTCTCCAGCCACCCCAAACCAGAGCTATCAAGCCAATAGCAGCTCTACAACTCCCTGGGACAGAGCTCCCAGTGGGAAGGGAGGGTTCCAATCTTTGCTGTCTCACAGCCCTCACCCTTGCTGTCTCCAGGCTCTGGTCTAAACCCCCAGCACAGAGCAATCGCCTCATGGAAAAGTGGCTAGACTATTCCCTATGCAGGTCTTGGTCCTCACTTCTCACTAGGCAGGGCAGCCCAACCTCGGACTCCAGCACAACCATACTGCCCCCACCTGATTATCTCAATCAGAGGCAGCCCAGCATTTCTCTGAGGAGGAAATCTCAGAGTCAGCCCATAACTCCTCCACCATGACAGTTACAGTGGTCCTGCTCTAAGAGCGCTTGGGCTGGGGAGGGAGCAAAGGGCCTAGTCATTAGGCTAGCACATCTGGCACACCATAGCCACCATATGGAGAGAATTTCAGCCCCTCTTCCCTGGGAACCCCCACCGCCCCTCTTCACCAGGCAGGGCCCTTGGCTCATAACCACAGAACAGTCATTCCACCCAAGGCAGAGAACAACCACTGGCAGTGGCTCAGAGTTTCCCTGAGGAGAGACTCCCAGAGGCATCCCATAGCCCCTCAGCAGCAGTTCTATCCCTACTGCCCTTGACCTGGGGAAGAAACAAAGATCCTGAGGGATACGCCCAAGCTTACAACATGCCACAGTCACCATATGGAGAGTATACCAGTCTCTCCTCCCAGTGAGCCCTCAACCCCCTGCTCCCCAACAAATGGATCCCCAAGCTCACACCAGCAGTGAAGCCACCACCACCAGCAGAACACTCCCAGTAACAGTGGCTCCATGTTTCTCAGAGTTGAAGCTCCCAGGGGCAACCAAAAGCCTCTCTGCCACCATCTCTGCAGTGGTACTACCCCTGTTACCCTTGGACCAACAAAGCAGCCAAGATCTTAAGTACCTTATCCATACCTGCAACAAGCTGCAGTCTACCCAAGGAGAGGAGGCCAGTCCATCCTCCACAGGTCCCACCTATCCCCTCTGCTCATCACCAGGCAGAGAACCCCCAACTTGGGCCCACAGTACAGATCCCCTATCCCAGGCTGATTTCACTGAGGAATTGCTGACCTTCATCTCTCTGGGGTAGTGCCACTAGGAAACAAGCAAAAGACCCTTGGCCATAACCACTGCTAAGGTCCCTTCCTCCGCTGCCTCCAAGTTGGGGAGAAATCTAAAACCATGAGATCACCCCAAAACTGCAGTGGGCAGCCCGAGAGTGCCAAGCCACAATCTATAGCCAGAACTCAAGTGGGAGAGGAGCTCACACTTTCAGTTCATTGAGAGAGAGCATGGCTGCAACTGCGAGGACATACAAGGGGGCCACACGACAGAGCCAGAGCCTACCTACTGACCACTACAACTAAGCACCACCTCCTGGATCACATCTCAAAGCTTCAACACCAAAAATACCCCACTAGCATATTCCCCTGTGAAATCAAAGACAGGAAGTCAACTACAAATAAAGACCCTGCACAAAACCTCAGCCCTGTGAAAACATCCAGAAAAGAAATCTATTGACTGTACTCAATTTACACTGCAGTTAAAGGAGCACCCACATACAGAGATGAGAAAGAACCAGTATAAGAACTGTGGAAACTCAAATGGCCAGAGTGTCTTATGTCCTCCAAAAGATCACCCTAGTTCTCCAACAAGGGTTCTTAACCAGGCAGATTTTGGCTGAAATGACAGAAATGGAATTTGGCACATGGGTAGGAATGAAGATCATTGAGATTCAGAAGAACGCCAAAACTCAATCTAAGAATCACAATAAAAGGATGCAGGAGCTGACAGACAAAATAACCAATATAAAAAAGAAGCTAACTGATCTGATAGAGCTGAAAAACACACTACAAGAATTTCACAATGTAATTGCAAGTATTAACAGCAGAATAGACCAAACTGAGGAAAGAATCTCAGAACTTAAAGACTGGCTCTCTGAAATAAGATGGTCAGACAAAACTAAAATAGAAGACAAGAATAATGAATAGAAATAAAGAAAACCTCTGAAGAATGCTGCATGTTCTCACTTGTAAGTGGGAGTTAAATGATGAGAACTCATGGACACAAAGAGGGAACAACAGACACTGGAGCCTATCAGAGACTGGTTGGCAGGAGGAGGGAGAGGATTAGAAAAAACAACTGTGGGGTACTAAGCCTAGTACCTGAATGACAAAAATAAAATACATACAACAAACCCCGGCGACATGAGTTTACCTATATAACAAACCTGCATATGTACCCCAAACTTAAAAGTTTTTTGAAAAAAGAAAAACAATCATAGAAAAAGTTGTGTTTAAAATATATAGAAACACATAAATATAATAGAGAGACAAATATATAGAAACCTATATAAATATAGATGTTCTTGTTTAAAATATTCTTCATGGGAGCAAATAAAAAAGACAACTAAAATCAGAGAGGAAAGTAGTCTAACAGACAATATCCATGGACAAGAAAAACTAAGGGCATTAGGAACAATTATATAGCTTTCTTAATGACAACGAGAGTAACCAGTAAATATAGCAAATGGTTTTCTGAGAGCATATAAAGAGAAAATAGTGTGGAAACTTTCTCCTTCTATATAAATCTATTGAGAATAGATATGAACTAATGTTTTTAACACTGTCTGTGATTTTGGAAAAATAAAAGGAAGGGCCAGCAATTGTGTCTTAAATAAATTGTATATGCACAACCCACTGCTTCCCTAATTATGGATGCTCCCTCTCTCTTAGCTTCTCTGCAAAAGTCGCAGTGCAAGTCTTACATCAATGGATGGCACAGCTCAAGAAAAAAAAAGGAAGACTGGCATGAGTAGGGAGAAGGAAGTAGGAAGAGAGACAGAATAAAAGGCAAAAGAAGTTTACTAGTCTACTAGACCTCAATACTTCCATTAAAACACTAAAATATACTTAATATTTTTTGATGGAAAAATCAAGTCAGCCCATGTTCTGCTTGTAAACTTGCTCTTGCCATCATGGAAGAGACAGGATAGGCAAGTTAATTTTTTGAGCAATCTTGTTACCATCTCCCTAGATAAAAAATTAAAAGCGTAGAATTGCTGAATCAGTGACTATCACCACCAGAAACACTGATTTTTAACCAAATCCCTGCCAGTAAGATAGAATTGAGTTAGAGAAAGTTCAAGAGATAACAGAATTGATTATAATATTGATTTAAGGGAACAAAGAAGCAAAACTAGCTTTTTATGTACAGATTCCTGGAGTCGTTTTCCTTACTGCAAGAACAGGTTTCAAATAGCAGAATATAGAACTTAATAAGCAATTACTCCCACAACCACTCAATGCTCATAGTGTGTTTAGAAAGAAGCCCCAGGGGAACTGAAGAGAGTATAATGTTAGAAAAATAAGGATTTATTTCTGTTAGAGTTTACGAAGGTTCATAACAATCTAAGGCCCCCATTAAAAAGACTATTTGGTAGCAGCTTTTAAAGTAGAATGGCTGTGATGATAAGACCCAGGAAAGCACGAAGCTTTGGGTTGAGACATCATGCAAAAACCCAGTAATAAAGCAAGAATGTCTACAAGGCCAAATTAATCCAATTCAGATAATGGTGTTGTTCTTATTTTTTCATAGTTGCACTTTCTTCTTTTTGGGGAAGATGAAAGCTTATGATGACTAACAAGAATAAGCTTGCACAGCATTCCCCAAATATGTTCTATGAAACATAAGCTCTGTAAATCCACCATAAGAAAAAGTAATTAATGTCAAATAAGCTTGGGAAACATTGCACACAATATGCCTTTATTGGACATCTACAGTCCACAGAAGTATACTAAAGGCTCTGAGAAGTCCTGTAACTAAAGCTCTATTAAAATGTGTTTGATGTAACACTTGCCAAACTTTTTGCATAGTACTTCCTTTGTATATAAAACTAAATTACATCCTATGGATCCAGTATTCCACAGTACACAGTCTGAGAAATATTGAGCTAAGGGTTTTAAGATATAGAGCTGGCCAATGTTTGCACTGGGAGTAGGAGGGAGTTACCTGGCTTTTTGCCGTTTTCAGTATCTAGCTTTCATATGTGACTTTTATAGTGTGATAGGTTTGAAAAGCAATGTCAATTTAATCAATTAAAAGCATGTTAGAAACAAATAAATAGTAAACTTTTTAATGTCCCTGGATACTGCTAACTTGATTATAAAGCAATATGACCCATAATATAATGAGAAGCAAGGATATTTTATTATGTTTAAAATAAACTACAGGGAATTTAGAATTTTATTTATTTATTTATTTATTTGAGATGGAATCTTGCTCTGTGGCCCAGGCTGGAGTGCAGTGGTGCAATCTCGGCTCACTGCAAGCTCTGCCTCCTGGGTTCACAACATTCTCCTGTCTCAGCCTCCTCAGTAGTTGGGACTACAGGCACCCACCACCACGCCCGGCTAATTTTTTTGTATTTTTTAGTAGAGACGGGGTTTCACCGTGTTAGCCAGGATGGTCTCGATCTCCTGACCTCATGATCTGCCCGCCTCGGCCTCCCCAAGTGCTAGTATTACAGGCGTGAGCCACGGTGCCCGGCCAGGAATTTAGATTTTTATATGAATTATGTTTATTAATACAGAAATTTTATCAGAGGAAAATGAGGTAATAATATTTGTATCATCCTGTATTAGTCCTGAAGGAATAGCACTTGAGTGATTATTCATTAAAAAGAAACTAACAGGCCAGGCGCAGTGGCTCACGACTGTAATACTAGCACTTTGGGAGGCTGAGGTGAGCAGATTGCCTGAGCTCAGGAGTTCGAGACCAGCCTGGGCAACATGGTGAAACCCCGTCCCTACTAAAAATACAAAAAAATTAGCTGAGCATGGTGGCATGCGCCTGTAATCCCAGCTACTTGGGAGGCTGAGGCAGGAGAATTGCTTGAACCCAGGAGGCAGAGGTTGCAGTGAGCTGAGATTGCACCACTGCACACCAGCCTGGGCAACAGAGCAAGACTCTGTCTCAAAAAAAAAAAAAAAAAGAAAAGAAAGAAAAATATAATAAATTCACCACCACATTCTTAGACTCTCAATTGTTCACTATTCTCCTTTAATTGTATTACAGGTCTTAGGGAAATCTAGAAGGGCCATGAACTCTAATAGGAGGCGCAGAACTTTATCCAAGTAAGCGTGGTAGTTCGCAATTCTGTTTCGGGGGAGTGTGTAACAGCTAGCACTGGCACAATTATTTACCAATCTGGAAGAAAACAAAGCTGAAACTCTTGTACATAGCAAAATCCACACAACATACATAAACAAAATCTTACTACAGTAAGTATCTACATCTAAAAATAAAACAATAAAATAATTAAAACAAACTTCAGAGTGATATGTGAATATCAGGGTAAGGAAGAACTTCTTAAGCGAGACAGGAAACCTAGAAGTCACAGACAGGCCAGGCGCAGTGGTTCACGCCAGTAATCCCAACACTTTGGTAGGCCTAGGCAGGAGGATCACTTGAGTTCAGGAGTTCAAGACCAGCCTAGCTAACATGGTGAAACTCCGTCTCAACTAAAAATACAAAATTAGCGAGTCATGGTGCCTGCCTATAGTCCCAGATACTTTGGAAGATGAGGCAGGAGAATCACTTGAACCCAGGAGGCAGAGGTTGCAGTGAGCTAAGAATGTGCCATTGTACTCCAGCCTGGGCAACAGAGCAAAACTCCATCAAATGAATAAATAAATAGAAGTTACAGACAGAAAATTAAATACATTAAACACATAAAGAATTAGAAATTTTATGTTGAAAAATATGCCCCAAAAGTGAAAATACAGATGATGAACTGAAGGAAATGTCTGCAACACAAAGAAGACACCCAGCGTTACTATCTCCAATATGTATAGAAAAAAAGAAAGAAACTAAGAAAAATTAAAAATACACCCAAAGAGTCTGGAGGACATGCAAATGGCCAACAAATATGAAAAAGTACTCCATCTCACTAATAATTACGAAAGAGCAACTTATATTCAAAATAGCACTCTATTTTTTACAAACGGCCGTTTGTGAATGGCAAAAGAGAGCTGCTACCCATAATAAGAGGAAGCATCCATATATTTTTGATATTACATAAATACATGTATCTGTGAAAACAAGGATAAAAAGACACATTCCTGAATGTTAGTATTGGCTTTCTACTTAAGGAGATGGGAAGCAGAGAGAATTATTAGCTTCTTCTTTACAAAGGCTTTTATTTTTTCATTTGTTATAACAAGAGTGCATTTACATTGGTAAGGTTTTTTTCTAATCTAGTAACAAAAATTCTAAAGGAAAAACATCTTGAAGGTTTATTAAAGACAATTGATAAAAGATGACACAGAAAGGACAAGTCAAATTATATTCATCATGAGTCTTTTCTGCTCACTCCCACTGGATCTAATGGCCTCACACAGACCAGTTTAAACAGAGAATGATCTATACCACAGAGCTGATGAGAAAATGTCTGGTTGCTACTATACATTTATCAGGGCGCCCTATTAAGGTAAACAAATGAGCAAGAAAATAAAAATATAGATCACCCATCCTAGATAAAACACAAAGAGAGCCACCAAGGCTGTGCAAATGAATCCTGGTTCTATCTATTCATCTTTGCTGTTAATTATGTGACTTAAGATGGGAAATGAGTTTGTTGGTGTCTCACATGCTGGCAGTATTCTGACCACTGCAGAGAAAGGAAACACGGCATACTGAGATTACCTTAGCACAGAGAAAGGGGGTAAGATGGGGAGACAGGCTGGGCTGGTTATTCGTTGCTCACTGCAGAGATGAAAGACACATGTTTGGATGAAAGTCAAAGGAAGGCAGAATAAACCGGCAACTCAGACAGTTGGAATCTTAAAAAAGGAGTCTGGTGACACTGCTCTTAGATAGAATAGCAATTAAATAGAGAAATGTTACTTGTCCCATCGAATATTGAATCCATTTAAGAAGAAATAAAAAGCAATGCAATGTCTTTATCTTTGAAATAATGCGGGCAGACTTTTAAGCATTTCAAGACAATATCTTTGGGAGTCCAATTTTCTTGTCTTCTTAATGCCGAAAGGATGGAATTAATCTGTTCTAATTAAAGATATCCTCAAAAAGATCACTGCCACTTTACTCCAATAAAAAAAAAACTCGTCATAAAAATACAAATTAGAAGTAAAAGTTGAAGTGCATCGTTTCCTTATAATGTTTTTATTTTATCAATAAATTAATATTGTTAATGTCATTCATTTTCCAAGAAGATGACATGAGGATTTATGTTACTCTTTGAAACATTCTGCTTTCATCTTAGGAGGAACCCAGTTTAAGCTTTGAAATACGTATGCTTGATCGTGGGCTTCTAGCCAAGGTGCACCTAATTAATCAGAAGATCAAATGTGTGCTCAGTGGGAGGCACAACTACAAAACCACAGGTGGTAGCCAACAGCTCCATTTAATAAAGGTTGCACAAACAGAGTACTGTGCTAGGGCTCCTGTCACCAGCATGTGGATTTGCTGCCATTTTGTCATTGACACAAGAACAGTTATATGTCATAAAGCTTCTCATTCCACTGATGTTTAATTCTCTAATCCTTAGAGCAATTCCACAGCATTGGAATCAGACAAAGTACGATCTGTTTGTTTAGTTTGTTGTTGTTATTATTGAATTTATTACTGGCTTATCCTGAGAACATAAAAACTTATGATTCTGTTAAATAGACAGGCAGGCTGTTAAAAAGTGTTGGCAGATAAGGGCACAGGTTTTAGAGTGAGACGAAACTGGAGTGAAATAATAAATTAGCTCTGCTAATGATCAGCTGTGTGATATTAGAGAAGTTAGTCTCTCTAAGCTGCTTGCTTATTGCTCATCTATGAAATGAGAAGAGTAAGACCTACCTTGTAGGTCGCTGTAGGGATTAAATAAGATACCATTATAAATCACTGTATATAGAATGCATTTGACAAATGGTAATTTTAAAACCTGGGAACTCAGGGACTGAGGGGAGGAGGGAGAAGAATCATGAATTTTCTCTAGATGAAGGTTTAAGAAAATCCCAGCACGCTAAACACATTTTTATCATGGATTAATTTCACAAAATCATTCCTCTCAAACAGTTCTAAAGGGTCTGTTTCACAATCTTATATCCTAAATCCATGGAAAGGTCTGACAGATCCGGAAAAATAGGGCAGGTGTTTTTAAGTGGTTCCTCTTTCAAGTGTTTGCTTTGGTGCACAGTTATTTGATATCTATTTTCATTCAGTTAGGAAGAGACATAGTGACAGAAGAAATAGAATTGAGAAAGTGTGGATTGTCATCTCCTATTAAAGACTGGTAATATCTAATTGATATCAAAAAGACAACAACAAAGTCTTATACCCCAGTCACTGGACTAAGGGTATAAAAGTAAATTTGCCCTTAGTTGCCTCTTAAAGGGCACAGTACTCTTTAGTTTTTTGCTCTAAGTATTATGGAGTCCAGACAAGACATACCTGGGTTTGAATTCTTACCCTCAGTGAGGGTGATCAAGTCATTTAACTCCTGTTTTTCAGTTTCCACAGTGTAGAAGTAAAGCTATAGTAATACCCACTTCATTGGAATGGGCCATGGAATCTACATGTTTAGTGATCTCTCCTTGATGATTGTTACGCACACTGATGTTTCAAATCCTCTGCTTTAAAGCCATGCTTTTAAAAATAGCAATAGAACAGCAAATAAAATATTTCTAATACCCAAAGTAAGTGAGTTAATGTGACTTTGCTGAATTATTACCCTGGGTACACTTCGCAGATAGATTTTTCTTTAAATCACAAATAGATGTTGGCATATGCAGCATGTTTACATTGTGTGTGTGTGTGTGTGTGTGTGTGTGTGTGTGTGTCTTCAGCAAGACAAAAGAAAGAAATAAGGAGGAAAGAAAGAAAACACCCACATGATTCAAAGTGGATTTTTCCATTAAGTGTCTGTTGGCGGTAACTGCATGATAACACTTGTGAATATAACACTAACGATGCAGTTGCCTAATGGTCCCAACACAAATAATGCAGAAAATTACAAGTAATGCAGATGCAGACTCAATTACCACTGAATGCAGGCAAAAGGCAACCGGAGATATAACACGTGTCATTCTATGTTATCCCCATTCCTTCTACTCGGTTAAGACAGTCGCAGGGCTAGAGAAATTCCCTTTTTCAATTATTTTCCATGTCCTCTCAAAAGCATTTCCCTCCCCCAGGTTCTTTGGCTCATCCCAATATTGGGGCAATAGTTATTTGCATAATGTTCATATAGCCTAATCCCTATCATGAAACAGCAAAGATATGCATACTGGTTTTAGAGGAAGAAATTCATCTGTCTTGCATGCTTACTAGAAGTGAGACTCAGTGATTGATAGGTATTTGTATACATATTATTTAATTTTTTGATTGCCCTACAAAGTAAGTATTATTATGTCCATTTTAGGATAAGAAAATTAGATGCTCAAAAAGTTCAAGAAATTTAAGCAAGTCACTTGGGCTGGTAAATGACAGTGAGATTCCAACCAGGTTTGTCTGATTTTGAAAATTCATGCATTTTTTTACTACAAGGAATAAAGCCAGACGCATTGAAACAGCAAAGTTTCAGAGTTCCAAGCAACAAAATTCATACTTGGCAGGCATAAGCAGTAAAGGAATTTTACTGAAAGACTGTTAGAAAGTTCACAGAATCGTTGGGAGCACTGAAGAAACATGCTGGAGTTTCCCAGACAGGAGCAGTGCTTCATCATACCACAGAACTCATCTACTGGAAAAAATAGCCACCGGCAGAGCCGGCGTGGTCATGAAAGGCTGGGGCTGACATCACTGCTGGAATACCCTGGGAACTCAGGCTCACTGCTACCAAGATCACTTCCAAAGAGCACTCCCTACAATCTCTGCTTCTCTGCATGACTAAGCTCCCAGGTATTTAGTCCTTGCTTAACACTTTATCTCACTTAATGTATTTTGTAGGTATCCTCTCATTTATTCCTCACAAGGTCACTATGGAAGTGTACTCTGTTTATGCTCAATTTGCAGACAAGGAACCAAAGCTCAGACAAGTTAAGAGACTTACCCACGATCACAAAGCCAGTAGGTGATGGAGCTTCTTAACTCACATGTGTTAGTGACATGCTTTCGTGAAAGGGCCATCAGGGTTTTAGAACCACAAAAATCTGAGTTCAAATCCTCACTCTGAAGAAGAAGAAATAGTCTAGAACTATACATCTAATTGGTAAAGAGTAGTTCATGTGGTGATTCCCTACGTTTGAGGGAGGCTGAGAGCTAGTATCTGACATTTAACAGCATTTTTTAGTGAGAGACTGGCTCTGCCTCTCAACTACACTTATGAAAATCACAAAGCTTGTGTAACCTGGTTAACCTTCAGAATTTAGTCTCTGTCAGTGTTCATTAACAAAGCAAGATCTGTTTTTCAAAGAGAGAATAATTACTTAATGAAAAGAACATGGCTTTGCTCCAAAACCCTAGGTATTTCCACTCTGATTCTCCTATCTACCACAGGCTCCATTGAACATCTCAATTTGTTTCAGACACTTTGACCACTACTGGTTGCATTCACCACCTAGTAAGAGTGAAAGAATTACTTTTACAGCAGTTTAGACTTGTTGGGGTAGCTTCTTTTGCTCTAAACGCCACCAAAAAAAAAAAAAAAAAAAAAAACTGGTAGCTTTTGTTATCATGAGTCATATGTTGCATACATTGATTCCAAAATACAAAGAGCCCTTCAATCACTTCTTCCTTATCGATGGAGGGTAAAAAGCCTCACAATTTTTTTTTCCAATTTGAAGACATTTCCAGACAATTCTCAGACCACTAGAGCTTCAGAAATTTCACCAGAGTTACAGATTTCTACATGTTAAAAAAGTTATCTCCCATCCTCTAGCAATTAAGTATTCTCCAAAGCATCAAGGCATCTAGCCTATAGACCCTCAATATAGTACACAAACATGGTTTCCTGTGTGACGGTGAGACAATGAAAATCCCTGCAAACTAAATTGTGGCACAGAACTAGAGAACTGCCATAACTCTGAAGCAAAGGTGATAGGGACATCACTTCTCACCCTACCAGGTAAAAGCAAACCTCTTCAGGGTACTGACTTGTACCAAGATAGAGAAAACAGTCCAGTTAAAAAAGGAAAACTTGGCAGGGCACAGTGGCTTATGCCTGTAATCCCAGCACTTTGGCATGCCAAGATCAGTGAATCACCTGAGGTCAGGAGTTCGAAACAAGCCTGGCCAATGTGGTGAAACCCCATCTCTACTAAAAATACAAAAATTAGCCAGGTGTGGTGGCACGCACCTGTAGTCCCAGCTACCCGGAGGCTGAGGCAGAAGAACTCGAACCCAGGAGGTGGAGGTTGTAGTGGGCTGAGATCGCACCATTGCACTCCAGCCTGGGCAACAGAGAGAGGCTCCATCTAAAAAAAAAAAAAAAAAGCAGAACTCTCATCATCCGCTTATGTAGACCAGACACCTGACATAAGGCATCTGCAGCAGAGAAGGAAATGTTGTCTGCTCTTTCCCTTCTGTAACTCTAGCCTCTTAGAGGATGGATGGAAACATGACAACACCCAAAACTCCTCCTCCCTCTTCTGCTGGGTTTAACCTCTCACATGGCTAGGGGGCAGCGAGAAAGAATGAATCTTTCTGCAAATCTCCCTTTGCTTAATTCCCTGCAGTTTTAGTTATTTCCTTGGTGTCACTACTCTCTTGAGTCAAGACCTCCATGCGGTAGGCATCCACATGGTGGCTCACTCCTGGAACTCCTATGTACATTCTTCATTGCGTCATGCAGGGCTGACTCACTGCACAGCTCCCTAGTGTGGGAGGCAGGGGCCCAACTCGGCCTCTTCTACTCTACCTTAGCATCCTCTATGTGTGATACATTCCACCTTCACTTGCTGCTGAGCTTTTTTCCGTATGGCTCAAGTGGTTCGATCCCAGATATCTACCATGTTATTAACTTGATACATGAGGGTATCATTACACCACCAAATCTGGGGAATGCAGTCCTCCTCGAGGGGCCTATAAGAACTCTGCCAAGTCCCTTTACATAGGTATCCTCAAACTTCACAAGTGTTTACCTTGAAGGCTCCTCTCACTTGACTTTGGGTAGAGCTTAGCACCCCATCCTTCTCCCAAAGTACAAATACTGCTTTAAGGCTGACCCTGGAGGCTCTTTCCCCGCTCCCCAGTCTTTTTAAATGGGCTGAGAAAGGTGTGATTTGGTGGTGGCTAGTGGTACTTCTGTACCCCTTATTAAGCCTTGTAAACATAAGTCTGTCCCCAAATGTGAAAATTATTTTTTAATTAGGAAATTTTTTAATTAGGAAAATTATTTTTAAGTAGGAATGCTTAATACCTGTTATTTTCATCTATGGGCCCTAATGCAATTTCCTGGGCAACAGAAAATACCTTTCTACAGAGAAAGACAAAAAAAGAAAGAAACATAGAGGTTTTCTGTGCATGTTTGTTTGTTTTGTTTTATAGAAGAGTGAATAACTTCAATAAAATACCTACGAGGAATGTTAAGGGTCTAGTCGTGTGGGGGTTTTTTAATAATACTTTAACATTATTAATGATCAGCATTTAATTTCGCCCAGGCAATATGCTAAGCTCTTTAGATACGTCATTTCACTCCATCCAATTAAAAGTCCTTAATTTTACCACCTCCGTTTTACAGATGACGAAACTGAGACTTACAGAAATTAATTTGCCAAGGTCAGAAAATTCTTCCTAAGTTGACATTTAAATCATTCTGTCTTATCATCTTTCAATTGTCTCTTTTTCTAATATTTGTTTTACTTGATGTCTACTAACTTAGATATTTTTAACTCGAAAACACAACAGATGGACTGGGGGCAGGGCTCCCAGCAATGCTAAGGATTTTGCATATTACATTATACTATAGTTTGGATAATTTTTTCTTCACTATTCTCAAACAAAAAACACACGTTTCTACAGAATGTATGTAATAGGAAAGAATTACAACATTTTGATACACAGGCATATGATGAACTTTTTTTATTTTCATGCATTAATAAATCTCACCACATTGATTCAATTGCCCTTCTCTACTAAGTGGAAAGATGGGAGAGATGAGAAATGAAGAGCCTCTGTATCCAGAACTCCCATTGTCTCTTTAACCAATAGCCTGAGACTGAACGCTGAATAAACTTGACTTGATTTCCCTGGGGTCGGCATCTTCCTCCTCAGCCTTCCTGGGTGAGAGAAGATGGCAGCAGCAAGCTCAACAACATGACACTTGGCAAACATTCCGAGACTCTTTGATTGCCCAAGGGCATACAGCACGGCCTTGAATAAATGCAGATTGAACTAAGGACTGTACTTTCTTAGCTCCTTGCCAAAATGTGCTGTCTTTTAAGCAAGACTGGAAATGTGGGAACCTGAAGTCCTGATTACCATTAAATCTTCCACAAGAGCACCTTTAACTGGAAGGATTTTATTTCTTAATAGTCTGATAGCTAATTCTGAAGAACGGAAGAGGAAAAGCAGAATTGAGAACTGAAGAAAGGATTCTGATTTGGGAAAAGAAGGCGAAGAGGAGGAGAAACTTGCTGATAATGGCTTAATTAATACACTTCAGCCCTTGTTTTCTCCAGTGAAGATTCAATGTTCTTCATTGTTTATCTTTGGGCATAATTTTAATTAAATGGAGCGTAGTGTTTAACTATGGTTAAGGGTTGCAATGGGCATAATTCTGCCCCCAAAATTCACACAGTGCAAGCAGCTGGGTACTACTTTTATAGTCATCAAAAATATGGAGAATAAAATACTTAAAACCATCTATTTTGTTGATTCAAGCTTATTCAACTTTTTGCTGGTGGGAGATTTTACTGTACACTTAAGTTGCTCTCTTGATAGTATTTGCCTCCAGTGAAATCCTGTTTGGGAACTCATATTCTTTTTTATGCTGAAATCCAAACTGTTTTGAACAGGGCTGCCTTCATTAAAATGATTTCCTACTGTCACACAGTGACCTAAATGACAATTGACTTTTGCCTTCCATTAACAGAATGCATTCAGATTTCATTTTCACGTATGAATGCAGTTCATGCTTCACATCATGTTATTTTAAACAATACCACAATGTAGATTCATGAATAGTGCTTTAAAATCTGTTTCCAATGTTGCTATCTTTTAAAGAATAAACTGTAAGAAGTTCTATGCCCTTATACATTCTAATTCTCTGAAAATGCATTGCAAAATTTAAAGGTCATTAGCCTTATACACTCTTAGTGCACCATAAGCTTCTATTGGAATGTGTTATATAATCAGAAACAAAGGGTGTCTCCCTCTCTCCTGCTGCCAGGCATTATACAACACTGAAGCAAAAGAGTTTCACTCACATAAAAATGTCTTTCAACCCTGATTAAATAGCAGTAAATTCTTAAAATTATTTCCTATGGTTGTTATACATTTTGATTTATCCTCTCTCCTACAGTAATTAATAGCAACAAACCACTCATATTAGCCAGATGGATGACTCTAAGATTAGTCTGAAGTTTTACCTCAATTATGGAAAAAGAAGATGAATTTGAGAAATAAATAGGAAAAAAAATCCTTCTCTTAGGTTCTTGGGTTTTTCCCCCCCTTTTTTTTAGTTCAGATTTTATTCTTTTGCAGTTTTAGAACAGAATGTGTTACTGCTGCTCAACTCTTGATGAATACAAAAAGCCCACAATTGGCATTTATTTGATCTAACACATGATTAATGTGGTGAATTGCATGTAGTCCCAACTTTTTAAATCTCTGTGAAGAATTACATTTCTGTCCACAGGCATGTCACTGTTAAAAAATGAGCCACCTAATAGAAGAACACACGGTATATTAATATGTAATTTCTTTCCCAGTATGAATGCTAATTACTGACAGTGCAGACCTTATGCTTGGTCCTTGATATGGATAGACTTTCGAGCTATCTTTGTTGGTGTCATCAGTCTTACTACTCCATTCACCCACATTTTCATTTTAAAGACTCCTGAAGATAAGCAGGGGGACTATTTAGTGGTTTTCTAGATCTAATGTGATTTAGTTTAAAAACCTGTAAGGTGGGGAGGGGTAAGTATTTTCTAACTTATTTCCAGAAATTAATTTGGTTTGCATGAAAAGAAATGTCATTATGTTAAATAATTCCCCTCTTGAAAGTACTTTCTCTGTTGCTTTCTGGCAGTCTCATTAACCTGTAAAGATAATTCAGTTGCCTAACATTTTTTTTTCTTGTTAGCTTCCAATTGAGCATTAGTAAATGTGAGGTTTCTACAAAGTATAGTAGCTTCAAATATTCATTTCAATTGTTGCTTGTTGGTTTAGGCTTTTCATGTGATTTTTTTAATGCCAGGGTCTGGTAGGAGGGAATAATTATCACATACAGCCTTCATTGTGTGACCCAACCATATAGCTCTCTTTCTTCTTCAAGCCCTTATATTTACTCCACAATCAGTATCCCACAAATTATTATATCTCACTAGGAAGAGCTTTTAATACTGTATTACTTCTCAAAATCAAACTCTTGGCCACTTATTAGTCCTTCAAACTATTTGATATCAAAAATATATCTAAAGCTCTGTGAGGAGACTTACTTTTTAAAAAAATTGTGTTAAATTCATCTTTACTCCCTCAGTGCCTAGCATAGTGTCTGAGATTTATAGAAAGCTCTAGTTATTTTAGCCATTATCTTACCCAGCACTGAACTTTATTCAGAAATGCTTATGATCAAGTACATGACAATCAGTTTGATGACTGCTCAAATTAAACCAGTTGTCCATTGGAAGTGGCTTAAAAATCTAACTTTGTACTACTTTGATTAACATATGCCTCTGAGGGCAGGGAGTGCAGCTGACCTCATCTGTTTCTAAGATTGAGAAAAGTGACACCTTGTCTTTTAATAACTAAAATTTTAATTTAATGGGATCAGAGTTCAACAAATATTATCAGAAATTTTTTATGGGTCAGAAAAAGAAGAAAACCCATTACAAGGATGCCTACAATTTAAAGCAATACCATTGAAGAATAAAAAGACACAACATGATGCCTGGAAGCTGAAAAGCCATCTACCATGCCTGGTGTAAGGACATTCAATGACAATAGTTGATAAATGATAATACGCTGGGAGTGGAAGAAAAGCTAAGTCTGTAAACTAAGAAACCTGCCTGTGAGTAACTTCACCTTCGAAGTAGACAAGTAAAAAAATTAAGCCACTGAAAATTTCCATTGCAAGAGATATTAAAAGACATTTATTAGTTGAAGTTATTTTCTGTTTCTTTAGCTCCACTCAAAGTCCTCTCAGGTCCCCAGGCTGCCACCCCAGGATACAGGACAGCGTCGGACATACAATGGACATTCAGGTAAAGATTTGTTGTTGAACGAATGTACCTGTGCTTAGGCAACTACACTTGCACTTTTCATCTGTTAGCTTAGATGATGTACAAATTGCAGCCCTAAAAATATTCAAGGCTACTAGCCTTAGCTTGATTATAAACTGTGATAGGAAAGTACATAAATGTAAATATAACCTATCAGAAGTTGAGAGGCTCGTTTCAGGGCTGGCTATTTACGTGTTTCTGTTTTTGTTTTAATATTCTCAGGCAGTAGTTCAACTTCCAAGGGAACTCTTAGCCTCCAAGCTTTCCTGCTGTCGGTGTTCTTGCTTTTCCTGTGAGGCCTCATTGTGAGAATTTCTCTGGGCCCCTGCAAGCTCTTGGAACATGATTGAGATTCCTCCCAGATTTATTTCCACTGTATCCTATAACAACCCCTTCTCCCCTCCCATTCTTGGAAGTTGCCTGAGTGACTCTTTTCCTTGAAACCCAAAGTTTATCATCAACATACATAGAGAAGACTTTATGTTTTTAATTCAGATAGGCTAAAAAATAAGATAGTGGCTGAGGGCGGTGGCTCATGCCTGTAATCCTAGCACTTTGGGAGGCCCAGGCAGGCAGATTGCCTGAGCTCAGGAGGGCAGATTGCCTGAGCTCAGGAGTTCGAGACCAGCCTAAACCCCATCTCTACTAAAATACAAAAAATTAGCCAGGCATGGCGGCAGGCACCTGTAGTCCCAGCCACTTAGGAGGCTGAGGCAGGAGAAATTTGAACCCGGGAGGTGGAAGTTGCAGTGAGCAGAGATTGCACCATCGCACTCCAGCCTGGTGACAGGGCGAGACTCCTTCTGCAAAAAAAAAAAAAAAAAAAAAAAAATAGTGTTTGATATTAATCATTAGTGTTCTGCCTCCTTTTATACAATGTGAACATCTTTTGATAAACATTGCCAGCTGAAAATATTTGATTCTTAAACTTCAATAGTTTACCAAGTAACAAATAGCTACTGCTGATCCATCTTAGAATATTGTCACATGTACATAACATAATAAAATCCTCCCCAAAATTATCTGCTTGCTATAATGTCCCAGTAATTAATCTTGTAAACTTTCCCTATACAACATGCTTTAAAGAACCAAATCACCATGCACTATCCAACATCACCCTGGTTTAACCCCCAATTGGTCCAATCCCCTTATTTCTCTTGTTTTGTACTCACACAACAAAGGAATGTTTTATAAAGCAATATCTATTGATTTCTAACTCTGATGCATGAAATCAAGAGAAAATTGGGGAAAGGGGACAATTTTGGAAAGGAAATGGTGAGAAAAATGCATCTGAGCCAGAAATGGACATTTTGTAATGGCTGGTTCCATTTCATCATTTTGCCATTTTATCTCTTCTCTTCAATACCAGGCTTTACACATTTTCTTACAGTTTTTACAAAGCATGCATGGTTGCTTTCACATCCATAAAGAAAATATTCTACCTGTTAGGATGGCCAAATTGTCTCCAAAGACCCACACAGGCTTGTTTGTGTTTATTCTTTCAGCAGTAAAAAGAGATGATGTAAAACATCAGTGGTCCATTGGTCTTCTAATGCTTCTCTTATTTTTCTAAGTTTGTGCCTGAAACATTTGTCTTTACCATGGCTTGGGCATAGAGATGAAGTATGTGCCTTCTGTAATAGCTTTTTCATTTAATTATTTTATTTGCTGATTGACTGCTTCATGTCTAGTGGTTGTGGTCTAAAAGTGTTTCTAGTTTGTTTATTTATTTATTTATGTATTTATTTTTCCTCACTAAATCTAAATGTTTGTATAGCTTGGCCTGTTTTGAGGTGAAATTCTAGTAATTTTAAAAGATTACATATATTCCACATATATGAGTGTATATGTAGAATGGTATGTATATGCTATGGTTTGGCTCTGTCCACATTCAAAATCTCATCATGAATAATAATTCCCAAATCCCCACATGTCAAGGGAGAGACCAGGTGGAGGTAATTGAATCATGACAGCGGTTACCCCCATGCTGTTCTCATGATAGTGAGTGATTTCTCATGAGATCTGATGGTTTTATAAGGATTTGGTAGTTTCCTCTGCGTTCATTTTCTTTCCTGCCGCCCTGTGAAGAGGTGCCTTCCGCCATGATTGTTAGCTTCCTGAGGCCTCCCCAGCCATGCGGAACTGATTCAATCAAACCTCTTTTCTTTATAAATTACCCAGTCTTGGCAGTTCTTCACTGCAGTGTGAGAACAGACGAATACATTATATACATGCATGTATATATACACACATGCATATGGTTCTACCCATTTGACTTGTTGTCTTGTCTCTTGAACTCTGCCCATTTTATGGGTCATTCCTACTCACTTTATTTCAAACAATTAAAGTCCAAGTTTTTTTAAGGCCTTAGTACCTTCTAGTCTTTGCTATTTAGCAGTATGTTTAACTGATCTACTAAGTTGTGACGATGCTAAACATGGGAGAAGATCCAAACATTCAGCCAAAAGTTTCACATCAGAAAACACGGAAAGATCGCTGTATTCCTCCAACAAAGAAAATAAGTATGAATTGCCAAAGAGTGATAGACACTGGTAGTTCACTCAAATCCTGGGAGGTATTCCCAGTGACAGAATTACGCATTGTCCTTTATGGGCCAAATGCTGTAGACATGCCTGAACTCTTAAGTGCAGGAGGACCAATTATAGCAACAGTTATCAGCTAACCTCTTGTCCACAGACCATGGTCAACCACCTTGTAGTAAGCAGGTGCTGCTGGCTGCAGGTTCTGACTGGTGACTGAGTGGACACAGCACAACCAGTGGCAACTCTCTGGGGGTCATCTGAACGTCTTTTAGAGAGTGGAGGACATTCAGATTGCTAGATTCTCTTCGGCTCTCATGTGTTCTCTTTCAATGTTTTTCAATGACTCAGCTCAGCTTCTGAATCATCCTTATTCTCTAAAAATAAAAACATACTGACAGTATTTATGCCATCTAATCTTTCTTGAAAGTATTGGTGGGAACATTCTTTTGTAATGTATAAAATGTAATGATTGGGTTTTTATGCTCATGTGTGAGATGTGCCTCCCTCAAACCATGTTACAATATAAGCACATTACCCATCTGATATGAAAACATGTAAGTATTGATGGGAAGCTCTCCTTTCAGTGACGTTTATTTCACTGTCCAGAGCCCTAAGTAACCATCCAATTGATAACAATTTAACATTTCAAAGAAAGGGATAAATCTGGATTGATGTGTTTGTTGTTTGTTTGTTTTTTGTAGCACTACCTACTTTCTATATCAGTAGCACATTTTTTAACATAGAGCACCTATGAAATGAAACTTTTTGGAATAGGAAAAAATTATCTCAGATTTCAAAATGAGACAGAGTTTTTTGCTTCTTTTCAGCAATTGTTTTGTTTCCCTTACAGAGAATTGACAATAATATCAAGTTTATCTCTTTTATTTGGCTGCTAGAAAGCTCAGAGCCAAATTTGCAGCCTACCTCAAGTGAACAATTTATATTTCAGATCATTTATTATATATACTACCATTTTCTAGGGCTTTATTTTTCTACTTCCTTTTTCTCTTCATTCTGATTCCATTTTTTTCACTCTTTGTCTTATGATCCTATATACTCACACATTTTAAGGTTTTTGTTGTTGCTGTCAATGGGGTAATTATACACATAGAATCACAAGCGTATACACATGTGCATACACAATAAGAAAAGTTGCTCAGAGTATAATCAAACTCTTCTTTTAATGTCCCTGTATGATATGATAACACTTGAGTACAGAGTGACACACCAAGGCAAGAATGTGTGCTCACATCTGCTGGTAGGGTCATGTGAAAGAATATCAGAGGATATAACAAACCTTTCGACAGCACCCAGATCTCACCTGCAGGGATATAAATCACTGCCTGCTTTTGGCATATCTCTGTTCAACTGGTCACCACAATCCTGAGTGATTTCGGATGTCCCCAAACAATCAGTAGTCCTAATAAAAAGAAAGATTGAAAGAGAGAAATGAGGAGAGGGCAATAACAAACACAAGGAGAAGACTAACAAATACAAGGAGAAGACTAACAAACACAAACACTAATGGTGCAAGAATTGACTTCCTATTGACAAACATCATGATGAGTGAATTATTCACTTCTCTGATATTTTTGTGTTAGGGTTCCCTGAGGTGTATGTTTGTCATGCTTTCTCTTTTAAAAGGGCTAAAAGAGTATCTTGTTTTTCTGGCATTCAGTCTTTCTTTCCCCCCTGCTGGCATTATATGGTGATGCTTTTGAATACACTTTCTTCTTCTTCCTTCAAGTGACAGTGATTAATTCATCTTGCCCTGAAACCATTATTACAACAAATCACCCAGCATCACCAATTCAGGAAGCATATTCCAGTCATCTTCCTAGGGGTTTAATGAAGCTGGAAACAGGTCCACTAAATTGAGGCGGCTGTCCCTGGAAAACAGGGAAGGACTGAACAGACTCACCGCCATTAGTATCACTTCTCTGACAGTGGTAATTTTTACTTTGATTCTTCATGTCAGCTAGTGTGCCCAGCAACCACATGACAATGAAATAATGAGACAGCAACTTCTCCTCTGCCCAACCCGTGGCCCAAGCCCTGTCTCTGGGAATCCTGCCAGGTACTTTTACTTGGCAGCCTCCTGCTTCATGCCAAGGAAGAGCGAGAAGTATTTGTCTTTTCACTACAAGATGCATTGCTTTCTCTTTGTTGCACAAGTTGGGAAGATTCTACTAGGAATGATGCAATATGCCATAGGGTGAAACTTAGATGAGGGGGCTGAATAAATGTTTTCAAGAGTTTATACCCTAAGGTTTTGGATATGCATTCTGCAGGAGGGAGGAGAAACGATCGGGAGTTGTGTTGATAAGTTAATAACTTAAGGCAGTTTACAGACAGACAAAAATTCTCCGAAATCTAAACTGACTCCAACATTGTGACACCAAAACTTTAAATACTGAAAGCAACATTTCCTTTTTTCTACTAAAAACTGCATCCCATATATTCTTTGTTAAAGTGTGTTTAGAATCACATTGCAGCTTCCTGAAGAAAGTAATCTTTCAAGAACTTCAGCCGTCCTTCTGAGAAAGAAACAGAGGATCAGTGTACACTCTTCCTAAGAGGCAAGTAGGAATTAGGGAAAAGTCAGACTGGCCCTGAACTACTCAGAAGAACAATTCCTGACTTTGAATGCAAGATAATGTTAATCTATCCTGAGCATTATAATTCCTTGGTCATGTGGCAACCTTATTGCTTGACTCACTTGGTACATTTTTCCCTTGGCTTCCCTTCATTGGATGCCTGTAAAAGCCAAATACTCATGTCTTCAGCCTCACTTGCAGATAGGAGAGATCATTTTATACAATTCTGGCCAACAAAACCTAAGCAAAACAACCAAAAACCTTGAGAGAAAAGTGGCTGAGAGCAAGGGCGGGGACAATTTGGGGTGGGGTGAGGTGGGATAAATTTTTTTTTTCCTGATAAAAAACCTGGCCTGGCTCATTTTTCCCACTTTCCCTTCTTTCTGCATCAAATGAAATCTCCATATATGATGCCGTCACAGCCATCTTGCAATCATGAAGCAATGAGCATGGGAAGTAAAGCCACCACATTAAGCATGTTAGAGTGGAAAAAGAAGGGAAAAAAAAAAAACCTAAGTTTCTTGTGACACCACTAAGGAGCCAAAAAATGCCAGAACTGTACAATCCTAAACTTTTTGTTATGTACAAAAATAAATTCTTATTTGCTTAAGACACCTTTAGTTGGATAAGCTGTTAGCTGCAGCCAAAAACATTCCTAATGAGTCCCATAAGCACGGCCAAAGGTTTACACATTTGCAAAACCCAGTCTCGCTGTGGATGAAGTAGTTTGTCAATGCTTATGAAATTCCAGAAAGCTAGAACTTCAGGAGTAAATAAGTCCTGCTATGCCAAATTCTCATCAGATCAAAGACCTTGAATTAGTAGGGAAAAAGCAGGATGTGAACAGCTGGCTCCTTCCAACATTCACCTCTTTCCCTCAGATGAAGCCTCACTGGTTCTGGAGAACTGGAGTAGAAAGGCAAAAATTCTTAAAGAATAGCCCACTTAGACACATAAGTTCTCTGTATCCAGATATCTATGAGGCCACACTGTCTTTCTTGAACTTGAGATTCCAATAAAGACACACTTAAAGTTCTACCTAAAATACCTAGTACTTACCCATTCTTGTAGAGACTGTGCATTGTCAGCTATCATGTTATACCATTAGAAATAAGCTCTTGGCTGGAGCTATGTAAAACACTAAAACTTTGTATTTGGTCATAGGGAAATGGTGCATATGAGAAAGAAAATCTGGCACTTAGCAAAAAGATTCATTTCTGACATTTTCATTTGGTTGTTATGGTGAGAAAATTCACAGCCAGTGGCTGTCAAATCCCAACATACATGAGTTAACATGCTCCAGTAGTTGACAGATGCACTCATTTTTACCTTCATAAAAGAGAACAAAACAGGGTAGGGGGAGCGTGTAGCAATGACCAAATCTAATTCTTCTTGACACTCATGGTTATAAAGTTTGGGGCAAATGCACACGTTAACCCCTAAATAAACACAGACTTCAAAGAATGGAGAAAGTCCACAAAGGGCTAAAAGGAATCCTAGAACTACACACTCACCCTTTTCATTCCACTTCAACTTCTGCCTCCACCTTTGCCAAGTCTTATCAGATGACTGCTATAAGCAACGTAATTTATGTAAATAGAATCCATTATGCAAATGCTTCCAACTTGCTTGCTACTTAGAAATTTTGTTCTTTTATGTTTAAGAAACATAGCCTTTATCCCCTGGAATAGACAGATTGGTTATGTTTATGTTCTTAAAGCCTTCTGCTACTGTTCTGGGCTTTGAGGAAAAATTATTTTTTATTTTAAAAAATGTTTTGCCTTGCCTCTCATCCCCTTCTGTAAAAATAGCCTCTTTGTTTAGCTTGGTGGTTTGTACACAGGCTTAATGATTGCAGTAGGGTAATAGAACCTTAGTAAGAAGGGTAGTACACAGAGGTAAATGCATAGATTATACCTTCTACCCTACAGGGGATCTGTTGTTTTATTGGGTTTGTATGAAACTGAGTAATCCAATTAATTCAGAGATCTCTGTGATCTTTGGTCCCTGCTTTGTTTAAGTTATATTTTCAAATGTGAACTCAATGAAATTCTTGTTTGGAGCCATAAATAGAGAGGCAGAAAAGTATATGTTCTTTGTGTTCATACTCTCTCTATGCCTTAAAATGGCAAGCCAAATTATAATGAAATAGAGCATGTTCCACTCTACACAAGGACATATTAAAAAAAAAAACTCTTTCTGCTAACATAAACTGCATTTTGTAATTTCTTATTTATATGTGTGCACATATATAAAGTATAATACATAGAAGAGACAAAAGGCATAATGTCATGAAAAAGAGTATAAGAGAGTATGTCTTTGTTTTAATAAACATTACAATAAATGAATTATGAATTAAAATTCTTTTCCCACCCTAAAGAAACACATTTTTCAACTTGACGAGTCATTGTAACAGAACTGCAAGCTCCAAGTCATTTAAAAATAGTGCTGTTTTAATAGAAGAGAACAAAACATACTAAAATCTCCAATTTGACTGATGTTCATTTTGTTACTTGATGACAAACCCAATCCAACCAGCCATGATTTAAGTGCATTCACTTTTGGACTGTCCAAAATAAATCCCCTTTGTTTTCTTTAGGCTAAACATTGTACTAAAACATCTTACTTCCAGACATTGCTCTGTGTTTTTCCAGTTGCTTATAAATGATATCTGGTGACTTGCTCTAATACTATATGGGTGTACAAATTAAGCTGATATACTTTCTACTATTTTTCCTCAAATATTCAGCAAATATTTACTAAGCACCAACTAAGTGGCATACATTGTTCCAGACTCTGGAATTGCACCAAAGACAAGGACTCTGTTCTCATGAAACATATGGTCTTGTGGAAAGAGACAACAAATAAACAAGTGAATGAGATGATTTCAGACAGAGCTAATAACTGAAACATAAAACGAACAATCAGATTGAGTGAGCAGGGGAATGTGAGGGTTGAGGGGGCTTCGGTCAGAAACAACCTCTCTGAGAAGAAGACATGGCACTGAAACGTAAGTTCTAAAAAGAAGGCAGTCACATAAAGATCTCAGGGAAGTGAATTCCAGGCAGAATGGACAATGGACAGCTGGAACAAGGGCCTTAACGTAGAAAAAAAAAAAAGCAAAACAAAAAAAAAAAAAAAGAAAAATCATTGCTATAATTCAGAGAATGAGGTGGGGAATAAGAGAAAATTAAATCAGTGAGGAAATCTGTGGACAAATCACTCAGATCTGCCTTGAAAAGAAGTTTGGGTTTTATCTTTTTTATTTTTATTTTTATATGAGATGGAGTCTTGCTCTGTTGCCCAGGTTGGAGTGCAGTGGCGCCATCTTGCCTCACTGCAGCCTCTGCCTCCCGAGTTCCAGTGATTCCCCTGCCTCGGCCTCCTGGATAGCTGAGATTACAGGTGCATGCCACCACACCCGGCTAATTTTTGTATTTTTCAGTAGAGACAGGGTTTTGCCATGTTGGCCAGGCTGGTCTCGAACTCCTGACCTCAGGTGATCCGCCTGCCTTGGCCTCCCACAGTGCTGGGATTACAGGCGTGAGCCACCGCACCCAGCCTGTGTCTTATCTTAATTGGACTGGGAAGCCATTGGAGGATTTTAAGTGAGGAGTGATGTGACATGAATTATGCTTTGAGCCTATTACTTTATAAAGAGTAGAGGTGCAGAAAGTGAGGTGCAAATGTGTAAACAGAATAATTAGGAGACTCTGTAGTATTGCAGATGAGAAATCATGTTGTCTTGAGCTAATGTTTAAACTGTGGATTAAGAGCCAATATTATTAAAACAAATTATACTTTTGTCCAGTATAAAACTACATATTCTATATTAAGTTTCTTTGCTTTTGATTCAAATTATATCAACTCATAAGATGATTATGGGGGAAACCACTTGATGAATTCATTTTAATAAATATAGACTTTTCAGGCTTATGGTTTGTAAGTGGGGAAATCTCTATTTACAACAGTGATTTGGGGTGAAGAGTTTTGCAATCACTAGACCACCAGCTGCTATAATGCCTCAGTTAGACATCCTTTGCCCACTTTGCTTTCAAGCCAGTTGCAAGCATACCAGAAAGTTGGGTCACAATTCAAACCTTATCAGCACTTTACCTTAGAGTCATTAAGTGTTATCAGATCCTTTTCTGCTGACATATTTTTTAAAAAGAGAAAGAAAGAAGAAAAAAGATAAAACCTGGACTTTTGAGGGTAAGACAGGAAATGTCTACCATGGGAAAATGCAAAACAATGGCTGAGCCTGACATTCCAGCTATGAAACTCACCTATGCTATAACCCCACTCCAGCCCAAGGGAAAATTGGGAGAAAGGGAGGAGGTGAGCTCTATGCCAAGGTCGGCCTTTAGGAAAAGACAGGATTTTTACTCACCCAGGAGCCAAGGATAAGATTTGAAAGGCACACCACTGCCCAGGATCTGGTTCAGGCTTCAGGGAGAGGTGCCAGGCTCCTGGCTTTAGGTACTAGTGCTGCTGCAAATGTTCAAGTTCGCTGCCACAGCAAACAGAATCAGAACAAAGGCTGGGTCTCCAGCACATGGGTTCTCCAAGTGAACCATCCACTTCCTTTGACACCAACCATGGTGGCAAGGAAAAACAATCCTGAACACCCTACTTAGGCTCAGACACCTTTGGGAGCCTGCTATGTACCTGAGCTTAAAAGAGACGTGGAGAGATTAAGCCTCTGAAATATTATTGCTTTTTAATATCTTGCTGGTAGCATCTTGTTTCTTGCCTTAACTCTTCTGATTTTACACTTAAAAGTGATTGTCTCCACATTTTTCTTCAGCGCACGCTCTAGTTTCCAATTTATATGACATTCCTATTTGTGTATCACGTCATTATGCAGCTCTTTGTTCAGCTAATTTGGCTCCTTCTCACCCATTATTTTTCTTGTATAAAAAGGTTACATTCACCTTTCTCAGGCTAATTTTCAACCATAATATTGTTCCTCCTTTACGTTGAATTATTAATACCCTTGCTGGAATTTCCACACAGTGTGAGAAATAGTAACATGGGAAAACACACGCAGCACACAAATCTAAGGCAGTTTCTACAACACAAAAGAAAGGCATGAAGAAAGGCTCTGGGGTTGATCCGGTCTGCAACTATTATTTTTAAAGCAAATAACTGCTGATTGTTTTATTTCTGGATCTTTCCCTCTGAATTCTAAACATGTAGGAGTCTAACCACATGGTGTTAATAGTGGTGAAAAGAGAGGAGAGAATCACCCTTAATTTCTTTACCTGAAACAACCATTACTGTTTCTCAGTGTTGTTTTTGTTGTTGTTGCTGCTGCTATTTTGAAAATAATATGGTTAGGAGTGACTTCAACCATTTGGGTGTTCCTGAGGAGGGTGTTTAAACCAGTTTATATGTAAGGTCTCAGAAAATATTTCCTGCAGTGGTGGTAAATTATTTAATCATTAGATGCCAGAATGTGGTGAGGATGACACAAAGAACATTAAGGTAGATGGAATCATCCTTATTCAGTCAGCATCTAGCTTAAATTAAACTAACAAATCAGAAAGTGAAAAGTATGGGGAAATGAAGCCTTACAAACACTGGATAGGAGAAAAGTGTATGTCATAGCCATTTCCAGAGGGTCCAAAGTAATACAGAAAGATTTTCCAGGGTGGAAATGGTTTGAAAATAAACACCAAAGCAGACGGGAGAGAGAAAACTTGACAAGTTCACCCAGGAGATGTGCACAAAGATATATTATTCATGCATAATGTAAATACTTCATTTTTTCAATAGTTGTAAAGTTGTCTACTTGTCTTTTTTTATAGCTGTGTCACATGTCATCTGTCTTAGGTGGTTAGTTCTTAAAGCAGTGATCTCCAGCCTTTAGAGAACTGAAAATCCCTATTGCTTGTTATGTGACAACTGCCCTACCCCAACCTCTCTGCCCCCAACCAGAAAAAGTAAGGAGAGGATAAGAATGTTTAAAATTATGTGAACTTTCATCTTATGTAAATTGAAACTATTCCAGTTGAGAGGAATTTTATAATCCCAGCTGGGATAACCAAGGTCCTCCTCCCATCCTCTTCCCACTGCATGTTATAAAACTGAGGTTGCAAGCCATTGTCCAAGGGGAAAAGTTGTACCTAATAAAAACTTTATTTCTGAATTTTAAAGATGAAAAGAGTCTAACCTCCTAGAAGTTGTGAAGGAAAACAAAAAGAAAAAACAATGCCCTTAATCTCATGAAGTAAAATAACCATAATTGCTTTTTTTTAAGTTTTTGTTCTTACATTCTTTTAATGTTATGAAATAAATACATTATTTTAAGTCTTTGTTTTAAACAAATTCAGAAGTGCCTAACGAGTAACAAATGAAAATTTCCATCATTTCTCATCTCTCATTCCCAAACCTTCTACCTTCCCAGAGGCCAGATCTGGAAGCATCTTGGTGCATGTTGTTCTCAAATTTATTCTATGGATTTATACATAGCCATGTGTTTGAATGACACATATATAGCTTGTCCTGTTTTTATAAAAATAGGTCATATCATACATATTATTTAGCAGTTTGATTTTTTAAACTTAACAGTATAATTTGGACATTTTTCCACACTGGAACATCATTCTTTTGATTGCCTATATAACATTCCATCACACTAAAAATCAAAACTCATTTCAACCACACCCCGATATTTAGGTTATTTCTACTTTTTGCTCTAAAATCAACACCCTTACAAGCAGTGTGTATGTTGTACATGTGTCTTTTTGCACATGCTATATTAAACAGATACCCGGAAGTGAAAGTAGTGGGTCAGGGGATACTTGAAATTATGATAAATACTGCCACATTGCCTCCAAAGCTAATCTCATCTGTATATACTGTTGCTTAAAATTCTGTACCTGACCTTTTTCATAGTTTTGTGATATTGGGCACATAAATAAAAAATACTTTAACTGTTTCTCTGTTGTTAAATTGTAAGTGGATGCTGGTTTTTCACCAATATGAAAAACAATGCTGTGGTGAAATTCTCTGAGCACATGGGTTTTCAATGTTTTAGGTGATGATTTCTTAGCATGGTTTATTGTTCATGTATACTATCAAATCCCTTTCCAACTTACATGGTTTTATTACTTGTGTGATCCTATTCACTAAACTTAATATACGAACCTAAGGAGATGGAATATTTTTTCTATATGTATATTTTCTAGGATTTATTCTTTTGAACATTAGGTATATAGGGACTTTTGTCTAATTATGAAGAGCATGAACTCTTAAACTATTGACATCATACAGCAGAATGGAAAACAGTATGGAGATTCCTCAAAAACTTAAAAGTAGCACTACTATATACTCTAGCAATCCCACTTCTGGATATATACCCAAAGGAAATGGAATCAGTAGCTCAAAGAGATATTGACACCTCCATGTTTACTGCAGCATTGTTTACAATAGCCGAGGTAAGGAAACAGTCTACTTGTCCATGTACAGATGACTAGATCAAGAAAATGCCAGATGTACATATTATACGTATATATATATACACACATACACACACGCATACAATGAATATTAGTCAGTCATGAAAAAGCAGGAAATCCTGCCATTTGTGACTACATAGACGAACCTGTAGGACATTATGCTAAGCGAAATAAGCCAGACACAGAAGAATGAATACTGTATGATCTCACCTATATGTGAAACCTAAAAAAGTCAAACTTACAGAAACATAGAGTGGAACGATGGGTTGCCAGGAGCTTAGGGTTGGGGGAAATGGGGAGATTTTGGTCAAAGGACACTAACATAGTTATAAGATAAAGTTCAGGAATCTGATGTACAGCATGGGTGGTATGGACATGTATATTAATTTGATTTTGATAATCATTACACAGTGTATGCATATATCAAATTATCACATTAAGCACCTTGAATATATACAATCTTTATTGTCATTAATATTTTAAAATTAAGAAAAAACTATTAACTGTATACTTTGCTGTATTTTCTGTTTTTAAAAAGTTTGTCTAGTGTTACAACACAATAATAAAACAATAATAATAAATAACATTTTGGTATATTTACTCTGTGCCAGCTATACTTAACACTTTGCTGATAAAGGAACTAAAGATTTTCACAACTAAAATCCATAGGTTTGTTTCTTATCATTTCTTCTCTCATTTTAAACCATAGAAAGTCGATCTCTTTTTCAAGGTTTTAACAAATTTCTAATTTATTTCCTTCTGCATTTTATAAGTTTTATTTTCTATTTCATTGAAATAATAACTCTTTATGGAGTGCAGTATGATGTTTTGATACACATATATATTGTATAATGATCAAATTAGGGGAACTGGCATATCCATCACTTCAAACATGTGCCATTTGTTTGTGATGAGAATATTCAAAATTCTTTCTTCTAGCTATTTGTTGTTGTTGTTGTTGTTGTTGTTGTTGAGATGGAGTCTCGCTCTATTGCCCAGGCTGGAGTGCAGTCATGTGATCTCAGTTCACTGCAACCTCCGCCTCCCAGGTTCAACCAATTCTCCTGCTTCAGCCTCCTGAGTAGCTGGGATTACAGGCACCCACCACTATGCTGGACTAATTTTTGTATTTTTAGTAGAGACAGGGTTTCGCCAAGTTGACCAGGCTGGTCTTGAACTCCTGACCTCAGGTGATCTGCCCGACTCAGCCTCCTAAAGTTCTGGGATTACAGGCATGAGCCACCTCGCCCAACCTCTTCTAGCTATTTTGAAGTACACAATATATTATTGTTGCCTATAGTCACCCTACTGTGCAATGGAATACCAGAACTTATTCCTCCTATCTAAGCGTAACTTTCACCCATTGACCAACCTCTCCCCATCTTCTGGTAACTGCTGTTCTACTCTCTACTTCTATTAGATCAACTATTTTATATCCCACATAAGAATGAGACCTCTACCTATAAATAGTTGTCTTTCTAAACTGTCTGGATTTATCATGGTATATATTGTCAAACAACTTTTCAAATCACCAGTCACAGCAGTGCACAATGAGACCTTCTGTGGTTTGGATAGGGTTTGTTTGCCGCCCCCTCAAGTCCCACATTGAAATTTAGTCCCCAGTGTTGGAGGTGGGCCTGGTGAGAGGTGTTTGGGTCATGGGAGTGAATCCTTCATGAATGGCTTGGTGCTGTCTTCCCAGGAATGAGTGAGCTCTCACTCTATTGGTTCTCACAAGAACTGATTGTTGAAAAGAATGCAGCACCTCCCTCCCCTCTCTGTCTTCCTTCCTTTCTCACTATGTGATGCTCCCCTTCACCCTACACCATGAATGGAAGATTCCTGAGGCCCTCACCAGAAGCAGATGATGATGCCATGCTTCTCAAACAACCTGCAGATACATGAGCCAAATAAACTATTTTCTTTATAAATTATCCAACCTCAAGTATTCCTTTAACACAACGCAAATGGACTAAGACAAGACCAGAATAAATGCAAAGAAGTGATGGTGATAGAACAAGAGAGGAAGAAGATCGTATAGTTATGTTCATAAGAACTAGAAAGAAGGTAGTAGAATATGACAAAATAAATGTAGCCGTAAGCCATAGAAATGTGTCTACACATATGATGTAAATTTTGCTCTTATTACACTTCTATGGCAAAACGTTAATATTATTCTATTAATAATAGTTTTGAAGCAATGTACTTAACACATCAATGCACTTTTAAAAATCACAAGATTGCTGTTCTGAAGAACTGTCTTTCCCCAACCAGTTGTAAGCTCTTTGGGAACATGATCCATGCTTCTACTTCTTTTATATCCCCTACATTGCCAAGAACACAACACAGGGCTTGCCGTGAAGCATTTGGTGAACACCGGTCAATAGGTGTAATGCAGCACTTCATTGACTCCTTCCATCAATATTTCTAGAATCCATGTGGCAGACACTGCTGTAGGCGCTGGGTGGTTTACTGTATGTAATGTCCACAAAACAGGAGCAGTTTTGCCCTCATGGAGCCTGTATTCTTGAGGGGGAGATTGCATTTTTCAAACAAGTTATAATTACCAATTATAAGCAAGGAAAAAATACAGGGCCAGGTAAAAGAGATGTCCAAGAAGGCTTTCTTGGAGAAATGACATTTGAAATGAGATCCAAAGCATGAATAGGAGTTAACCAGGTGAAGGGGGAGAGGCAGTGAGCAGGTAGAGGAATAGTTTACACAAACTTGATGCACTCTTGAAGCAAACCTTCCAAGTGATCATCATAGTGCCTCCCTAAGAACATCAGAAAAAGGCAGTGGAGAAGGTGGGAACGGGGGAGAATAATGAGAATAATTACACAACTCCTAATATCAAAGAAATTAACTGAAAAGTAAAGAGTTTAATTACTGCTAGCTGTTCTACCCAGCGGACAACAAGCAACGGCCTTATCTGTGTTCTTAAGCTCCAGAGACTACCCCAGACACTGTTCTTGGAAGCTTTAGCCGTTCTGGAATCATAGACCAATGATTAGCATTCCCTACTGTCCAGTTCCTAAGATGCCTACCAGCAACATGGCCATAAGTAATCCCATGTCTTAAGCTCAACAAAAAAGAGTGCTTTCAGACAAAGTTGTAGAGAGATAAAAACCCTTTGCCTTATTTTCTCAAACTCTGCTCATCTTGCATTTTCACCTCTATCACCATGACAACGTATATGCAAAACAAATAGAGTATTTTTGCTTTTTACATAGGGTAGAGAGGAAGAACAAGTCTAAAACAATATTACCTTCACCCCACAAGGAAGATCTTGTCTCCAGGTGATGCTCATGTCCCTGTCATTTTCTCTAGGCTCTGGGCATGGTGTGACACCTCCCCAGGTGCACTGCAAATGTCAATTCATGAGCTCCTGGGAAGTTGGTATCCTTACAGCAGCCCAAGTCCAAGTTTTTTTTCCCAATGTCTAGTATCTATCAACAAAAGAATGTAATTACCCAACAATTATATACCTATTAGTAGGTGGCTATATATATATATGATATTTTATATATATAATGTATATAATATAATATTTTATATATATAATATATATTTTATATATAATATATATTATAATATTATATATTATATATATAATATATATTATATATAATATATAATATATATTATATAATATATAATATATAATATATATTATATATAATATATAATATATATTATATATTATATATTATAATATATAATAACATATAATAATTATATAATATATATGATATATATAATATATATGATATTAGAGACAACTTACAGCATTGATGAGGGAGAAAAAAAGGAGAAGATACAGGTCATGGAAGCCTGAAGCCATATCTTTGCCCTATTCAAATATCTGCCTTTTTAGACCTACACTCAGGAGTGGCTGGGGTGAAAGGTGACTATTTTCATTGTATTTAAAATGCCAGTTGCTTTGGTTTGTCAAAGTCCAAAATGAAACGATCTTTCAAGAAGAGTTTCTGACGTATGTAACACTAAGGTTGCATCTCCTGTTTTGAAGATTAAGGCAATTTTCTCGTGCCCTTTTCTCAGCTGTAATAAAAGCCCTATTTTTCAGTGGGAAGATGGATGGAAATTCCTCCTCACAGATGCAGTGCACCATCAGGCAGGTGCTCTCTCACTGGAGTGGCATCTTTAGTCCCCAGCGGGTTGTTCAGTGTCAGAGGCTCCAGGCTTGATCAACATCCTACACATTTTCTTGACAGATTGGTATCTTTGGCACCTCAGCTAGTAAACAACAGCACCAGTGCCCATGATTACCTCCTCATCTCTTCTGCCAAACTGTAAGAAAAAGGTTTCTCTTGCCTTAAAAAAGATGTAAACATTGTTCTCTTATTTTTTTTTTTGTTATTCTAAAATAGATCCTAAAGATACTATACTCAAGTTTTAATTCTTTAATGCATTTGCTTTGGTAAACATTACTCAGAAAACATCCACAAAGGACTCGAAATCCATTAAAAAATAAATAATGTTGCTTCAGATTTGCAGGTTGTTTTGATGATCACTGAGGAGAGTCAGTATTTCCCCCTCCCCAGGCTGGAAAGGAGAGCCAGCAGAGACTCTCAAGGATCCCAGGTCAAGGTTCCCACCCAAAGAAGGGCCCATCGGGATTACTGGGGGAAATTTTTCAAACCAGTCATATGCTTCCACAGATGATTGAGATGTACTTCTCTCACCAGCTAAGAGCCACGGAGACAGACAGCATGATTTAGTAGTAATAGCCAACATGGTCTAAATAACAGTTGATGCATTCATTACCTGTGCAAAATCAGAAAGTTAATAACCTTTCTTCACTTCAGTTCCTCATCTGCAAAATGAAGACACTGATACCTTACAGAATTATTAATTATGGCTAGGCTTGGTGTTCCCATGCAAATCTCATCTTGAATTGTAGTTCCCATAATCCCTGTGTGTTGTGGAAGGGTGGTTTAATTTACCAGTGGGTGGTAAATTAATCATGGTGACAGTTACCCTCAAGTGATAGTGAGTTCTCATGAGATCTGATGGTTTTATAAGGGGCTATTCCCCCTTTTGCTCAGCACTTCTCCTTGCTGCCGCAATGTGAAGAGGGACGTGTTTTCTTCTCCTTCTGCCATGATTGTAACTTTCCTGAGGCCTTCCCACCCATGCTGAACTGAGTCAATTAATCCTCTTTCCTTAATATTAATACATTACCCTGTGATATGATTTGGCTCTGTCCCCACCCAAATCTCACCTTGAATTCCCATATGTTGTGGGAGAGACCCAGTGGGAGGTAATTGAATCATGGGGTCAGATCTTTCCCATGCTGTTCTTGTGATAGTGAATAAGTCTCATGAGAGCTGATGGTTTTAAAAGGGGGAGTTTCCTTGCACAAGCTCTCTTTTTCCTGCTGCCATCCATGAAAGACGTGACTTGTTCCTCCTTGTCATCTGCCATGATCCTGAGGCCTCCCCAGCCACATGGAACTGTAAGTCCATTAAGCCTCTTTCATTTGTAAATTGCCCAGTCTCAGGTACGTCTTTATCAGCAGCATGAAAACAGACTAATACATGCAGTCTTGGGTATTTCTTCACAGTAGCATGAAAACGGACTAATATAGTTATTATGAGATTTAAATTAGATGAGCACAGTGCTTGGTACATAGTAAGCACTCCACAAATGTCATTTTTCTCTCCATCTATGACAGAAAATAAGAAAGCTTGGGTGTCAGACAAAACTGACTTCCTATTCTCGTCAGTCTACCGAGTTAACATTGTCATTCTTTTGAAACCATGTGTTATTTGACACATCAAATACATCCATTTCTACAAATATAAGTCAGATTTATCTCTTTATTTTTAGAAAGAAATGAGCAGTGAAAAGAAAAAGAGAGGGTCAGAGGATGAAGAGAAGTGGAAAGACAAAGAGAACCAAATTATCTTGGGCTACTCTGGGCTGGGTGCTTTCCAGATATTTGTATCCACTTAATTGTTCACATTCCTGTTAGAGATACAAAGATATTGTTGTCCCTGGTGTAGAGATGAAGGAGCTGAGACTCAGAGAGTTTAAGGGGCTCACCCAGTTAAGAGTTAGAGCATATTGAAACTCAATCCTCATTTTTCCATATCCTTTCTACATTTTCTGCATCACAGTGCATTGCCTTGCCCCTCTTCTCCATTTAATTCTTCCCTTCACTGTTGCTTCTTCTTGTTGTTGTTTGTTTGCTTTCTACCAGCATTCAACTAGTATCAATGATCCATTTCTTAAAATAACCTGAGAAACCTGTGCATTACTCATGGTAATAATTCAGGTAAGCCTAAAGAACGGCTTCATTAGCACTCGGTAGATAATGAATATTACAATTCCATTATTACTAATATTGTCACTAAAGACTTAGAGAATTGAAGAGATGGAGAGTTAAAGGAAATAAATTAGTGATGAATCTCACAAGTGTTCTGCCTGCCAACTATTAATAAAGTATATGGAAATCCATCCTTATAAAGTTGTTTTCCTTGAGAAGATTGTTGATGTGATTCAAATATTGAAAATCAATGTTATACATGTCCATACTTTCAAAATATTTGATTCACTAGTTCATTAGCACATTTAGTACAAGATGCTTGGCAGAATGATTGATCACTTGGAATACACATGAATAAATAAAATTACAGTAAAAAAATAAGCCTTTAAACTTGCTGATAATTTTACTTTTTTGAATTCTTAAAATATTATTGTCATAGTCTCCAAGAAAAAGCCTACAGCTAACAGTGATCTGGGCTCTGACATGTAACTATCCTTTTGCTCTATAAAGAACTTCAAGAAGCTTCTAGAATAAGGCTGTGATATCAGAGAAGAGGTAAAGAAAATTTCAAGGACAGAGAATTTTATGGACAAGATTTCCATGTTACAAAGGCACCCAGAAAATTGTAGAAAGCTCAATTCTAGTTCTCTCAACCCAATTCCTTGTTGGGCATGTTATGTAGAGGAGGCACCATCCATCCCAGAGGGATAAATTTCCCCACTAGGGCTTCTTGAGAACATTCAATTAACCAGAAAATAGGGAAATGCTTGAAAGAATAAAGCCCAATCCCTAAAAGCTATTAGCTTCTCATATTAGCCATCTCTAAAAATTATGCCTTATCAGCACTATAAAGAGGGAAATAAGCAATTCAAAATTGTTTCTAGCTAATAAAACATTTCCCCTTGCTCAGTATTCATCTCCCAATTAATGAAGTGGATAAAGGAAAAATTTATCATTACAACAAACACAACCCCACCTCTTTAGCCTCATCTCCCTGGAGGATGACGGGTGTATTACTAAATGTGCTAATCAACTGAGATGGGAATACTCTGAAAAGTATGGACACATAACATTGAGGTGCAATATATGAACCATCTCAAAACCATATTCAAATAAAATTATGGTATAAAAATGGAATTCCATATTCCAAATCAGTCAGTCTATTTAGTCTCATTATAACCTCATTGGTAATGTTGCCCATCTAAAATATTCTCCATAGTGTTCTCCATGTATGGAATCCTATTCACTCACATCAAAGTCCAACTTAAAATGTTACTTTCTCTACAAAGTTTTTCTTTACCATCTGCACCATTTCCTTCCCAATTAATGAATCATTTGTAATGATCAATTACTCCTATAAAATTCAATTTGCTATTGATTCATTCAACAAACATTTAGTTTACACTGTCATGTACAGTCACTGTGCTAAGGGTGGGAAGTCGAAATATAAATTGTGACAGTCAGATCTCAAAGTTTTGAATTTTAAAAGATTCAAGCAGGTTCTTAATTCTTAATTGTACTATAATGAGCTGAATGGACTTACAGAGAGATGTACATGCTTGCAGAGCATATTATGTAACTCATAGGTGAGGCATAACTTGGCCTCAAAGGGTGGGGTCTAGAGACTTCATTTAACTTGTAGGCTCCCTCACTTTGCATTTACGCTGTAACTTCTTAGTTATGTTTTCGTAAGGGATTTCATGTTATCCAACTAGACTGAAAGATTTTTGCAGACCAAAACATGCCTTTAATTTCTGTAAGTTCCCTTAAATATCCTAAATAATATTTGACACACACAAAATACCTCCAAACTATTGATAATAGATTGATTAGTTTACATATCTAATAACTAGAAGAAATTTTCTAGAATGTTTGAAACAAGAAGTTGCAAGCTAACAGAACTTCAGGCCAGTCTTGAAGAGTATTTTGTTCATTTATTTGCCTGCATAGAGTTTTAAAACTTTAAATCTATGCTCATTATTTCAGATTTGATACACGTCACATAAAAACCTAGATTTATGCACTGGCATGGAAAATCAGACAACTGGGTACAATTTGTACAAATTCCCTCATAGCAACAAATGACTGGATTTGAGAAGGAGCTATCATCATATTAGGGCTTTCACTGTCCAGGTTCCTAGTGTCAACTGAGATGATTTTACTCATTTGCATTACCTATGAGACCTCTGCATTGAGTTTGCAACCTATTTTAAGCATGGAGATCTTAGTAAAGGATTTGTCATCTCCAAATTCCCATGTACCCCAGTTGAGCAAATAATTTGCATTCTGCATGGCTTGCATTCTTTACTCCACATTTGAAGGCACTATCAAGGACTTAACCATTATTTATGGGAGAATAGAAAATAAGAGGGTGGCCTATAAAGACATGTGGTATAAACTGAGGGCATGCATAGCTTAGGAAGAAAAAATTGTTTCTTACTTTATTCTCCAACTGAGAGCTGGTCTACCTATGCTATGTTCTCAAAAAAATTTAAAAGGTAGGGGAAGAAGAAGAAAGAAAAACATGCTTACTACAGCCAGTGCTGCTATTACACTGAATGCATGAGTTCATTCTGGGGCTCAAATATTTTGTAGAATTTGCTGGGGTTTCTCGTGGGAGGAAAACAAAGTACATTAACTTAGCCTTTTGTTATTAGCAAAAAGGGTATGAATAAATCAGACTCATCCTTGAATCCTCAAAGAATAATGTCACCCATTAGACTACATTAACAGGAAGATTTTTCTCTAATAAAGTCATGGAAATCTAATTCATCATCATCAACCACAAAAATAATCATCTTGCTGGATACCTGAACAGATAACAAATTGGCAGCTGAGAGATCCAGGAAGACACTCATTTTTTTCTGGGTTTCAACTTCTTGATCCATCAAATGAAAGGGATTAGATGATTTCTGAGATTCCTTTAGCCCTAAAACTTGATGATTTATTCAAGGTACTTCCGGGATGCCAAAGATTTGAAGAAATATAGACAATTATCTATTCTTTAGGAGTTTTGTAGAGGAAAGGGGGTTCCTAGAGAAACACAACAAATAGTTTTTCAAGCTGGTTGTACTAAATGCGCAATAAGAGAACAGACAAAAAATAGAATTTCTGGCAAGGTGGCTGAATAGAAACAGCTCTGGTCTGCAGCTCCCAGCGAGATCAATGCAGAAGGCAGATGATTTCTGCATTTCCAAGTAAGGTACCTGGTTCATCTCACTGGGACTGGTTGGACAGGGGGTGCAGCCCACGGAGGGCAAGCCAAAGCAGAGTGGGCTGTCACCTCATCTGGGAAGAGCAAGGGGTCAGGGAATTTTCTCCCCTACCCAAGGGAAGCTGTGAGGGACTGAGCCTGAGGAACCATGTGCACTCCGGCCCAGATACTGAGCTTGTCCCATGACCTTCATAACCCACAGACCAGGAGATTCCCTCTGGTGCCTACCCTACCAGGGCCCTGGGTTTCAAGCACAAAACTGGGCAGCCATTTGGGCAGACACTGAGCTAGCTGCAGGAGTTTTTGTTGTTGTTGTTGTTTGTTTTTCCATACCCCTATGGCGCCTGGATCACCAGCAAGACAGAACCATCCACTTCCCTGGAAAGGGGTGCTGAAGCCAGAGAGCCAAGTGATCTGGCTCAGCGACTCCCACCCCCACAGAGCCCAGCAAACTAAGATCCACTGGCTTAAAATTCTCGCTGCCAGCACAGCAGCAGTCTGAGATCAACCCTGACACTGGAGCTTGTTGGGGAGGGGCATCCATCATTGCTGAAGCTTGAGTAGGTGGTTTTACACTCACAGTATAAACAAAGCAGCCAGGAAGCTCGAACTCGGCAAAGCTCACTGAAATTCAGCAAGGCTGCTATAGCCAGACTGCCAGATTTCTCCTCTCTGGGCTGGGCATCTCTGACACAAAGGCAGCAGCCCCAGTCAGGGACTTATAGATAAAACTCCCATCTCCCTGGAACAGAGCACCTGGGGGAAGGGGCAGCTGTGGGTGCAGCTTCAGCAGACTTAAACGTCCCTGCCTGACCGCTCTGAAGAGAGCAGCGGACCTCCCAGCACAGTGTTCGAGCTCTGCTTAGGGTCAGACCGCCTCCTCAAGTGGGTCCCTGACCCCCATGTATCCTGACTGGGAGACACCTCCCATTAGGGGCCAACAGACACCTCATACAGGAGGGCTCTGGCTGGCATCTGGCAGGTGTCCCTCTGGGACGAAGCTTCCAGAGGAAAGAACAGGCAGCAGTCTTTGCTATCCTGCGCCTCCACTGGTGATCTCCAGGCAATCAGCATCTGGAGTGGACCTCCAGCAAACTCCAGCAGACCTGCAGCAGAGGGGCCTGACTGTTAGAAGGAAAACTAACAAACAGAAAGGATAGCACGTCCACTCAAAGACCCCATCTGAAGGTCACCAACATCAAAGACCAAAGGTAGATAAATCCACAAAGATGGGGAGAAACCAGCGCAAAAAGCCTGAAAATTCCAAAAACAAGAATGCCTCTTCTCCTCCAAAGGATCACAACTCCTCGCCAGCATGGGAACAAAATTGAATGGAGAATGAGTCTGACGAATAGACTGAGGTGGGCTTCAGAAGGTGGGTAATAACAAACTCCTCCGAGCTAAAGGAGCATGTTCTAACCCAAGGCAAGGAAGTTAAGAACTCTGAAATAAGGTTATTCAAATTGCTCACTAGAATAACCAATGTAGAAAAGACCATAAATGACCTGATGGAAATAAAAAACACAGCACGAGAACTTCGTGAAGCATACACAAGTATCAATAGCCAAATCGATCAAGCAGAAGAAAGGCTATCAGTGATTGAAGATCAACTTAATGAAAGAAAATGTGACACATATACACCATGGAATACTATGCAGCCATAAAAAATGATGAGTTCATGTCCTTTGTAGGGACATGGATGAAGATGGAAACCATCATTCTCAGCAAACTATTGCAAGGACAAAAAACCAAATACCGCATGTTATCACTCATAGGTGGGAATTGAACAATGAGAACATTTGGACACAGGAAGGGGAACATCACACACCGAGGCCTGTTGTGGGGTGGGGAGAGTGGGGAGGGATAGCATTAGGAGAAATACTTAATGTAAATGACGAGTTAATGGGTGCGGCAAACCAACATCGCACATGTATACATATGTAACAAACCTGCACATTGTGCACATGTACCCTATAACTTAAAGTATAATAAAAAATATATAAAGGAACAATAAGAGAAAAAAAAAGAAGATCAACTTAATGAAATAAAGCAAGAAGACAAGATTAGAGAAAAAAGAATAAAAAGGAACCAACAAAGCCTCCAAGAAATATGGAACTATGTGAAAAGACCAAACCTATGTTTGATTGGTGTACCTGAAAGTGATGGGGAGAATGAAACCAAGTTGTAAAACACTCTTCAGGTTATTATCCGGGAGAACTTCCCCAACCTAGCAAGACAGGCCAACATTCAAATTCAGGAAATACAGAGAACACCATAAAGATACTCCTTGAGAAGAGCAACCCCAAGACACATAATCGTTAGATTCACCAAGGTTGAAATGAAGGAAAAAATGTTAAGGGCAGCCAGAGAGAAAGGTCGGGATACCCTATCAGACTAACAGCAGATCTCTCTGCAGAAACCCTACAAGCTAGAAGAGAGTCGGGGCCAATATTCAACATTCTTAAAGAAAATAATTTTCAAACCAGAATTTCATATCCAGCCAAACTAAGCTTCATAAGCAAAGGAGAAATAAAATCCTTTACAGACAAGCAAATGCTGAGAGATTTTATAACCACCAAGCCTGCCTTAGAAGAGCTCCTGAAGGAGGCACTAAACATGGAAAGGAACAACCAGTACCAGCCACTGCAAATACCTACCAAATTGTAAAGAACATCGGCACTATGAAGAAACTGAATCAACTAATGGGCAAAACAACCAGCTAGCATGTTAATGAAAGGATCAAATTCACACATAACAATATTAATCTTAAATGTAAATGGACTAAATGCCCCAAACAAATTCAAAACCTAGCAAAAGACAAGAAATAACTAACCTCAGAGTGGAACTGAAGGCAATAGAGACACGAAAAGCCTTTCAAAAAATCAGTGAATCAAGGAGCTAGTTTGTTGAAAAGATCAACAAAATAAATAGACCGCTAGCCAGACTAATAAAGAAGAAAAGAGAGAAGAATCAAATAAATGCAATAAAAAATGATATAGGGGATATCACCACTGATCCCACAGAAATACAAACTACCATCAGAGAATGCTATAAACACCTCTATGCAAATAAACTAGAAAACCTACAAGAAATGGATAAATGCCTGGACACGTACATCCTCCCAAGTCTAAACCAGAAAGAAGTCAAATCCCTGAATAGACCAAAAACAAGTTCTGAAATTGAGGCAGTAATTAGTAGCCTACCAACCAAAAAAAGTCCAGGACCAGACAGATTAACAGCTGAATTCTACCAGAGGTACAAAGAGGAGCTGGTACCATTTCTTATGAAACTATTCCAAACAATAGAAAAAGAGGAATCCTCCCTAACTCATTTTATGAGACCAGCATCATCCTGATACCAAAACCTGGCAGAGACACAACAAAAAACGAAAATTTCAGGCCAATATCCCTGATGAACATCAATGCAAAAATGCTCAGTAAAATACTGCCAAACCGAATCAAGCAGCACATCAATAAGCTTATCCACCGTGATCAAGTCAGCTTCGTACCTGAGATGCAAGAATGGTTCAACATATGCAAATCAATAAATGTAATCCATCACATAAACAGAACCAATGACAAAAACCACATGATTATCTCAATAGATGCAGAAAAGGCCTTCGACAAAACTCAACACCCCTTCATGCTAAAAACTCTCAATAAACTAGGAATCGATGGAACATATCTCAAAATAATAAGAGCTATTTATGACAAACCCACAGGCAATTTCATACTGAATGGGCAAAAAATGGAAGCATTCCCTTTGAAAACTGGAACAAGACAAGGATGCCCTCTGTCACCACTCCTATTCAACATAGTGTTGGAAGTTCTGGCCAGGGCAATCAGGCAAGAGAACGAAATAAAGCCTATTCAAATAGGAGGAGAGGAAGTCAAATTGTCTCTGTTTACAGATGACATGATTGTATATTTAGAAAATGCCATCATCTCAGCCCAAAATCTCATTAAGCTAATAAGCAAATTCAGCAAAGTCTCAGGATACAAAATCAATATGCAAAAATCACAAGCATTCCTATACACCAATAACAGACAGTGAGCCAAATCATGAGTGAACTCCCATTCACAATTGCTACTAAGAGAATAAAATACCTAGAAATACACCTTACAAGGGATGTGAAGGACCTCTTCAAGGAGAACTACAAACCACTGTTCAAGGAAATAAGAGAGGACACAAACAAATGGAAAAACATTCCATGCTCATAGATAAGAAGAATCAATATCATGAAAATGGCCATACTGCCCAAAATAATTTATAGATTCAATGCTATCCCCATCAAGCTACCACTGACTAGGTCACAGAATTGAAGAAAACTGCTTTAAACTTTATATGGAACCAAAAAGGATCTCACACAGTGAAGTCAATCCTAAGCAAAAAGTACAAAGCTGGAGGCATCACAGTACCTGACTTCAAACTATACTACAAGGCTACAGTAACAAAAACAGCATGGTACTGGTATCAAAACAGATATATAGACCAATGGAACAGACCAGAGACCTCAGAAATAACACCACACATCTACAACCATCTGATCTTTGACAAACCTGACACAAACAAGCAATGGGGAAAGATTCCCTATTTAATAAATGGTGTTCGGAAAACTGGCTAGCCATATGCAGAAAGCTGAAACTGGACCTCTTCCTTACACCTTATACAAATATCAACTCAAGATGGATTAAAGACTTACATATAAGACCTAAAACCATAAAAATTCTCGAAGAAAACCTGGGCAATACCATTCAGTACATAGGCATGGCAAAGACTTCATGTCTAAAACACCGAAAGCAATGGAAACAAAAGCCAAAATTGACAAATAGGATCTAATTAAACTAAAGAGCTTCTGCACAGCAAAAGAAACTATCATCAGAATGAACAGGCAGCCTACAGAATGGGAGAAAATTTTGCAATCTATCCATCTGACAAAGGGCTAATATCCAGAATTTACAAAAAGCTTAAACAAATTTACAAGAAAAAAACGAACAACCCGATCAAAAAGTGGGTGAAGGATATACACAGACACTTCCTAAAAGAAGACATTTATGCAGCCAACAAACATGAAAAAATGCTCATCATCACTGGTCATTAGAGAAATGCAAATCAAAACCACAATGAGATACCATCTCACACCAGTTAGAATGGCAATCATTAAAAAGTCAGGAAACAACAGGTGCTGGAGAGGATGTGGAGAAATAGGAATGCTTTTACACTGTTGGTGGGAGTGTAAATTAGTTCAACCATTGTGGAAGACAGTGTGGCAATTCCTTAAGGTTCTAGAACTAGAAACACCATTTGACCCAGCAATCCCATTATTGGGTATATACCCAAAGGTTTGTAAATCATTCTACTATAAAGACACATGTACACGTATGTTTATTGTGGCACTATTCTCAATAGCAAAGACTTGGAACTAATCCAAAAGTCCATCAATAATAGACTGGATAAAGAAAATGTGGCACATATACATGATGGAATACAATGCAGCCATAAAAAAGGGATGAGTTCATGTCCTTTGCAGGGACATGGATGAGGCTGGAAACCATCATTCTCAGCAAACTATCACAAGAACAGAAAACCAAACACCACATGTTCTCACTCACAAGTGGGAGTTGAACAAGGAGAACACATGGACACAGGGAGGGGAACATCATACACCAGGGCCTGATGTGGGGTGGGGGGCTAGGGGTGGGATAGCATTAGGAGAAATACCTAATGTGGGTGACGGGTTGATGGGTGCAGCAAACCACCATGGCACATGTATACCTATGTAATAAAACATGCACATTCTGCACATGTACACCAGAACTTAAAGTATAATAAAAAAAAATTGTGGTGTGTATACACCATGAAATGCTACTCAGCCATAAAAAGGAATTAAATATTGGCATTCGCAGCAAACTGGATGGAATTGGAGACCATCATTCTTTTTTTTTTTTTTTTTGAGATGGAGTCTCGCTCTGTTGCCCTGGAGATGGTCTTTCTAAGTGAAGTAATACAGGAATGGAAAACCAAATATCATATGTTCTCACATATAAGTGGGAGACAAGCTGTGAGGAAGCAAAGGCATAAGAATCATATAATGGGCAGGGCACAGTGGCTCTACTCCTGTAATCTCAGCACTTTGTGGTGGGGCCGAGGCAGGTGGATCACTTGAGGTTAGGAGTTCAAGACCGGCCTGGCCAACATGGTGAAACCCCGTCGCTACTAAAAATACAAAAAAAAAATAGCTGGGCATGGTGGCACATGCCTGTAATCCCAGCTACTTGGGAGGCTGTGGCAAGAGAATTGCCTGAGCCTGGGTAGCGAAAGTTGCAGTGAGCGGAGATCATGCCACTGCACTCCTGCCTGGGCGACAAAGTGAGACTGTCTCAAAAAAAAAAAAGAATGATATAATGGACTTTGGGGACTCTGGGAAAAGGGTAAGAGGTGGGTGAGGAATTTAAAAAAAAAAAAAAAAAAAGAATTTCAAATGAAGAGGCAAATTCTGAGAGTGAAGGTCCGCCAAGGGAGTGGTACTTAGGATGGGCATTGAAATACGGGTGGATACCACCCAGCACAAATTAGAAGAGGCTCACGGGCAGCCTTTCCGTCAGAGAGAAGCATGTGTAGATCTGTGACTGCTTCCACAGAAGAGATAAAGCTTCGTATGAAAGTCCTGCTCTCTCGTCTATTCCCTCAAATCCAATTTCCCTACCACTGAGTCTTATAAAAGATAATAATATCATCCGACTTTCCTGTTTAACCCTTCAATGACGTTTATCTACCAGATATAGTCTAAACTCCCCAAAACGGCACATCAGAGCATCTGGGATCAGACCGCTGCCGGTCCCTCCAGGCTCATGTCCTGAACCTACTGACTTGTTCTCATACTCCAACAAGACACAGACACCAAAGCCCCTGAAGGAATCACACATATGTTTACTGAATACATTCTACATAAATTTACTTGCTGGAGCTGTCCTTACCTCTTCAAATGCCCTCTCTACGCTCTTTGCCTGACTAATTTCCACCCAACCCTTAAGGCTCAGCCACTCTCTCTTGCTTTGCAAACTCTTCATTTATTATCCCTGTAACTAATTGTTCAGTGTCTATTTTCTGCACTAGATGGTAAAGAGAGGAAATAGGTCTATCCTATTTGCCCCTGTATCTCCAACACTTACTAAAATATCTAGCATAGGGCCACCTCTCAAGAAATATTTGTTCAATGAATGAATGAATGAGTTAGGAAAAAACAAAAGGAACAAGGAGACAGTAGTTCAGGGAGCACACATGGTACCCTACCTCGGCTTTCAAGATAAATGTGACCATCTTACACTGGTATTACCCAGCTTTAAAAAGTACGTTGGCATAAGGCAGCTATAAATATCTTCGTTGATAGGCTGAGACACAGAAGTCAGGCAGGATCAAATGCTGCACAGTATCACACAGCGTGCTTGTGATTCCATGGTATCAGAAATGCAGGGCTTGGACATTTGAGCATGAATGCTGTCAGATTCAAACTTCACTATGAAGGTCAACCATGTTGCTATAGAAAAACAAGATCCACTTTTGCTCCCACCATGTAGAATTTGAATCTCCTGTTATAATGTTTTTAGCTATAATGGAAAACAGACTTAGATGAGTAACTCATAATTATGGCAAGAGCACTGAAGATGAACTAAGAATGCAGTATTTTGAATGCCAATGCATCTTTTATCCTATCGTAAATTATTGTCAATTCTGCTTTTAAGGGAAAATGAGAGTACATTGCAGGTGATGGCCACTTACTGAGAGAATGCAGATGGCATTAAATATTTCAGACTCACTGGCTTAAAATGTTATTCACTTTTGTTTGCTCCTTCCCTTGGTGGAATCGGAATGCAGTCTTAAAATTCCCTCTAATGCCAAACAGCTGCTACTTTGCTTTGTTTTATTTAAAATTGAATGTAGCTGCCCCAGATGCCCTGCCCGTGTGGATCTGCACAAGATGTCACTGAGCATCACCAACAAGCCCTGAAAAATTATATTATGCCTGTATACTAATAAGCCGTGGAGTATTTGTGGAAGAATAGGGAGAAGACGGCGTATTCACCTGTTTATTATACTACAGCACCAATATATGGCTATTAGCACATAAAATTTTTACTCATATGGCTTGGGGTCAAATATTTAGAGTAAAGGCATCTTAGAAATTATCTGGTCAGATCCCCCTTCATAATTAGAAAACTCAGCCCAGAGAATTTTAGTGATTTGCCAAAGTCACATATCTGATGTGTGCCAAGGCCTCACCCTTCTCCCTTGACAATGCACCCAGCATTCAGTAGCATGAAAGTACTTTTTTAACATTTGGGTTTTCACTCAGCTGTCACCATCTTAGCACACAGTCAATACCTAGTGAACTCCCACTTGCTCTCTCTCCCTTTCTCTAAATCACTTTTTTCTCTCAGCCAGAAATTCTACTTTGATCTTGGTAACTGTTCTTTATATCATCCCAAACAGACAGAAGCAACCTCAATGGTAATTTTCACTCATATGAGTAATATGGACAGTTCTGTACCAGGCACAAAGGGAAACAATCTCAAAGAACTTGAGAAGAAGTTTTAACATTATGAAGTACTATCAGCTGAGAAAATGTGGCTATGAAATATATTAACTATTCTTTGAAGCCTCTTTCTGCCTTTCCTCAATCTCAATTTCTTCATGAAACCCAGTAGACATCCTGTTACTGACAAAGGCAGAATATCTGAATAGATAAAACTTAAAGGCACTCCCTAGTCTATGGTAATAGAATACACATAATAGTGAGGTCAAGCTAACTGCTGGAACAAAAAAGCCCCAAAATATATATTTTGTCTAATATAAAAGAGGTTTATTTCTTACTCACCTAATAGTACTGGGCAATGAAGGAGTTAGTAAGCTGTCCCTTTTCTAAGTAGTTATTTGGAGATTAAATTGATGGAGATGACAGAGGCTTTTCCATCTTCTACATATAGCTTCCAAGATGTCCCTGAGGTCATGGGCACTCAGTCCAGCTAGAAGCAAAAAAGGAGCATGGAGAAGCACATACAAGTTTCAATTAGCCAGGCAAGCAGATGGTGGAGCATAACATTTTCATTCACAATCCACTGGCTAGAATTCAGTCACATGGCCTCAACTAACTGCAAAGGGATGCTGGGAGGCAAAATCTGGCTGAATTTCCAGGAAAAACAGGACATACCACTTGAGTGGTACAGAATCTATCTTAGCCTCTATGATATACCTAAATTATGTTTTTAAAAATCCCAGGATTCAAATAATAAATAATAGCTTTGATGAAATCTTATTTATATACTCAAATTCTTCCATGATTAGACAATTAGAAAATCAGAGAGACACATCGCTCCTCTCAAGCCAACTAAGGACTTCTAAGATTAAAGATGTAGCTAATGTCATAATTTAATAAATAATAAATCCAAGCAATAAATCGAGTATTTGCAATGAGCATTACAACCCATCAAGGCAAATATTGGTTTTGGCTGATTTTTTTTTTTCATTAAAACTACATACCCACATATATCCAATCAGATTTCTAATCAAACTTTCCAGGAAGTTCAGCCTTAAAACTAAATATATTCAATTAGTCATTGGAACAATCTTATATGATTGGATTGACCATTTCCTTAGAAACTTCTACTTACTGAGCATTTGCTCTTCATCAGACACAGACTTATGGGGCATGATACTATTATGTCACCCATATTGCAAAGGGGAAAACAGAAAGATGAATAATTTGTTCTAGGTAAGATTCAAACCCAGGCCCATCTAATTCCAAAGTACTGTGGTTTCCCCTGTGGTACACTTTTCCCAGTTGGCCACTTCAAATGTTTGGATAAGTTGCATGCTTCAGTTAAGACTCCATCTGAGTATTTGGATATTCTCTATATGAGCTCAAAAAGGTTTGCAGAGACTTAGAATTAATAGCACTATCAAGACTTGACAGGGCAAATCACCTGCCTCCATGTCCATCCACCGCTTACCAACAAGGGGAAGTACTACAGCATGAGAGAATCTTGATGTGTGACTCCTAACAGTCTACTTTTTAATCCAGTGTTATGCCTTTCCAGCCTCTGCTTTGGGAAATGCAGACTGGGAAGGAAGGATCAAGCCTACTCAGAAACACAAGCCGAGGTATTATCCTAGCAACTCCCTAAAGCAATTGTACAACATTGTTTGCCTAAGCCTTAAGTGCTGATGCCTGGCAGTGAACAATGCAAAGTTCAAAGGTTTGCTCATTACCATAATGGGATATAAGCCTTTACTGTTGGCTGTGGAATAATGAAGATAATTCTTTTGGATTGTTCCTTCAATCTGTGTTTATTTTGGTTAAATAAGCTTTTTTTCTTTTTCTCTCTCTCTTTTTTAAACATTTCTTGAAGTTTTTTCTATGATTACTTTTAAGATAATATTCTACAGATTTTTCATAAGGAGCAGAAGGTTATTAATTGAGGTCCCCCCCAACCCAGCACAAAACATCTAATCCTTCACTTTTCCGTGGTCAACAAATAGCACATTACCTTAGTATTTCTGTATTTGCCAATAATGAGAAACTTGTTAGCCTGACAAAGCCAGATTTAATTAAAACACACAGACACACACATACACACACACAACAAATATGTTCATAATAGTGAAAAACATTGGCAGCAAACAAATGAGAACATATTGGAAAAAACAGAACATTTCTTTACCCTGCATGAGAACTTGAGCTACAGCAGTGGTAATAAACTCACACGGCAAAACAAAATAAGGGTTTTCATCAATGCAGTTTTAAGGTTAATTTTTAAGATAAATTTTCTTACCTCTTCTTGACATGCCCTCATACAGTCAGACTTTAAGCCAAAACCCTATAAAGAAATTAATTTTTTAAATCATTCTTGCCACATACTCATTCTAGAGGTGCACATTCCAAAAGTGCTAATGCCTCCAGTTTGGGACCACTGACCTAAAGAGAGAAATTGGGGGATATAATCACACTGTTCCTTGTGCCTTTGGAACGTTTGGAGCCACTGTCAGCTCATAGGTCCTTCCTGTGCTGACAGCAAGGAGTTGGTCCAGAAACTGTTACCCACAAGTCTACAATGAAATAAGGAATTTGAGCACTAATCTAAAAGACTTCTTCTAATAATCCCCAGAGTTGGGAGTTGAGGAATAAAAGGAGCAAAGATACAGTCTGTCTTTCACCTTGCTCCTGGAGGCTCCTGCAAGATGCTTGGGAAGCATTATAGTGGCCACACCTTCCTGAATACCTTTATCCTAACCTGCCCAGGTTTATCTGATTCAATCTTTATGTAATGGCCAAATAACTCTTAAAAGAGGGATGGTCCAGAAGGAACAGTGGTTGTAACTTTCCTTTAGATTCACCTTTGCTTTGTGCCCTGAGGAAGAGGGCTTGCAGTCCCTGACTTTTGACAAAAGATTATAAATTAGCATACAGGAATATTTACCATCTCTTAGCTACTTTTTCATCTCAAGTAGTCCCTCCCTTCATCAAGCTAGGTTGGTGATCTTACTCCTTCCCATGGTGCCATGGTTTGAATGTTTGTTCCCTCCAAAACTCATGGCAAAACTTAATCCCCAATGGAACAGAGTTGGATGCAGTCTAATGAGTGGTGTTTAGGTCATGAGGACTCCATCCTAATGGATGGATTTAATGTCACTATAAGGAGGACTTCTAAGAGTGAGTTTGCTCTCTTCTGTTCCTCTGCCATGTGAGGAAAAACATTCCTTTTCTCCAGAGGATGCAGCATTCAAGGCACCATCCTGAAAGTGGAAACCAAGCCCTCACCAGACACCAAATATGCTGGCACCTTGATCTTGTACCTCTCATCCTCCAGAACCATAAGAAATAAATTTCTATTTTAATGTTTATAAATTATCCAGTCTTTGGTATTCTGTTATAGCAGCACAAAATGAACTAACACACTTGGGAAACTGCACTACCCCACTGGAAAAAGGAGAATTCTTGGTAGCTTCTCCTGAGGCTTCAACACTAAAGTCCCCAGGCTTTATTGAGGTGTTAATTGAGGTGCTCAGCTGCAAACACAGGAAAGGAGGGAGAAGGGAAAAGGTGAGATCTGGTGTCAAGAGCAAAAGCAAAGATATTTCCACAATTCTGTTTCCTCCACCCTGTCAGGGTGAACTGCAACTGGTTTTCTCATTACTTTATCTCATAAACAAACACATGCCAAGGTAACCAAGAATTTTTCCCGGAGGATAATCAAATCTAATCATTTGTGAAGAAAAGACATTTCTTCTATCAACCTGACTTGAGGTGCTGTCCTTTATGAAACAAGAATCTTGATATTTCAGGACTAGATGTTTTTGGCCCTTCCCTGAGCCACCATAGTAATTGAGACTAGCTCTTTCTTTGCTATCTAGGAGAGATGTTATCAATTCTAATAAGATCTTTTTTATTACAAATTTTTCTCACCAGTATCATAAACATGAGGGAGGGTATTTCTTCCTGCCACTAATGCAAAATGTCCTGCTTGATTATGCAGATAAAGACAAAGAAGAAAAAGACTCCAACTTATAAGCCATTTGCTGTCTAGTAGTACTATATTGGCTATCTATTGATTCATAATAAATTGCTCCAAAATGTAGTCATATAGTACAACAAATATTTATCATAATTGTATAATTTCTGTGGGTCAGAATCTGGCTACATATTAGCTGAGTGCCTCTGTATCAAGGCCTCTCATGAGGTAGCAGACAAGCTGTCAACTAGGGCTGAAGTCTCATCTGAAAGCTCAATGAGGGGGAATCTACTTCCTCACTCACTCACTCACTCACTCACCATGATCCCTTGCCACATGGACCTCTCTACATAACAACTTCCTTTCTCCAGAGCAAAAAATCCAAAAGAAAGTGAAAGTGAGAGCTTAACACAGGAGTCACAACCTTTTTGTTAGCTAATGTCAGAAGTGACATCCCAAAACTTCTGTTATATACTGTTCTTTAGACTAGATCAATAAATCCAGCCCACATTCAAGGAGAGAGGATTACAATAAGTACACTAGGTATAACAATAGAAGATGGAGATCATTGAGGGATGTCCTTGAGATTACCTACTACAAAGACACAATAAGAAGTGCAAAAACAACTAAGCAAATTATCTTTCATGATAAATACAAGTTTTAAGGAGGGAGAAATCATTCCTGCTGGAAAAATGAGAGTAGGTTTCAGCCTCATGAAAGAGATAGGTTTTAAACTGAGTCTTCATAAACGGACAGCACTGTAATAAATGGTGGAGACTGGAGGGCGTTTTAAGCTTAGGAAAAGACATGAGCAAAGATAAAGAGACAAGAGAACGCAGAATGCTTAGGGAATGACACTTAGTTTGACTAACTTGTGGGTCTAAGGAAATAAATGGTGGTCTTGATTTGTTAATTCTGTTTTTATAGGTATAAGACGAGCTCCTTGCAATAAAAAGCAACAACATGATGGAAGAAAGTTGAGCTCAGAACTCAGTGACATCCGAGCTCAAATACCACCTTCTCCACTTAATTACTTTTGTCTCCGTAGACAGATTATACAAATTTCCTGACCTTCCTTATCTGAGAAATTGTGAGAGTCCTGCCTTGCAGGGCGGGTGTGAGAATTAAAAGCATGGGACATACCTAGCATAGCCCTTGACACATAGTGAACATTCATTTGTCACCTCCCTCTTAAAGGAAATAACTATCTTTTATTCTCTGTATCCCTTCTATTATCTCCCACACAATAGTACCTCAATAAACATTTGTTAAATAAATAAATAAATAGCTCCACTTCTCAGCCAAGTGGTGAGTTTCATCACTATATTGTTCTTCTTTGGGCATCCATTTCCTGCTAAAATAACAATGCATATTTTATCTACCTGACCAAGAAGGAGTGGGGGTTAATTAGATAAATGAGTGATATTCAAATAAGTGACCTGTATAAATTTGTGCTATCATTTGCTCATGCTGAAAAATGATAGATAGTAATTTTTTTAATTTAACTTTATTTTATTTTAAGTTCCAGGGTACATGTGCAGGATGTGCAGGTTTGTTACATAGGTAAATGTGTGTCATAGTGGTTTGCTGCACCTATCAACCCATCACCTAAGTATTAAGCCCAGCATGCATTAGCTATTTTTCCTGATGCTCTCCCTCCTCCCACCACCCTCCCAACAGGCCCCAATGAATGTTGTTCCCCTCCCTGTGTGTATTTGTTCTCATTGTTCAGCTCCCACTTATGAGTAAGAACATGTGGTGTTTGGTTTTCTGTTCCTGCATTAGTTTGCTGAGGATAATAGCTTCCAGCTGCACCCAAGTCCCTGCAAAGGATTTGATCTCATCTTTTTGTATGGTTGCATAGTATTCTATAATGTATACGTACCACATTTTCTGTAACCAGTTTATCATTGGTGGCATTTGGGTTGATTCCACATCTTTGCTACTGTGAATAGTACTGCAATAAACACATGCATGCATTTATCTTTATAATAGAATGATTTATATTCCTTTGGGGATATACCTAGTAATGGGATTGCTGGGTCAAATGGTATTTCTGTGTTTAGGTTTTTAAGGAATCACCACACTGTCTTCCACAATGATTGAACTAATTTACAATCCCACCAGCAGTGTGAAAGTATTCCTTTTTCTCTGCAGCCTTGCCAGCATCCGTTGCTTCTTGAGTTTTTAATCATTGTCATTCTGACTGGTGTGAGATAGTATCTCATTGTGGTTTTGATTTGTGTATCTCTAATGATCAGTGATGCTGATATAGTTTGGCTGTGTCCCTGCCCAAATCTCAACTCGAATTGTATCTCCCAAAATTTCCATGTGTTGTGGGAGGTACCCAGGGGGAGGTAATTGAACCATAAGGGCCAGTCTTTCCCATGCTAGTCTCATGATAGTGAACAAGTCTCACAGGATCTGATGGGTTTATCAGGGGTTTCCACCTTTGCTTCCTCCTCATTCTCTCTTGCCACCACCAACGTAAGAAGTGCCCTTTGCCCTCCACCAGTATTCTGAAACCTCCCCAGCCGTGTGGAACTGTAAGTCCAATTAAACCTCTTTTTCTTCCCAGTCTCGGGTATGTCTTTATCAGCAGCATGAATACAGACCAATACACATGCTGAGCTTCTTTTCATATGCTTCTTGGACATATAAATATCTTCTTCTGAGAAGTGTCTGTTCATTTCCTTTGCCCAATTTTTAATGGAGTTGTTTGTTATTTTCTTGTAAATTTGTTTAAATTCCTCATAGATTCCAGATATTAGAACTTTGCCAGATAAATAGGTGGCAAAAATGTCCTCCCATTCTGTAGGTTGTCTGTTCTCCCTGATGTTAGTTTCTTTTGCTGTGCAGAAGCTCTTTAGTTTAATTAGATCCCATTTGTCAATTTTTGCTTTCGTTGCAATTGCTTTTGATGTCTTGGTCATGAAATTTTTGCCCATGCCTATGTCCTGAATGGTACATGTATTTCTATTTTATTTTTGTCAGGTTTATCAAAAATCAGGTGGTAGTAGATGTGCAGTCTTAGTTCTGTGTTTTCTATTCTGTTCGATTGTTCTATGTGTCTGTTTTTGTATCAGTACCATGCTGTTTTGGTTACTGTAGCCTTGTAGTATAATTTGAAGTCAGGTAGCGTGATGTCTCCAGCTTTGTTCTTTTTGCTTAGGGTTATCTTGGCTATATGAGCTCTTTTTTGTTTCCACATAAATTTTAAAATAGTTTTTCTAATTCTGTAAAGAATGTCAATGGTGTTTTGATGGGAAAAGCATTGAATCTGTAAATTACTTCGGGCAGTGTGGCCATTCTCACGATATTGATTCTTCCTATCCATAACCATGGAATGTTTTTCCATTTGTTTGTGTGCTCTCTGATTTCCTCGAACAGTGGTTTGTAGTTCTACTTGAAGAGGTCCTTCATTCCCCTTGTTGGTTTTATTTCTAGGTATTTTGTTCTCTTTGTAGGAATTATGAATGGGAGTTCACTAATGATTTGGCTCTCTGCTTGTCTGTTTTTAGTGTATAGGAATGCTTATGATATGATTTTTGCACATTGATTTTGTATCCTGAGACTTTGCTGAAGTTGTTTATCAGCTTAAGAAGCTTTGGGGCTGAGACAATGGGATATTCTAGATATAGAATCAGGTCATCTGCAAACAAAGTCAATTTGAATTCCATTGTTCCTATGTGAATACTCTTTGTTTCTTTCTCTTGCCTGATTGCCCTGGTCAGAACTTCCAATACAATGTTGAATAGGAGTGGTGAGAGAAGACATCCTTGTCTTGTGCCAGTTTTCAAGGGGAATGCTTTCAGCTTTTGCCTGTTCAGTATGATATTGGCTATGGGTTTGTCATAAAAGGTTCTTATTATTTTGAGGCCTGTTTCTTCAATGGGCAGGTAGTAATTAAGTAGATTCCTAGAGCAACTCATTTACTATTTATGTATATATTAATACCCTCACTTCAGTCATCAGGTAGATTACAAAAATAAAAGTAATCCTTCAAGACTTCCCAAATGATATATAAGCCAGGGGTAAGCAAAAAGGAATATCAATAAAGGTAGGGAGAGTTAGTGCACAAAAATACAGCACATAGGATCCTGCATTATTAGGAACATTCCGGTTATTGAAATGTCTTGTATTGTACCTAATTTTTATCCCTTCTCTGTTCTCTTCCTCTTACATCGTTCATTGTTTTTTCTTCCATTTTCTGACTTTTCTTCCTCTTCTTTTTCACTTAGCTTACACATTTTTTTCTTCTTTCTCAAAGCTCCTCCTGATATGGTTTGGCTCTGTGTCCCCACCCAAATCTCATCATGAATTATACTCCCATAATTACCGCGTGTTGTGGGAGGGACCCAGTGGGAGATAATTTGAATCATGGGGGTAATTCCTCCCGCACTGTTCTCGTGGCAGTGGATAAGTCTCACAAGTTCTGATGGTTTTATCAGGGGTTTCCACTGTTGCATCTTCCTCATTTTCTCTTGCCACCACCATGTAAGAAGTACCTTTCACCTCCTGCCATGATTCTGAGGCCTCCTCAGCCATGTGGAACTATAAGTTCAATTAAACCTCCTTTTCTTCCCAGTCTCAGGTATTTCTTTATGAGCATCATGAAAACGAACTAATACGCCTCCCTTTCTCATAAAAGTCTGTTGCTTCTATTCTGCTTACACTCAGCCTAATATTATCCTTGTTATCAGCAGAAGGGACAAAAAGGCATTATTTTTTCAAATCAATTAAAGACAATAAGGATATTGGCTAACCTAGATATAACATTTACTGCATGGCCAATCCAAGTCAGGTAAATTTTTACCTGCTATACTTACTGCCTACTAATAAAAGAATAAAGAATGACAAAGCCTGGGTACCCTCCCCAAATATCCACCAATCTCTTGACTTCTGGGACCACTTTGAATGAGGAACAGTCTGAGACTTTTTCTTGTACTCAGTAAAAATCATCTGAAATGCTGAGAGTTATCTGAAGCAGGAGGCACCATTATCTATAATTATCAAGGTTTTAAAAATTGTCTTGGGTCCTGAGAAAGCAAAAGAGTCAGACTATTAATCATGAGAATTTTGCTCTGGCACTACCACTTGAAGAGTGTTTCTGCAAAAGCACTTGGTTATAGATGGAGAAGATGTGGTGGGGATTTTATCTATTAACCAAAATACTTTGTCTTTTTCCAGAACACAGCTGAACTAAATTTCTCACCTTCTATTGAAAACATTACTTTTTGGGGGAAAAAACAGCTTCTTTGAGGTATATTTAACATACAAAAATATTTAATTGTACAATTTGATGAGCTTGGACACATGAATACATTCATGAAACCACCACCCCAATCAAGTTAATAGATACATCCATCACTTCCAAATTTTCTTTATGTTCCTTTGTGGTTTGAATGTTTTTGTTGTTTTTTGTTTGTATTTTGTGTTTTTATATAGTAAGAACACTTAACGTGAGATGTATTCTCTCAATAAATGTCAGTCAACAGATAATAGATACAATAATGTGATATACACATATAGTGCCATATTATTCAATCTTTAAAAAGAAAGACCATCCTGCCATTGGTGACAACATGGATAATATTGCAGTAAGTGAAATAAACCAGTCAAATATGAGCAAACATAGTTTGATTCCACTTATATGAGGTACCCAAGTAATCAAACACATAAAAGCCAAGAATAGAACTATGGTTACCAGGGATTGAGATGAGGGAGAAAAGGGGACTTATTGTTCAATTCCTATAAAGTTACAGTTATGCAAGATGACTTAGTTCTAGAGATCTGCTGTGTAGCATGTTGCCTCTATTCAACAATATTGTAGTATGCACTTGAAGATTAATTTTGGTTGACTGAACTGTAGCTAACACCACTGCTGGGATGATGTCATTGGAATGTGGGAGATATATATATTTATTAGGAGAAATTTTCTTAAACAATTATGAAAACCGAGTAGTCCTATGATTTGCTGTTTGCAAGCTGGAAAGCCAGGAAAGGCAGTAATAGAGTTCAGTCTTAGTCTGAGGCCTGAAAACCAGGGGAGCCAATGGTATAAATCTCAGTTCAAGGGCAGGAAAAGATGAGATGAGACATCCCAACTCAATCACTGAGGTAGAAAAATAAAGGGAAGAATTCCTCCTTTATCCACCTTTTATTCTATTCAGTTCCTCCATGAATTGGACAATGTTCACCCACACTGGGGATAGCAATATACATCACTGACTCCACAGAATCAAATGCTGATCTCATCCAGAAAAACCCTCACATAAACATGCACAAATAGTGTTTAATGTGGGTACCCTGTGATTCAGTCAAGTTGACACATAAAATTCATTATCAGAGAGAGCGGTGGAGCAAGATAACAGAGTAGGGCTCTCTAGGAGTCATCCCCCAACCAAAACTTACATTTCAACAACTATCCATGCAAAAAAAATACCTTTACAAGAACAGAGGAAACCAGGTGAAAGATCCTACTACCTGGTTGTAGCACCATAAAAAAAAAGATACAACGAAGAGAGTAGGAAAGACAGTTTTATATTACCCATGTCGTTTCTCCCCCAGTCTCAGGCAGCACACAGCAGAAAGAGAGATATCATCCATTTAGGGGAAAGAAAATGAAGTGAGCATAAGACTTTGCCTTAAACCCCAACATTGGGCCTGCCACAAATAACCCAGCATAGGAAAGACCATAATGGCCTCATATTTCAGGCTGGTACCTATGGACTGAGCCTCTACCAGCCTACTGCCAGGTAGGACCACACAGCCTCAGGCTTCAGGCTTGCTTTACAATATCCTGCTTACACCACTGCCTGGATGATGTCGACAGTCCCAGGTTCTGACAGCCCTCACTAGCAGGCAGGCTTCGTGGCCTCAGGCTTCCGGCACACCACTGTCCTGCACCTGCCATAATTGGTCCAGGTTTCTGGCAACACCACACTGGCCACAGCTGCCCCAGGCTTCTAGTTGGTCAGCACTACACCTGCCACAGAGCTTTCCCAGTCAAAGCCAGTCTGTGAAAACTGAAATAAGTACCTACTTCTTCAAATGCACAGATATCAATGCATAACCACAAGGATCAAGAACAATCAGAGTAGAATGACATCACCAAATGAATGAAATATGTGCTAGTGACTGACAATAAAGAAATAAAGATGTATAGACTGCTTAACAAAGAATTCAAAATAACTTTATAAGGAAGCTCAGTGAATTTCAAGAAAATACAGAGAAACAATTCGATGATGTGAGGAAAACAATAAGTGACTTACATTTTAATGGAGATATTTAAATATTTTTCAAAAAATCAAACTGAAAATATAGAACTGAAAATACAATTAATGAAATAAACAATGCAACAGAGAACATCAACCACAGAACTGATCAGACAGAAGAAAAATCTGTGACCTGAAAGACATTTATTTTAAAATATACAATCTTAGGAGAAAAAAGGAATGAAAAGAAATGAAGGAAGCTTATGAGATTTATGAGTCAGTATCAAAAGAGCAAATTTCTAAGTCATGGGAATTTAAGAAAGGGAAGAAACAAATAAAGGGTTAGAAAGCTTATTTATAGAAATAGTAGCAGAAAACTTTTAAAACCTGGAGAAAGAAGTAAATATCCAGGTACAGGTAGGTCAAAGGTCTTTAATTAGATTCAATCAATACACCAAGACATATTGTAATCAAACTCTCAAAAATTAAAGATAAAGAGAGGATACTGAAAGCAGCAAAACAAAAGAAGCAAATAGCTTATAAGAACTTCTAATACAGCTTGCAGCAAGCTTCTTAGCAGAAACCTTAAAGGCCAGGATAAAGTGTGAAGATATATTCAAAATTATGAAGGATTTGAAAAAAACTGGCAACCAAGAACACTGTACTTTTAAGGCTCTTCTTTAGAAATAAAAGAGAGATAAAGACTTTCCCAGACAAACAAAAGCTGAGGGAGTTCATTATCATCTAACCTGTCTTGCAAGAAATGCTCAAGAGAGTTCTTCAAGCTGAAAGAAAAGGATACTAATGAGTAATACAAAAAGATCTGAAAGTATAAACTCACTGGTAAAAGTAAACACTCAGTCAAATGCCAAAAAACACCTAAAACTGTAATGGTGGTATGTAAATTCCTGGTATCTTTAGTTTGAAAATTAAAAAACAAAGCCATAAAAAATAATAATAATACCTACAAGAATTTCTTAAGGGTTATTCAATATAAAAGGAAGTAAATTTTTAAAATGTGGGTGGGAAGTGGTGTCAAAGTATAGAGCTTTTTTGTGTGATCAAAGTTATGTTGGTGTCAGCTTAAAATAACCTATTATATCTATAAGATGGTTCTTGTAAGCCTCATGATAACCAAAAACAAAAACATAATAGATAGGCAAAAACATTAAAATCAAGGAAACAAAACATACCACTAGAGAAAATCACTTAGCCAAAAAAATAATACAGTCAAAGAGGAAGAAAGAAGCAAAGATCTACTAAACAATTAGAACACAATTGATGAAATGGCAGTGGTAAGTTCTTACTTATTAAGAATTACTTTGAACATAAATAGATTAAAACATCCAACTAAAAACATAGAATAGCTGATGAGTTGAAAAAAAGGCACAATTATATGCTGCTTACAAGAGACGAGAGACTTACCTTGGCCTGTAAGAACACATATAAACTGACAGTGAAGAGATGGAAAAAGATATTCCATGTATATGAGAACCAAAAGAGAGCAAAAGTAGCTACACTTACATGAGATAAAATAAACTTTAAGTCAAAAATGTAAAAAGATCATTATATAATGATAAGAAGAGTCAATTTGGCAAGAGGATATAACAATTATAAATATATATGCACCTGACATCAGGGCTTCTAAACACACAATGCAAATATTTATAGATCTAAAGGAAAAAGATAGACTGCAATACAACAATAGTAAAAAACTTCAACTCCCAACTTTCAGCAATGTACAGATCATTCAGACAGAAAATCCATAAGAAAACTTGGAATAAACTGCATTCTAGATCAAATGGACCTAACATACATACACAGAATATTCCATCCAACAGCAGCAGAATCCATATTCTTCTCAAGTGCATACAGAACATTCTCCAGGATAGATTATACATTAAGCCAAAAAAACCTTAACAAATTTAAGAAGATTGAAATTATATCAAGTATTTTTTCAGAACACAATAATATAAAACTAAAATTAAATAACAGGAGGAACTTCAGAAAATTCTCAAATACATGGAAATTAAACAGCACGCCCTCTAAACAACCAATAGGTCAATAAAAAAATTAAAAGAGAAAGAAAAAACTTATTGAGACAGACAAAAATGGAAACACAATGTACCAAAACCTATGAGATACAACAACAATAGTACTAAGCTGAAAGTTTATAGCCGTAAATGCCTACATCATAAAGAAGAAAAATCTCAAATAAACAACTTAATATTGTACTTCAAGGAGCTAGGAAAACAAAAACAAACTAAACCCAAACTTAAGGAGGAAGAAAAATAATAAAGATTAGAGTGGCAATAAATAAAATTGAAACTAGAAAAACAATTTTTAAAATCAACAAAACTAAAAATTGTTTTTTCGAAAAGAAACACAATCAACAAACCTTTTAGCTAGGCTGAGAAATAAAGAGAGAAAACTCAAATAAATAAAATCGTAAATAAAAAGTAGACATTACAATTGACACAATAGAAATACAAAGGATCATATGAGACTATTATGAAACATTATATATCAACAAATGAGATAACTTACAAGAAATAGATATATTTTGATGCATACAAACTACCAAGACTGAATTATGAAAAAGTAAAAAACCTTAACACACCAATAACAAGTAAAGCTATTAAATCAGTAATCAAAACTCTCCCATCAAAGAAAAGCCCAGGACCTGGTGGCTTCACCGATGAATTCTACCAAATTTAATGAAGAACTGATACTAATTATTCTCAAACTCTTCCAAAAAACTGAAGAGGAAAAAGTATGTCCATATTTATTTTACAAGAACAGCACAACGCTGATACTAAAGTCAAAGACACTACAAAAAAAGACTACAGACCAATATCCCTGATGAACATAGCTGCAATAATCCTCAATAAAGTTCTAGTAAACCAAATTTCACATAATATTAAAAATATCATTTACCATCATCAATTGAGATTTATCCCAGGGATGCAAGGATGGTTCAACACATGTAAATCAATAGATGTGATACATTATATTAACAGAATGAAGGATAATACCAAATGAATATCTCAATACCTGCAGAAAAAGCATTTGACAAAATTCTGGCCAGGCACAGTGGCTCACACCTGTAATCCCAGCACTTTGGGAGGCCGAGGCGGGTGGATCACCTGAGGTCAGGAATTCAAGGCCAACCTGGCCAACACGGTGAAACTGCATCTCTACTAAAAATACAGAAAATTAGCTGGGCATGGTGGTGGGCACTTGTAATCCCAGCTACCCAAGAGACTGAGGCAGAATCACTTGAACCCGACAGGTAGAGGTTGCAGTGAGCTGAGATCATGCCACTGCACTCCAACCTGGCAACAGAGCAAGACTCCATCTTAAAAAAAAAAAAAAATGACAAAATTCAACTTTCTTTCATGATTAAAAATCTCTCAGCAAATTAGGTATAGAAGTAATGTACCTCAACAGAATAAAGGTCACATATGACAAACCCACAGCTAATATCATACTCAATGGAGAAGAGTTGGAAGCTTTTTCTCTAAGATCTGGTACAAGACAAAGATGCCCATTCTTGTCACTAGTATCCAAAGTATAGTACTAGAGGTCCTAGCCAATGCAATTAGGCGAGGGAAAAAAATAAAAGCCATCCAAATTGAAAACACAGAAATTAAATTGTCTCTGTTTGTAGATGGCATATTCTTATGTAAAGAAAACCTTAAAGACTTTAGAACTAATAAATAAATTCAGTAAAGTTTCAGGATACAAAATTAACATACAAAAATCAGTGGCATTTCTGTACATTAATAGCAAGCTATCTGAAAAAGAAATCAAGAGAAGATCTCATTTATAATAGTTAAAAATATTAGAAATAAACTTATCCAAGAAGGTGAAAGATCTGTACACTGAAAATTACAAAACATTAATGAAAAAATTGAGGAAGACACAAATAAATGGAAAGGTGTCCTGTGTTCATGGATTGAAAAAAATAATATTAATATTGTTAATGTTCATTCTACCCAAGCAGTGGGGCAGAGAGTGAGGATGATTAATGAATACAAAAATGTAGTTAGACTAAATAAGATCTAGTATTTGATAGCACAACAGGGCAACTACAGTCAACAATAATTTACTGCACATTTTAAAGTAATTAAAAGAGTATAATCGGATTGTTTGAAACACAAAGAAAAGATAAATGCTTGAGGTGATGGGTAACCCATTTACCCTGATGTGCTTATTATACATTGTATGCCTGTATCAAACTATCTCATATATCCTATAAATATATACACCTACTATGCATATACAAAAATTAATAAAGAAGTTTTTAAATTAAAAAAAAGCTCGTACTACCCAAAGTGATCTGCAGATTCAATGCAATCCTTATAGAAATACCAATGATGTTCATCACATAAGTAGAAAAAACAATCCTAAAATTCCTGTGGGATAACAAAAGATCCAAAATAGCCAAAGCAATCTTGAGAAAAAGAACAAAGCTGGAGGCATCACACAATCTGACTTCAAAATACGCCATAAACTGTATTAACCATAAAGCATAGTACTGGCATAAAAACAGATGCATTGATCAATGGAACCAAGAGCCCAGAAATAAATTCATGCATTTATAGCCAATTGATTGTGATTATTCACAAAAGCTAAGATACGGAATCAGTCTAAATGTTCATCAATAAATGAACTGATAAAGAAAATGTGGTGTATATATACCCAATGGAAATCTATTCAGCCTTTAAAAAGAAGAAAATCTTGTTATTTGCAACAACATGGATGAATCTGGAGGACATTATGTAAAGTGAAATAAGCTAGACACAGGAAGACAAGTACCACATGTTCTCATTCGCGTGTGGGAGCTAAAAAAGTTGATCTCATATAAAGAGAGAGTAGACGGGTGGTTACAAGCTGTGGTGGTTATGAGTTGAAGGAGGAATTGAAAATATGTTTTGTCAAAGGATCCAACTTTCAGTTAAACAGGAAGAATATGTTCAAGAGATCTACTGTACAACATGGTGACTGTAGTTAACAATATATTGTATTCTTGAAAAATGCTAAGAGTGGCTGTAAAGTATTCTTTCGACAAAAATTACTGTGTGAGATAATGCATATGTTAATTACCTAGAGTTAGTCTTTCTACAATGTATGTATACTTCAAAACATCATGTTGTACATAGTAAATACATACAATTTTATCTGTCAATGTAAAAAAAAAAAACTACATTTTTTTAAAACTTAGAAAAAAAAATTTACCATCAGAATCAGCCCTCATTGAACTCACAGTTCACTGGATCTAAACAATGAAATCTTTTTGCCTACACTCTGTCCAAGTCACCTTGATATCTTTAAGAGCTACAATAATTTAACTGCAAATTCCCATCAATCTCTATTACCTTCCAAAATCATCAGTAGTATCCCCTTCTCTCACAGATCTCTTATCCATTCCAGCAGTGGTACAGCCCTCTCCATTGCTGCCCCAGGAAACTGGTGAGGAAGGCACCCGTGAGGCTGAGCCTTCTTGGCCTCTGCCGGTCATACCCAGCAACTCCCTGAAAACTATAGTATCCTGGAAGCCCTACAGCCTCCTTACCTCATCCCATTAGCCCTTCAGGGTCCTCTACTGCCCCAAAAGAAGACTGATATTTTGCAGAGTATAATTAACTTTGCAAAGTATGGACAGACTCTGGAAACACTGTGGCATACTCTTGCTCTTCACAGTCCTGCATCCTTTTCCCATTTTCTCTCTTACACGTTTCCCTCCTGTTACTCTTTCTTTTGTCTTTAATTACTTCAGTTTTTGCATATTCCTGTCTATGTCTTGGGCTTCCTGTTGAAGTTTCTGTCAGCATTGCTTAAAGACACAAATCCAGTTTTATCTATGAGTAGAGTGAGCCACTGCCTAAGGCATGTGATTTCAAGGGTTCCAGGAAACAAGACACCTAAATTCTACATTCCTCTATTACCAAAATTTTTTTCCGTAATATCCATAATGACTTACAATGCTTTACTTTATTCAATCAAGATGTACTGAGCCTCTACCATGTGACAGGCACAGTTCTAGGCATTGGGGATAGAACAGCAAACAAAACATTAAAATATGGGGCAAATATTTTTATTCCACAATTAGGGTTCCCTTTGAATGCAATATTGCTGAGAGGTAACACACAGATTTACATAAATGCTGAATTATTCATGCACATCATCAATTTTTTTGTGAAAGTCATGCATCAGTAGGCAGACAGGGGGAACGATTTAAGGAGCAGCTCTAGCCCTTTTGGTTCTCCTGTGGTCAAATCACAAAAGTTATTATGACAACATAATTTTTTAGAAAGAACACACACATTGCAGCTACAAATACGGGGTTTAAAGATAACTCCATTTACTTGCAAGCTCTGTGATCCAGAGTAAGATAACTAACTTCTCCGAATCTCTGTGCTTTCATCTGGAGAAATAGAGAAATCAATATCAATATATCAGGATTATAGAGCAAGATTGCATGTGTAAGCCCCTAAAGCAGGATTGTGCCCAGTCAGCCCTCAGTAAACATGAGCTTTCTTGCCATTCCCAAAGCATCCTGGTTTATGGCCAGAGACCAGTGAGCTAGAGTAACTCTAATAACACCTGCACGTAATGGCTAAAATTGCTTTAATAAGGGATAGAGACTTTGACGTCACAACTAGAGGTGTTTCCATAATTAGCAAAATTGCCACCCCTAGTTTGAGATCTGATTATACCTACTTCTTTTGCATGCCCAGCCTGCCCTGGCAACCCATGAGACAAAACACAGGAGGTGAGGCTCCCTCTGAGCCCTAGAAACTGTTCAGGGTATTGGTCCTTTCTTGAATGAAGGAAGGCCAGGCCAAGGAGTGCATGAGGGCAAGGGTTGTCAGACCTCACACAATACAGAGAGGGAGAAAGCAGGCATTAAGGGGAAGAAGACAAACACTTACTTAGTGTCATTTCTCCCCCTTTGATGTCATTTTGTGTCACTTTATTTACTGACTCTAGGGAATCAATTAAAACAGTGCTAATTTATGGGTCTTAATGAACAAGGTATTATGCAAACTGTAAGCATGGCAGGCTTCTTGAATTGGAGAACACTCAAAAGCACAATCACCTGATGTGACATTCTCGCTTCCAGATTCCAAAACAGCATAGGAATAAACATGATGAATACAATTGTGTGTGTGTGTATGTGTGTGCACGCACGTGTAGGATGCATGCTGCATGTATAATAGTCTACACTTTTTCTCACACCTACTTCTCTCCTTTCTAAGAACCCAGGCAGAACGTTTACTAAAAAATACAAAGTTTATCTTCATAATACACAGTGATGTTTTGTTTTACATGTCACTTCTTGGACTAACAGAGAAATGTATCCCTTAATTGTCCACTCATGTAATTGGTACTTTCGAATCCCTACGATTAGACAGACACCACCTCAGGCTCCAGAAATGTTAAGGTGAATAAAGTACAGTCTGCTACTTTAGAATCACAAGCAATTGGAGGAGGAAGACATCTAAATGACTGCAGCACCTTATTATACCACAGAGGAAAGATACTCTGGGGAGTAGGGAATGCAGTAAAAGTCAGGACAAGCTTCACTGAATCACTTAGAAAGAAAATATCCCCTCCATCTCCTGTGTTGATCAGCCTGTGGTTTCCCTAGAGCCCTCCCTCTTCAGTCCAGCACTGTGTAACTCTGAACTGAATTCCATTTCCTGCCTGAACAGAGAGCCCTGGCAGGATTTGTGCATGAGGACTTTTTGTCAGTGGACTCTTCTGTCCTGAAAAGGGGGAGTTATCCTCAACTGACATGCTCATGGCCAGTGGACCTGGTCACAGCCAAGTCCCATTCACCAGGATCCAAGCCTCCTGCCTGCCACCCAAACAGTTGGCCATCTGTGGCACTCAGTTGAATTTGAAACTGAACCTTCCAACAGCAGGCTAAATCATAGCCACTGCCCAGATAGAAAAACGAAGCCAGCCCTACTGAGCATAACCATTTCATGGTTTCAGTTGACTTTCAGCCAAGCATCCTCATATTTACCTGTGCTTGTCTCACTGCTGTCACTGTCATAATATGCAGCTTGCAAAGTTCATCTTTACTTGCAGAGGCAGTGTGCTGGATGGTTATTAGCCCAGGATCTGTAAACAGACAGCCGGGTTTGAATCCTAGTTCCACCACTTGGGTATTATGTTCCCTAAGAAAAGTCATCCACTCTGTGCTTCACTTTGCTTATCTATGAAGTGGACATAATAATAGTTCATTCCTGATAGGCTTCAGTGTAAACGGTAGAACAATATGCATTTAGGCAGCAGCAAGGGTGGATGTGGCGCCCTGGAGTGTTTCCCGTCACAGCCCCAGCCAGCCCTGCCTGTTCTGCTCCTCTTTTCTGGCATTTTAGCTCTCATGGCTTCTGCTTCTCTTCCATCATCATCCCTTTCACCTCCATGTTCACATCCAATGATGTCATCTTCTTTCTTCTCTTCTTTCTTGGTGGCATATGTGAGCTATGATGGGAAAACAAGAGGAACATTCCTCGAAATGTCAGGATTCCAAACCAAGGGACCGATATGTATTTACAAGGTTAACCTGATGAAACTTGAGCATAGCAGTCTTGTTCCCTGGAGATGTTTGCTGGTGGTATTGATAAACGAGCAGTGAAAAATGCTTTTGAAATTAAAGCTTCGTCCAGCCAGTTCATATATGGGTCACAACTTCCTCTCTTTGCTGTTGGAAGTTTATAATGAGGTATAGTGTAGTATATCTCAGGCCAGCTTCCTTGGCATAGATGGCAATTTCTTCAGTCCAGAACTTACAGTTCTATTTACTAAGATTCTGGGTCACATCCAACTTGCAAGAACTTTGCATCCATCTCCTTGAACCCAGCCTTGGGGTGCAAAGAGACAAACTCCTGGTCACCTTACTCCTTACTTATCTGTCTCCTGCTCCAAACCATGTGATGCCAGATGGCAAAACCATGTCTTATGAATATCCATATCCCCAGAACCAAGCCTAGTGCTGGCATGTAGTAGACACACTATCAGTATTTGTTTAATAAATTGATTTAAAGATAAGTCCCTTGTTCTTGGAAGCATTTCAGCAGTCCCCACAGGAAGATGAGGATGGGCAGTTTTGTTTTTGATGAGGAACCAACAGCACAATGTGCATGGTGACAGATGGCACACAAGTCAATGGCACACAGCTAGCAAATCAGGGTGGTCCTGCTGGAAGGGGAGGTTAATAACGCCAATGGTTACTGCCATCTGTTGTATTTAATCCATTTTCCCTCTCAAGACAGAACATCTTGGAGAAACTAATGCAGCACAACATTCTTATACTTTCTTAAGGTAAACTTTCCTCTCTGCTTATAGAAAGGGAGCTCACTGCTGACTGTGGGGATAACAGAACATGGTGCTTAGAGACAGGGAGGAGAGCCAGACTTCCTGCGTTCCAAGCTCAGCCCAGCTCTGCTAATCACTAGTTACATGACCTGGAGCAAATTGTTTAACCTCTCTGAGTCTCAGTTTCTTGATCTTAAAATACAAGGCTTATAATATTACCTCCCTCAAAGGAGTGTTGAGAGGTGAGAATTGAATAAGGTAACATGAGTACAGCATGTAGGGCATGCTTGGCTTGGGATGTGCTGTGTCGGTGTTTATTTAGTAACAGTATTATCCAAGTGTGATGTTGGATGGAAGTCCTGTAGGATGAGAATAAGGGGAAATGCCAAGAGGGAAAACCAGCTAGTGAAGAATGTCCCTGTATTTCTGGCCACCGTGGGCCAGGCCTGGCGGGGAGCAGTAATTATTGTAATTAAAAGCAAGTTTCAGTGTCTCAGAGACCCAAGTAGGATGGAGCCACTTGTCATAGGTTTTGCCTTGTGAGAAGGCAACGCTGTAACAGGCCACAAAATTGCTCTAACCTTCCGTTCCTAAGTTGTCACATGCTGCCGGATCGATGCCTCCCTGGCACCTGCTATTGCCAGCAATTTCGGCGCTCTTTCAACAGTACCTCTCTGCTGCTGCACCCATGCCAAGAACAGCTCAAGGGGCTGATAAAGAGACCTAAGTGCTAGGGCCACACAACCCAGGCTGACAAGAGGGCAGGGGGAAGAGAGGCTGGGGGCAGGGGGGAAAGGGAAGTGAGAGAGATGGAAGCAAGGAAGCCAGTGGCTGCGGGAGTGCCCAATCTTGTTTTAATATCCTTCTGACCCCAGAAAGAGAAATGACAGTGGAAAGCTTGTTAACAGCAACAGGACACAGAGCCAACCCTTTCTTTTCTCTACTTTCCAGGAGGCCCAGGTGACACAATCGCCTGATTTGTGTTCTCTGTGCTCCCTGGTATTTGGCCTACAGGTCTCTGCATTTTCTCTCCAACCTTTTAAAGCATAATAACAGACCGTGCCTTTCTGAAGCATGTGTTAGAGACAAAGAACACAGGAATATGTCATTTTCTATAAAGGCCAGAAAGGGTGTTGTGACCAGCGAAGTGCTAAAATGACATTTGCACTTAGGTGACAAACAAGCCCATTCCATTCCAGGTAAAGACCAGAGCTTTTTCCAGCAACAGTAAAACACAAGAAAGTAAAGGCTGCCCTCGTCAGGGTGCTCTGGGGATGACAACTGCTGCTTCAGAAGGCAGCAAGTTGCACTCTGGAGACAGACCTTGGATGAAAGATCAGGAATGAAAAGCCACATCTGCTTTCAGGTGGACGCTGCCTAAGGTCTTGTCCTTGAGCAATATTCTCCCAGGCACCAGTGCATTAGGAAAGAAGCAACAAACCAGGAGAGAGTCTTGTTTAAGCTGCCTGCTCACATAAGCAAAGTCTTTGAAATATGACTTTAAATAAACTGAACTTGAGAAACAAGATTTCTAATACTACAAGAATCTGTGAATAGGTGCATTAGACTGATACAAACTGTTAGCTGAATCCAATGCGTTTTTGGATGAGGGAGACAAGCAGCCATTCTCCACACAGCTAAAGAAGAAAAAATATGAAAGTGGCAGTTGAGAGGCGTAGGAACAGGAACACTCCTGGCTCCATCACAAGATTTGCTGCCTGAAATTGGGCAAGGTACTCGCCTGCTGTTGGACTCAGTTTCTTCATCCGTAAAATCAGGTGCCTGGCTGAAGGATGCCTGAGATTCCTTCCAGCCAAGACATGTTATGATCCATGACCTTCATTTTGTACTCTCAGCCAGCAGTATAAGTGCTCCAAAAGAAATAAATGGAGCAAAGAAAAGAATAAAATAAAATAAGAACGTCACGCCAGCCCATCCGTTTTCTACAACCTGTGGGCTCACCCCAATTGAGGGTCCTTGGAGTTAGGGCAAAAGGGTCTACAGTCCTGCCTCACACTTCTAATTGCTGGTATGATTCTTCTTTAATTCGACATACTGAAGTCATGGAATCTTTTTGCATTTTCTTACTTAACAGATAACAGAAACGTGATTGTTAGCAGAAGACAAGTTTTTATTTTTTAAGAAAGATCCTCTACTAAAAGGGTTTAAAATCTTATAGTTCAAGGCTTAATCACAAAATTCCCTAGAAATAAAGCTCTCACATGAAAGCTTTGTACACACACACAGACACACACACCTACTCCATCTGAAATTCAGTACTAAAAGCAATCAGCAATTAAACATAGAACAAAGAGCCCCTACAATGAGCTGCAGTCAGTGACAAGCCAGCTGAATCTTTGGGACATTTCTAATTGGTGAGGAGGAAAATCCATAAGTGCAATAAGCCACTATCGGTGAATAAGCTCATGAGCTACTGAAGGCTGATTTAGGAGTTGTCATTTTGAAGTCTATTTCCTTACCTGGGCCCCACACAATGCCCTCCTCTCCCTCACACATCTCTAACGTGCGTGAAATACGTATTTTTAAAAAGCCAAGTTTTCTTATTTTAATCTGCCAGCCCATAATATGGTTCAGTCAACCCTAAGGCTCTTTTCTTGGCTTTTGCTCTGAGGAGTTGCCAGGAAGGAGAATCACAGCTCCAGACTACTTCTCCTTTACGAAAAAATTGAGGCAGTGGCTGGGCATGGTGGCTTATGCCTGTAATCCCAGCACTTTGGGAGCCGAAGCAGGTTGATCACCTGAGGTCAGGAGTTCTAGACCAGCCTGGCCAACATGGCAAAACCCTGTCTCGACTAAAAATACGAATTTTAGCCGGGTGTGGTGGTGGGCACCCGTAATCCCAGCTACTCAGGAGGCAGAAGAATTGCTTGAACCCGGGAGGCAGAGGTTGTAGTGGGACAAGATCGCCCATTGCACTCCAGCCTGGGCAACAAGAGCAAAACCCCATCTCAAAAAAAAAAAAATTGAGGCAGCAACCTGGATTCTGGGCAATTAAAATACCGGGTTAAGTGATTTTTATGAGTCAGATCTGCCAGCTCTGTAAAACCAACATTCTCCTGCCCTTAGAAAGGTGGATGGCAGCAGGAAATGTTCGACGGCAGCTTGCCCCTGGGGCCCAGCTCGGCCTCAGACCTCTCTTGCTTCCCTGCACCAGCCGGCTGCAGGAGGACCACAGGAACGGTCCCATCCAGCTCTGGAGGCATGTTCACCAAGATGGAGCACACTGTGAACCACAAGCTGGGCATTGTGCCACTCAGAGTGGCAGCGTGAAGCCCCTCACAAGTCATTGCCAGTTCTTCTCTTTACTCTTCTCTTGGAGACACGACAGAAAAATAAAGCCTGAAAGTATAGTAATCGGAAACATTGGGTGTTAGAGTTTAAGGGAGCACTTTAGAAGAGTTTTACTCTCTTACAGAGTACATGACACTCAACACCCTCCAAACTGAAGCTAGACCCCACGTTTCCCTGGCTGTACTAAAAATTTCACAGTATAAAAAAGATTTTCTTATGTAGTACGACAAAGCTGTTAGAGCTGAAACTGATGCTCTTCCTGTTAGGAAAAAATAAAAAAGGTAGAAGGAGGAAGGAGAGAGAAAGAGGGTGGTTTGTGTGAAGATGGGGTGTTACGTGGTCCAGGAAAGTTGGTGTTTGGAGGCACAGAGGTGCTTTGCTGGGGACACACAGGAGGGGAGGCCAGCACACAGAGGTGGACAATGCACAGGGTCTGCAAGACCAGAGGGTAGGTCACAATGAACACATCCGGCTCAAGATCATCAGCACCAGTGCTCAGGCAGCCTGAAAAAAAAGTCACACATTCAACCTCAAAAGTTAGTTGGTGAAGGGCCTGTTCAAATCTATTGGCCATTTTTTACTGGGTTGTCTTTTTCTTTTCTTTTTTTTTTTTTTTTTTTTAGATGGAGTCTCGCTCTGTCCCCAGGCTGGAGTGCAGTGGTGCAATCTCAGCTCATTGCAACCTCCGCCTCCCGGGTTCAAGTGATTCTTCAGCTTCAGCCTCCCGAGTAGTTGGGACTACAGGCGCCTGCCACCATGCCTGGCTAATTTTTTGCATTTTTAGTAGAGACAGGGTTTCACCATGTTGTCCGGGTTCGTCTCCATCTCTTGACCTCATGATCCACTAGCCTCGGCCTCCCAAAGTGCTGGGATTACAGTCATAAGCCACCGTGCCCCGCTTCTTATTGACTTTTCAGAGTGCTTTATGTATTCCACATGTAAGTCCTAGTAAGATATGTATTTCACAAATATATTGTCCCAGCCTGTGGTTTGTCTTTTCATTTTCTTAATAGTGTCTTTCAAAGGGTGAGAGTTCCTAAGTTTGTGGAAGTCTAATTCACCAATCTTTCTTGTTTATGGTCCATGCTGCTTATGTCCTATCTACAAATGCTTTCTTTAACCCACCATTACAAACATGTTCTCTTGGGTTTTCTTCTCCAATTTGTACAGTTTTAGGTTTTAACTTTTGGTCTATAAAACATTTTGGGATAATTTTTTTGTATATGGTGTTAGGTATAAGTCTGGGTTCATTCTTTTATACCAATGTCCGATGCTCTCCACAACACTTGTTGAGAAAACCATCCTTTCTTTATTGAATTACTATGGTACCTTGTAGGAAATCAATTGCCCATATGTGAGTAGACTATTTCTGGACTCTCTTCTGTTCCATTAATCTATATGCCTATTTTTTCACCAATGCCACAGATGCCTCAACCACAAAAAAAAAAAATGTGAATGGCAAATAAGCACATGAAAATATGCCCAACATCATTTCTCATTAGGGAAATACCAATTAAATCCACAATGAGATGCCACTACACACCTGTTAGCATGGATAACATAAAAAATGTTGAGGCAAGGCACAGTGGCTCATGCCTATAATCCCAGCACTTTGGGAGGCAGAGGCGGGTGGATCACGAGGTCAGGAGATCGAGATCATCTGGCTAACGCAGTGAAACCCCGCCTTTACTAAAAATACAAAAAACATAGCCAGGCATGGTGGCGGGCACCTGTAGTCCCAACTACTCGGGAGGCTGAGGCAGGAGAATGCCGTCAACCCAGTAGACGGAGTTTGCAGTGAGCTGAGATGGAGCCACAGCACTCCAGCCTGGGCGACGGAGCGAGACTCCATCCCAAAAAAAAAAAAAATTAAAAATATAAAGCGATGGAGAAAATGAGGAACAAGTGGAACTCTTATACATTGCTAGTACAAGTGCAAAATGGTGAAGCCTCTTTCAAAAAGAATTGGAAAATTCTTATTAAATTATGCATACCCTTTTCCATATGACCGACTTCTAGGTCGTCAAAAGAATTTGACACATATATACACATGAAAGCCTGTAGGTGAATTTTTAGAGCAACTTTAATCCTAATCACCAGATACTGGAAACAACCCAAATGTTTATCAAATGGTAAGTGAATAAACAAATTCAATCACATTATGTTGTACAATGGGAAACTACTTAGCAATAAAAAGAAACAAAACGATCCATTCCACAACATGAATGAATCCAAAAAGCAGATTATGCCTAGTGGAAGAAACCACAATCAAAAGGCTACATATGGCATGCTTTCATTCATACGGCATTAAGAAAAAGGCAAAACTATGCTGACAGGAATCAGTTGCTTCCAGGAGCTGACGGGAGTGGAGGGGATTGACTGTAAAAGAACATGAGGGGCTTTTTGGATAATGGAAATAGTCTCTGTCCTTACTGTGGTGATCACACAACTCTATATTTGTCAACATTCTTGGAACTATACTCCTAAACAAGGGAATTTTATTAGATGTAAATTATACCTCAATAACTCTGGCTTTTAAAAAACTGCTAGCTGGCAGACACTCACAAGATCAGCAATTTGGTGGTGTGAAGGAACGGAGCACTCTCCAGCCTCAGGTGCCAGCCACGGAATTAATGTTGTTTTATGCTAATTAAATTTATTAATATAACTCTGCGATAAGAATACCTGTCTTCTAGTTCCAATATTCCCAAAAGTGATGAGAGCAGGGGAGATGTGCCAACCTGGCAATATTCTGTGAAACTAATTACCTCAGGAATTTGTGTAAGAATGAACCAACACAGGTGCTACACTCAAATAACAAATTAAATACACCCGTCCTCAGAGAGATTTTGCAATACACCCGCAAGAGTTTGTTGCTTTCTGTGAACCTCATACATAAAACAGGGTTTATGGTTATTTTGAGGTTTTGCCACCTCTATTCTCTATCCAATATGGGCATTGGAGGGCTTGTTGTTGACCGCATGTCTTTTTACTGAGTCTTCCTCTGTTTCCTTTGATCCTCCAGCCAATGGCGGCTGTCCATGGTCCCTGAGTGGCAACTCACATGCGTCTCCCGGGCAAATTTGATAACGCATAGGAGATCCAGTCAGTCCAAGGCAAGGGAGCGCATCAAAACAGTCACACAAGCAACACAAACCTGGGGCTACTTGTTCTACACTGCAGGCCCCAGAACAAGAATCACAGGCTCTGAATCTCTACATTTGGCCCCAGTCACAGAGATACCAGCATCTCCCAAGTCTAGGCAGTGTCAGATAAAGTGGGTTGTGCTGGCCTTCTTTCTAAATCCCCCCGGACAAAGAGTTTTTTGTTTTGTTTTATTTCATTTTGTTTTCTGAGATGGAGTCTTGCTCTGTCATCCAGGCTGGAGTGCAATGGCACGATCTCAGCTCAGTGCAACCTTTGCCTCCCGGGTTCAAGTGATTCTCTTGCCTCAGCCTCCTGAGTAGCTGGGATTACAGGTACATGCCATAACACCCGGCTAATTTTTGTATTTTTAGTAGAGACAAGGTTTCATCATGTTGGTCAGCCTGGTCTCAAACCCCTGACCTCCTGATCCACCCTCTTCGGCCTCCCAAGGTGCTGGTATTATAGGCGTGAGACACCATGCCTGGCCAAACAGTTGTTTTTAAATCACAAGCCATTTGAGTCCCTCTATTCCTCAGCTCCAATCATTCTTTCTAACATTATTTCCCGGCCACACCTCCCCTACCCCACCTTATACCCATCCTGCACTCCAGGTACATCAGACTATTGGGCTGACTGTAAGCCCAGTGGGCACTGATTCATTTATATTCCTTTGTCCATATTTCTTCAGCTCAAATGCCCTTCCTGTGAAAAATCTCCCCCTCTGTAAATCATAGTCTTTCTTCAAGGCCCAGCTCAAAGGTCTCCTCCTCTGTGAAGCCCTCCTGACTTCCTCAATCAGAATTATTCTCCATGACTTCTGTTTCCTCAGGGTGCTCCCCTCCACCCCTCATGCCCTGTGGATCTCAGTGCCTATCATGTGCCCACACTTAATGGGGCACTGTCAACATTTGTCCAATTAGACTGTACTTATCTCTATCAGAAGACATCCCTTGCTTAAACACTCCCTTGAATATTTCCAAATAAAAGAATGTCTTGTATCTGGCTCTTTATTGGATTATGTATTGTTTCTGTGTGAAAATTTTCACTCTTATATTGAGGCTATGAACATAGACTCCAAAATAAAAAGCAAAGGAAATTCAATCAATCCAAATATTAAGTCTTATTGAGCAATAGAATAATTGCCTTGCTGAATTCAACTGCTTTTTTAAGAAAGCTATATTCAGTCATGTTGATCTGGGTGTAGAGATAGACTAATGTTCCCATTAGGTATTCCAAGGCATGTTTTTTCATCTTTAATCCATCACGTCAATTTTGGGATTATTTCTTACAGCGTATTTCTATGTTTCCTGGAAAACCAACAGGATATGAAAATGTTGAGACATTTTTACCAGAGAAAATGTAGTGCCTTTATTTTGTCTATAATCTTGTCTTTCTCTGAACTTCCACCTGCTGGTTAGAGAAAAATAAATTAACTAAATGTCTAACCTGGTTTAAATTTAGCTTGATCCAATAATTTAAACAGCCGCTTTAGGGAATACCCAGTCTCTCTTGAATAAAATTGCTCTTTCGAACAGCCTTCCTATTACCCTGCTTCTCTCACGATGATGGCAGTGAGTGTGGGGGTGCGTGGAGGGGGAAGGGGGCTTAGGTGTCCCGCAGCTGCCACATCAGACCTGTTGGTTTTTGACTAGGCATCCCCATTAAGAGGAAACCAGAGACCCTCAGTGTGCCAACTAGATTCTCTTCTCCAACCAACTGCTCTCCCTTCTTAACTATGTGGGCCTATCCCATGATGGTTAGTGTTGGCCCCTCCCAGAATCTCAAAACAAAAACCCATTATCCTCACTGGATATCTTACGTGTCTTCCTACTCCCTACCCTCAGGCAAAAACAACAGAAAAAGAAAAATACACGCTGACCACCTCACTTCTTTCTGTCTTCTGTCCTACCTCTTCTCACTCTTTTTTGGAAAAGAAAGCTCAACTGAAGTGCCAAACCAGCCCCCATCTTTAGCCCCCTCCCCAGCCGACAGTGCCTTTACTAAATGATTCTTTATCCTATCAATATATAAGCCATCTTGTGATCCTGTGAAAATTCTCTGATGAAAAATATTATTCTTTCAATTATCTAATTAAAAGCAGCTCTTCCTTTTAAATAAAACTATGCCTGCCTTGTTTTATTTGCCATTGGTTCAGGCTGATGGTAGGTAAACACCTCTGTCGTGTCTCCTGAATATGAATGCATCATGCCACAATGGAATTGCAATGCCTAGTGACAAGCTGTCAATTTTCCTAAGAGAAGCATCAGAGTTATACGGATGCTTTGTCAAAAGGCATTTAGTCAAATGCACATCTGACCTTTCCTCTTCTATCTATCACAAATTCAACCATAACCACTCCCAGTCTGAGGTTTCCCACATCGCCTGGCTTCATCTGAGCTCAATTCTTCTCTGCCTTCACCTTTACCCTCAGCACTATAGTACTTGTAGCACTAGCTTTTTTAAAAAATCCTCTTCTATAATTCTTTTTTCTCCAAAAAATGGAAATTTGCTTACACAACTTTGAGACCATCTTCAACATCAATGCAGTTTCCAAACTCAGAAGCTCATCTCATCCTTCCCTTCTTTATTCTTCTGTGTCACCTCTCAGATCAGCCAGGAAGACCTTCTTCAGGACCATCTGCTCTCCTGGAACCTGGGAGGCCCATTTAGACGCAATTTTGCAACTGCTTGTGACATTAAATTTTGCAGCTCAGAAACGGGACTCTCACCTGGCCTCAACTTTCTTAGGTCTCAGTATCAGAACCTCTGTCTACTGCAGTCTCTATTCAAATACAATTCTTGAAATGAATTCATACTTTTTTCTTTTAACTTTTAAAATTTTTACCTGGCTTGTTCAACTCTGACACATGCACAGGGACTGCTCCTTGGACTAAAAGTCAAGAAATCTGGAAACTTCTGACTCCAACACAAATGAGCCATGTGACCTTGAATGTGTCATCTCACCCTTCTGAACCTCAGGAGACTCATCTGTAAATTAAGAAGGTTTGAAGTAAGTGATGGCAGAACTCATTTCTACTCTAATACCATTTGTTTCAATAAATTTCTATCCTTTTTAAACACGACTCTTTGTATTCAGTTGAGGCAAACAATAATGAGAACTTCCCTTTCCTCTTTGTACACCTGCTGTACCATCAAATTAGGATGAATTAAAAGCAAAGCTTCTAACAATGTAGCTTTCTTTCTTTCCTTTCCAAATTTTAATTGACTCTTTAACAGGTGTGCTTTAACCTGCTCTCCACTCCAACATTTTAAAGAATAATATTTTTCATCACATTAGCCAGAGCGTGCCAGCATTATTAAAAATAAAGCAATCAAATTTAACAGAGATAAATGAACACAAGAAGCTATTTTTGTCCAGAGTGTTCAATTATATCAGGGCAGTGTGTACATCTATATATCAGCCAAGAACACACATTTTTTCTTAAATCTTTCTTTTACTTCCCACACCTATCTCCCAATTTTGACACTGGCCATTCTAGCTCTTAGAATGTGCTTCAAAATTCCTAATTTGCTCATTCATTGCATTGTTTTCTGAAACCTCTTTCAGTCTTTGCAGGGGTTTTGTTTTATTTTTGTCTCATTATTGTTGCTCGTTTTCCTTTGTCTCTATAATATGCCTACTCTGTGGTCACTTTATTCAGGTTTATTTCAGAGCCTTGTCTGAAGATTTTGAAATCAAATGAAAAAAGATCCTTTGCATTACTTGTCATTATTTTAAAAGAACTATGTCCCTCTGAACAAAATTAAATTTTTATTCTACAAGGTAGCCAAAATATGGAATAATTCTAATTTTCTTACACAGGTACTGCATATATATGTTGATTCCTTGCTTATGTGTATCTTCAGGGATGGGAGAAAGTTAGTATAAAAATGTTTTGCTACATTCACAGAAGGTCTGCACTCTGGTTGGATCAAACAATTGGTTAATTTGACAAAGTTGCCAAAAAATAGCAATCAATTCAGTGAAAAGAAAATCAATCACAGAGGTAGTTTGGTTGCTTTGTAGACAAAACAGTCAGCGGAGTGATTGAATTTTTCACTTTTCAATGAGTTGTTTTGGCCTTGTGTGGATGCAGCCATTAACTCATTAATCACCCAGAACTCCTCAGTGACTGAGAGAGGGAAATCATTACTTTCCAAGTATAGATCGCATATTAACAATATGCAAAAGGCCTGCCAGGGTGAATGTGCTCAATGACCCCATTTGAGAAAAATGAGTTTCACAGATATTTTATAGCATATGGAGGTAAACTGTACCTGATTTATCATTTCACTTTCCAATTGTGAAACTCTATGTCTGCTAGTATAAGTTTGCAGAGAATTTAATGCACATAAAATATATTCATTTAATCCTTAAATTAGAGTGAATTTTAATTCATAGAGTGCTAAAACATAATTCTTGCAACATATTGGGCTTCCCCGCATTGATTTTATGCAATATCAAAATGGAGGAGTTTTGCACACATCACAATTGGCTCCCACCCGTGCATTATACATATATGCCATTCTGATAAATATGTATATTTTCCCATATGGTGTTGAATGTTAGCGTCTAATTTACCTCTTAATTTTTAATTAATTTTAAATTACATTCTAAATGAAGCCGACAGGAGTCTAATTTGCATGCTTATTTGCATATCTGTAAACACACTGTTTGCATTGTTTATCTAGTCCCTGTCCCCATGACATACAGAGGTTTTTCTCACCCCATGTGGCGAATTGAGACCGCCAAAGCATCAAGGTGCCCTCTAAGACTTGCAGACACTATTCTAATCTAGAACCGATGATGCTGGCTCTCTTTTCTCCACAATGGCCACAGAGGATTCTGAAAGGCCAAGGTCAATGATAGCAGTTAAGCCTCCTGCTTTCTCAGAGAAATAGCAGTGACTGTGATTCACCTTTAGAAAATAAAACTGTATACTTTTTGCATGCTGTGGATTTTTTTTTAATGTACAATGCCCTAAATGACTGAAATAATAACACCAAATCAGAAAAACAAAGTCACGTTATATTATCTTCTGGATTGATAAGTTCCTAACCGAGTCAGAAGAAGGCAGCACAGAGCAAAGGCATTTTCCTCTGCAACAAGCAATGGATTATTTTCCTTGTCCAAATAGGCTGTCCTCTGGCAGCACTAATGGCAGCTGTGGCCTGTTGGTACCTTGCCTTTTGATGACAACGCACCCTACATGCAACTTCAGTCAATCAATATACAAGCCACTTCAAAGACCCTTTCGAGGCTGACAAGCAGTTCAGGATTCAAGGAGATCTGTTGTCTTTCTGTACATGAACTGCACCAGCAGACAGGGCTACAGAGGTACTTTTTCTCCCTGAAAGTACTGTAATTTCCCTCTTTGTTCATAGCTTCAATAAGCAAAGATATGGTAGCAAATGATTTTGTTTTGCTATTAGGCAAGTACTATACTGTATGTTAATAGGAGCTTGCTGATCCTGTTTGAGGCCATACCTATCCAATTTCTAATCCCAACTTTTCTGTGACCTTGGGCACCTTCCTTAATCTCACCAAAGCTTTACTATCTCTATATTATTGACTAAAATATTAGAAATGATTATCTTTTAAGGTTGTAATAAAGACTAAGCAAGATGGAAATCTCCTGGAACATTTTCCTGTATTTTTCTTTCCTCTCCAGTGGAAATAGATACCAAGTCTCAAGCCTGGCAGATGTTAAATGTGGTATCTCACGGCACATAAAGAGAACAGAGTAGACCTGGGGGAATTGTATGCTGTTGTCTTGATCTTTACTCCAATAGTACCACCTGCTTTCTTGTTGTAAAAAACTTCCATGGCTGCCCTATCAAAAGTAGACTTTCCCTTTCAGCTCTTTGTTTTCAAAATCAAGCCAGCCCTCAGTGGACCAAAAGAAATATTAAATGTGTCAAAATGATGGTCTTTACAGCTGGATTGTCATCATACAATCAATCAATCTACCACAAGAACAATAAAACTTCCCCTACAAAGAGCAGAAAAAATATTCTTCCTTCCAATATAGCCAGGAAACATTTACATCAAACATTGACTGGTGCACAATTTCTTGTACCTAGTCATTCCGTACGGTGAATGAGAACTGCACACAAGAGCCTACCTGATACCTCTCGGAGGGGATGTAACTCCAAACGCACTCACTCCACTGCACTTTCAAGGATTTGAATCAACCAGCAAGAATGAATGCAGTTATGTATAAAAATGTAAATAGGTCAAAGACATCACAGCAAAGATAAAAGAAAGGTACGTGAGACCGAATGGAAAATCAGCTCACTGAAACGTATGCCAAGAGATTGCACACAGTTATAAAAATAGGAATCTTAATGTGGTTCTGAGTTTCTATGCATCCAAGAAAGTATTATTTAATCTATTATAGGAGACACATTCTCTGTAAAATAAAATAATACCTGTTTTCCGAGAAAGCAATGCTTCCAGGCACTAAACTCTTCGAGTCATGACTCCTGCTGACACCCGTAAAGGGAAATCTATGAGTTTGAAACATGTACCTACAAACTTACCCCATAACTCTGTGCTTTTTAAATAGATAAAAGGCTCAAAATTAATCTTTCAGTCCTCTCTGCTCCTACATTTTTTGCTCTCCATAATGGCAGCTTTACAGACTGACCGATTTCAGGCAAAGGATCACATCTTGGTGTGCTCTAGGGTTGCTGTGTACAGCTGTGCAGGCTATGCACTGCATTTAACTAGACTATGGTCAGTGGGGCCCCTCTGGGGCTTAGCAAGGCAGCTTGCAGCACGCCACATACTGTCTTCCTTGTAGAAAGCATTCAGTCAATATTTGCTTTATTACCTAAACATACCCATGCAGCAAACACAGGGGTTATGCATGCATGTCCCTGCCTGGATATGAATTCTAGCTCTGCCACTAGCCAACTGTGTGACCTTGGAAAAGTTATGTAACCTTTTGGCACCTGTATTCCTCATCTATAAAACAAAGATAGTAAAGGTGCACACCTAATAGGATTAAGTACTTTATGTATGTAAAGAACTCAGAACAGTCCCTGGTACAAACATTCTGCATTAGTATTATTCTGGTTTATTCCAGTGTAGAAAATATCCAGGTGGATTTCTATTTTAATGTTCTTAATAGACTATTCAAATAATTACGCTCTTCCTTAAAAGTACCTTTTAGATAGGAATGCTGCTATGGTACAATGCATTAAGGAAGTCTACAGTTCCATGAGAATACAATAAGGAAGGGGAAGGAGATTAACCCTTTTGATCACCTACTGCATGCCAGGCACCGATCAAACACTTCATACATGCGGTCTTATTCAGTCCTCACAACTATCTGATAAGGTAGAAGTATTATTTGTGCCCTAAAACAAGCTTAACCAGCCTGTGAGTGCAAATTGCATCACATCCTCAGTAATCATCCCACCATCATCAGTTAATACAGAACCCACCCCGACAAAATCTCTCCATCTTTGCCTCTGGGTCTCCAAGGCTATCTCCATGCCTCTTGGAGGGGATGTAACTCCAAACTCACTCACTCCACTCCACTTCCAAGGATTTGAATCAACCAGCAAGAATGAATGCAGTTATATATAAAAATGTAAATAAATCAAAGAAATCACAGCAAAGATAAAAGAAAGATATGTGAGACCAAATGGAAAATCAGCTCACTGAAACATATGCCAAGAGATTGCACATGCACAAAGCCCGTTGGTCAGAGGCCTCTTGCATCTGCCAGATATCACTGTCCCTTCTGCTAGGCATGGATCATGAAGAGACAGCTGCCAGGTCTGCTGGCAGCTTCTGTATCTGCCCAGTACTGCCACCTTTGCTGGGCACTAGACTTTCATTGTGTGCCGCCACATAGGCTGGGCATCATCACTGTCGGTAGCCTCCCTTGCATTTCCTCCTGGCCTCTAGTTGCTCTTCAGCTAGTGTGCTGCTCCCCCTGCATTTTTGCATTACTGAAGTACTGGTTGAGATTGTAGAAGGAAAGTGACTCTCTCCACTTGGGGCAATTGTACCTTTTCAACAGGTCATCAAAACAGGAATGCTTGTGCCTTGGTGTCTCTCATTTCTTAAGAAAACATCAGGGCAGGCACGGTGGCTCACTCCTGTAATCCCAGCACTTTAGGGGGCTGAGGGGGGTGAATCACGAGGTCAGGAGTTTTAGACCAACCTGGCCAACATGGTGAAACCCCGTCTCTACTAAAAAAATATAAAAATTAGCCCGGTGTGGTGGCATGTGCCTGTAGTCCCAGCTACTCGGGAGGCTGAGGCAAGAGAATAGCTTGAACCCAGGCAGCAGAGGTTGCAGTGAGCCAAGGTCATGGCACTGCACTCCAGTCTGGGCAACAGAGCGAGGCTCTGTCAAAAAAAAAAAAAAAGAGAGGGAGAGAGATAAGAAAGAAAGAAAGAAAGAAAGAAAGAAAGAAAGAAAGAAAGAAAGAAAGAAAGAAAGAAAGAAGGAAAGAAGGAAAGAAGGAAGGAAGGAAGGAAGGAAGGAAGGAAGGAAGGAAGGAAAGAAAGAAAGAAAGAAAGAAAGAAAGAAAGAAAGAAAGAAAGAAAGAAAGAAAGAAAGAAAGAAAAGGAAAGAACACCAATTTGGCCAAGGGTGGTGGCTCATGCCTATAATCCCAGCACTTTGGGAGGCCGAGGCAGGTGGATCACCTGAGGTCAGGAGTTCGAGACCAGCCTGGCCAACATGGTGAAACCATGTCTCTACTAAAAAATACCAAAAAAAAATCAGCCCGGCATGGTGGTGGGCGCCTGCAATTCCAGCAACCCAGGAGGCTGAGGCAGGAGAATCGCTTGAACCTGGGAGGCAGAGGTTGCAGTGAACCGAGGTTGTGCCATTGGACTCCAGCCTGGGCAATAAGAGCAAAACTCAGTCTCGAAAAAATAAACAAACGAACAAATAAACAAATAAATAAATAAATAAATTTGGATTTGTTTTACATTCAGTCTTCTCTATTTCCAGAATGCAGATGAAATGAGGGTGACATCAGGGATCTATCTGAAGCTTTACACTGCATGAAACTTCCTCTGGACCCTAGGGGCTTGCCACTAGACCAGCCTACAAGCTATTGTACAGTTTGAAAGATTTTTTTAGAGCAACATAGTTGCTTTATTAATTTTTTAAAAAGAGCTTTTTTTCTGATATGTCTGTGTCTAGAGTCAGGATAGAAAATATGCAGATATATTCTACATTTATCTAATGTCACTATATTCCATGCTATAAACATTAATAACGTCTTCAGAGTCAGGGGAAAATGTAAGGAGAGTGTGATAAAGACAGAGCCTAGAATAAAAGAAAAAGTATCGACTCTGAGACCAAAGAGATGTGGGTTTTATCCCAGCTCCATGTACCTTCTGATCAATTACTTCACCTTAACTTTCTTATTTATAAAACTGAACTGATAATAGCACACTTGGAAATCCAAGAAATAGAGTTATTGTGCATGAAATGCCTGGTGTATAGTATGTGCTCAATAAATGATCATTGTTCTTTGTTTTTCATTATCGTCACTTTGTAATTTTCTTTGGATATGGACTTTAGGGGCTCTAAGTCATGAAAAGTGGCAGGCAGCTGAAAGAACAGTGTGGTTCCATAATTATTTATTGAGTGTCTCCTATATTTAACTTTGCATTAGCTCAAAGGGATACTTTGGAGAACAAGAGCAACAAAGTTCCCACTCTTAGAGCCTACACTCTAGGTGAGAAGTTATAAAATAAATAAGCAAGTAATAGTGTTACAAATGCCATTAGTACTCTGAAATGAGTGTATAAAAGATGTTAGGAATAAAGAATGTGCAATCTATGAAGAGTTTTAGGGAGAAGAGTGAAATGACATAATTTATATTTCTAACAGACCACAGTGACAGTTTGTGGAAAATGGAAGGTTGCAAGTGTGAAAGTGAGCAAGTGAAAGTCATTCTCTGCTGCAGGAGAGTGACATAAGCTGGCCTTGCTTGACTTCAAAATAGTTTTCAGTGTGATCAATTCACCATTTCCATGTGGAGGAGGTCTGTTGTTCAGACTCTTTGGGGGCTAAAAAAGGTTCTTTATGATGAGAGCTGGTAAGTCAATGAAACAGAGCCCAACTCCAAGTTGGATCATGGGGTGATGCAGCAGAAGACTCCAAAAGTCACAGATGAAAGAAGTTTGCGCCAAATTTAGAATAAAGAGATTTAGAAGGCTGCTGGTCGGTTTGAGGCACAGATTTCAGATGGCACAGGAGGAGATAGCAAGCAGTGTTGGACAGGTCTTCATGTAAGGAAGGAGCCAGGACCCGCTCTTACCAGAAACCCGAGCTCTGCCATTTGATTTCTATTAATGCCATGTAAGTCTCTCCATCCCCGAGGTAATTTGACACAGTCTGGGAAGGCTCCTGCTCTCTAGGAGCTGGGCTTTTGCAAGAGATGCTGCAGACAGAAAAACTATGTTAGACCTGTGCACATGTTGATATCTGTGTGTGTATATACATACATACATATATATGACCATTTTAATTTATTTAATTTATGAATCATTTTTCTATAATACAAATTTCTTGCAAAATATAATGCTATAGCCTACGAGTTCTTACAAAGTCACAAACAAGAACTAGCGACATGTACTTGACATAACGTGAAGTCCTGTGCTCTGTGCTCTCTGCGGGGAGAGATGAGGTGATTCTTCAGAAGCTGATCAAAATTCCCTGCCTCCCTCAGGGTAGCTGAGCCTCGGAACAGCGGGAGCACTGCGCCATCTGGTGGGCAGATGCACTGCATCAACGTTCATTAGCAGAGGCTTTTACACACACACACACACACACACACACACACACACAAATGCTTTTCAAGGAAGACTCGAGAACAAATCCCGAAGCTGAGTGACAACTACAAAATACCATCAATTAAAGATATTATCTGGTAAGTTTCACAACAGATTATAAATGAACAGGATTGAAATGTGGTACCACTGTAAATCTTTAATTTTTCAGTTGTATATATAATATCTGATAGTTAATGGGTGTGTACCCTGTGCCAGGTAGGTGCTAGTCTATGTACTTTACATGCATTAACATATGTCATCCTCACAACAATCCTATAAGATAGGCACTATTTCCATCCCGTTTTACAGGTGAGGAAACTGAAACAGAGAGGTTCAGTAACTTGCCCAAAGTTACACAAGTTGGTACGTGGCAAAGCAAGAATTTAACAATGTTCTTAAGCTCTTAGGCACTAGGCTAGGCTGCTTCTCTGATATATACAATGTAGCACCGTGAGATTGGGTGTCATTAAGCAAGAGGTCAGAAAACAGGATTTTGAAAAGCATGTTCTGAAAGTGTAAGATTCCTTTTTCAAATTGCTTCCCCAAGCAAAAGAATGCAAAACTCTGAGCTTCCTATAAGTCAGAACCTTTACAAAAAGCAAGTTTTTGAAGACTGCTTTACAAAAAAAAGCACCCTTATTAGAATCACCGAATTTGGAAGTAAAGGGCAAGATCCCTTGATGATCATAATTGTGGTAGTTAATTTTATGTGTTGACTTACTGGGCCACAAAATTCTCAGATACTTGGTCAAACATAATTCTAAGTGTGTCTATAAGGGTGTTTCTCGATGAAATTAGTATTTGAATTGAGAGACTGAGTGAAGCAGATTGCATTCCTAAATGTGGCAGACCTCATCCAATAGGTCAAAAGACTGAGTAGAACACAACGACTCACCCTTCCTTGAGTGAGAACAAGAGGGAACTCCCTCTGCCTGACTGCTTTGAGATGGGACATCAGTCTTTTCCTGCCTTCAGACTCAAACTGAAATATTGGCTCTTCTTGGGTCTCCAGCTTGCCAACTGCATATCTTAGGACATTCTATTGGCTGTTTCTCTAGAAAACCCTTACTAATGTGATGGCTCATTATGTCATCATCACATTGTCATCATCATTGTGGTCACCCTCAACATCACCATCATCATCTTCTCTACCACACACTGAGTGTCCTCCCTTTCAGGCACAGTGTTCAGTGCTCTGAGACTGTGTGAGTAAAAGTGCTTATTTTACAGATGAGTAAACGGAGGTTCAGTGAACTTGGAACATGTACCCAACACCTCACCAACAGTCAATGGTACAGGTAAGACCATGGTTATCAACAGCCCAGTGCATTTTTCTCTATGCCAAGTGACATCTCCCACTAGATGGAACAGTCATCAACAACTAACATTTGGAAGGATGATGGCATGTTTTCCATCTTCAGATATCTTATTAACTCTAATTTTCTTGAAAAGTGCTTTCTCATTCCTTTGAAAGCCATTATTTTCCTTCTTTTCCAGGGTGACATGTTGTCATTTTAGCTTGGTTACTTTTGAGGCAGTTTAATCTGATTTTGCTAGGAACCAGTTATTCTTCTTACATCTGTTTGACCATTCATCAACTAACAGGCATTTTCCACAACTGCAGATACAAAAGAGACAAGAAAAAGTGCAGCTCACCTTAAATACCCTGATTCATCTGAGCTGGGCATGATTCAGCTACTCAAGATATTGAATTTGGGAAATATGTGTGTCTTCAGACTTTTTCCTCTCTCTGTATGGGAGAGGGCTGGCAAGTCGGGCACCAGAGGGATCAACTCATGCACAAGGCTGCTGCAGCCTGCATAAAAGTGTGCAAGTAGACCTGGTTGCAAAGGACAAGAGGGTGTGGGGCATCAACCCCTCCCATGACAACTTCCAAAGGAAAAATAGACTATAATTATCAGAAACCCAATTGCCCTATTAAAATACATGAAATAACTACAAAAATTGTGAAATTGAAGTCATGGGGTTTTTTTAATAACAGTAAAAAATATTTGTATCCAGAAAGAAAATTTAAACCTAGCAAGATATATCTAAGTAAACTGTGCCCTTCCCACCCCTAAGCCCCAACATGTTAATCAGATGTGCAGTCCCAGAGGCAGGACCTCTTGGCCCATGGTGAGTTCACCTTGGACAGACTCCTTTGAAGAGATAAGCTATCTAGGATAAGAAGAGAACTTGCTGGAAATAGCCAGATAAATAACAGTAGATTGTAGCCTATCTGCCAGGAAGCACACTTTTTCCCCAGCCATTTGCAGGAAGAGAAGTAGGTTGCTATGCCATTACAAGTCATTTTCTCTCCCGGGTTACGCCAGCCCATGCTCCTTTTTCATTCCAATTGCTGCATTTCTAGAGGATCATACTGCCATTTTTCTCTTCTCTGTCTAATGCCAATCGCACTTCTGGGCTGTTGCCCCCACTGCTGATGGTGTTAATCTCCATGGGAACCAATGTGACTCACAGGGTCAATGTGTGCTTGGCAAGTCCTGTTATGATCATTGCCAGCGTGTTACCAGCAATGGCAGCATAATCCTCAGTGATCACATTTTTGTTTTGTGAATTTTGCCGGTGAGTCATGCAGCTTAAAGGCAATAGCCTCAAAGGAAATCTTAGCTTAGCACTTTGGTGTAAATCCTATCACAGCCACCTTCTATGCAAGCCGCATTCCAGCATCCCCCTTTTCAGAAGTCATGGAGTCCACTATTTGCTCAGGAATTATGTTTTCTTGGACTTTTTCTGTATCTATTATCCTGGTTTGGCATCAGGCATTCTGTCTATAGACAATAGGAACTATTTAATGGGAATAGCAATGCCCATGGAAATAATGACTCTCCTTTTCAATAAGGTATTCTCATTTTTCTGTTGTTGTTGTGATGGTAGTGGTGGTGGTTTTCGTTATAACATGAAATCTACCCTGTGGCCTCTTATAGGATGAATCCAATGAAAGGAAGCTATTTGGTCAACTGAAAGTTGTCTTACAAAGTTTGAGTTTCTAAAGATAAGCTAGAGATCACCGAATCCAACTCCCACCTGGTGCAGATTCTAATAAATGCATCCAGCATCTTTTTGATTAGTGGAAAGCAAAGATAGTCTCCCACTTATTTCCAAGAGATGTGCCCTCTAATGCTGGATTACTTAAATTATTAGAGAATCCTTTCTTACAATGAGTAAAAATCTGCCCACCTGTAGATTTGATCCATCTATTAGCGTTCTGCTCTCTAAGGAATAAAAAAAAACTTTCTTTCCTGTATTCCCATTTTATCTCTACTGGGGTCGTCTAGTACCCAGTCCTTCCTGCCTCATCACATGAGACTCATCACTTGTTTTTCATGTGTCTGTCTCCTTCACCAAATGGAGCTTCTGGAAGACAAAACACATGTCCCATTCTTTGAATCATGAGTGCTTATGTTTAGTGACACACCTTCAAATACTCCGTGCTGCTTTGTCTTTCTCCCTTGGTCATTGTATTAGTCTGTTCTCACACTGCTATGAAGAAATGGCCAAGACTGGATAATTTGTAAAGGAAAGGGAAGAAGCGGGCACCTTCTTCACAGGGAAGCAGGACAGAGTGAGTACAAGCAGGGTAAATGCCAGATGCTTATAAAACCAACAGATCTTATGAGACTCACTGTCATGAGAACAGCATGGGGAAAACTGCCTTCATGATTTGATTACCTTCGTCTAGTCCAGCCCTTGACCCAAGGAGATTATGGGGATTACAACTCAAGATGAGATTTTGGATGGGGACACAGAGCCAAACCATGTCATTCCACCCCAGCCCCTCTCAAATCTCATGTCCTCACATTTCAAAACACAGTCATGCCTTTCCAATAGTCCCCCAAAGTTTTAACTCATTCCAGCATTAACCCAAAAGTCCAAGTCCAAAATCTCTGAGACAAAGCATGTCCCTTCTGTCTATGAGCCTGTAAAATCAAAAGCAAGTTAGTTACTTCCTAGATACAAGGAAGATACTGGCATTGGGTAAATACACCCATTCCAAATGGGAGAAAATGGCCAAAACTAAGGGGCTACAGGCCCCATTCAAGTCCAAAATCCAATAAGGCAGTCATTAAACCTTAAAGTTCCAGAATGATCTCTTTTGAATCCATGTCTCACATCCAGGTCACACTGATGCAAGCAAGAGGTGAGCTCCCATGGCCTTGGGCAGCTCCTCACCTGTGGCTTTGCAGGGTACAGCCCCTCTCCTGGCTGCTTTTACAGGCTGGCGTTGAATGTCTGTGGCTTTTGCAGGCACATGCTGCGAGCTGTCAGTGGATCTACCATTCTGAAGTCTGGAGGACAGTGGCCCTCTTCTCACACCTCCACTAAGCAGTCCCCCAGTGGAGACTCTGTGTGGGGGCTCCTACATTTCCCTCCTGCACTGCTCTAGCAGAGGTTCTCCATGACAGCTCAGCCCCTGCAGCAAACTTCTGCCTGGACATCCAGGCATTTCCATACATCCTCTGAAATCTAGGCAGAGTTTCCCAAACCTCAGTTGTTGACTTCTGTGCACCCACAGGCTCAACACAATATAGAAGCTGCCAAGGCTTGGGACTTGCACCCTCTGAAGCAATGGCTTGAGCTGTATCTTGGCCCCTTTTAGCCACAGCTAGAGCTGAAGCAGCTGGGATGCAGGGCATCATGTCCCAAGGCTGCACAGAGCAGAGGGGCCCTGGGCCCAGAAAACCATTTTTTCCTCCTAGGCCTCTGGGCCTGAGACAGGAGGGGCTGCCCCAAGGTCTCTGACATGCCCTGGAGACATTTTCCCCATTGTCTTGGTGATTAACACTCGGTTCCTCGTTACTTTTACAAATTTCTGGAGCAGGCTTGAATTTCTCCCCAGAAAATAGGATTTTCTTTTCTACTGCATTATCAGGCTGCAAATTTTCCAAACTTTTATGCTCTGCTTCCTTTTGAATGCTTTGCTGCTTAGAAATTTCTTCCACCAGATACCCTAAATCATCTCTCTCAAGTTCAAATTTCCACAAATCTCTAGGGCAGGGACAAATTGCTACCAGTCTCTTTGCTAAAGCAAAGCAAGAGTGATCAACAAGTTCCTCATCTCCATCTGAGACCAGCCTGGACTTCATTGTCCATATTACTATTAGCATTTTGGTCAAAGCCATTCAACAAGTCTCTAGGAAGTTCCAAACTTTCCCACATTTTTTTGAGCCTCCCAAACTGTTGCAGTCCCTGTGTGTTACCCAGTTGCAAAGTTGTTTCCACATTTTCAGATATCTTTATGCTGCACCTCATTACCTTGGTACCAATTTACTGTATTAGTTTGTTCTCACACTGCTGTGAAGAAATACCTAAGACTGGGTAATTTATAAAAGAAAAAGATTTCATTGACTCACAGTTCTGCATTGCTGGGGAGGCCTCAGGAAACTTATAATAATGGTAGAAGGCAAAGGAGAAGCAGGCACCTTCTTCACAGGGTGGCAGGATGGACTGAGTGCAAGCAGGAGAAATGCCAGACACTTATAAAACCATCAGATCTCGTGAGATTCACTCACTATCATGAGAACAGCATAAGGGAGACCCCCCATCATGATTCAATTACCTCTACCTGGTCCCACCCTTGACACATGGGGATTATGGGGATTACAACTCAAGATGAAATTTTGGGTGCAGACACAGCCAAATCATATCAGTCATGCTAGTTCAGGCTAAGAATTTCTAATTCCTTCAACTATTTGTCAAATCACCAAGCAGATACTGGCCTCTTTTCACCTCCTTCTCCAACAAGAGTACAAACAAGGTGGAAGAAAATGTCTCTGTGACAAAAACTATACTTTCAAATATCACACTATGTGGTGAGGGTAATGAAGTAGTTCAGAAAGTCTATATAGGATGCTCTAGGTCCTTTAAACAGTCTTGAAATTCTACACTAAATGAGATTTTTACAACTGGAAGAGACTGTAGACCCCACCTCACCCCAATCAGTACTAAGGGGAATATGGGGACCTAAGAATCAGAGTGAATTGCCCAAGGTCACAGAGCCAGTTACTGGACGAGCTAAAACTAGAAACAGTCACTTCTTTTTCTCTCTCTCGTGTTCTTTACAACACACCACACTAACTCAAAGCGAATATTATGCCCAGGCACTTATATGCTCCTGAATAGTTAACTGGTGATTTCAAACTTGGAAAGCGTGTTCTTATATCTTCAGACCTAAATTTTAGCACTCTCTCTCCCACTAATAGCATTTATATGGTACTAAATATTCCAACAGGGTTTTAAGGCTTACAACTACTGTCCCTGGCAATCTTGGTTTTGATCTCAGAAGAAAGAGATGCTAATATAAAATCTTCAGAGTTTTAAAAGACTGAAGGAGTCTTTCTTATTCATGTTTATCTTCCACAGCACTTAGCACAGTGCCTGGCATATGATAGTCATTTAAAAAATGTTTGCTGACAGATTAATAGTTTTGTAATTATTCATTGATGAATTATCCATGACAAAATTTCAAATCAGGCTAAATTTCCCTATCTCTTGGCCTATTTCCAATGTCAAGGCCACATCCTCAATAATCAATCAATTGATTATTGTTCAAAGAACTTAAACAAATACTAATGTTTATCCAAGCAACATATACTTTGAAACTCAAATATGCTAAAAATACACATACAAGATAATTCCAACTTGCAAATAGATGACATTCTGACAGAACATATGCAGACTAAGAGCTAGAACTTGAAAGATACATTCTGGAGGAGAAAAAGTAACAAGAGGAGGAAGAGGAGGAGTAAAAAGAAAGAGAAAAGTGGCTGGTGTAAAATTCCCTTTGTGCTGGTGAAGCACATTGTAAAGAACATGACAGAGTAAAAGAAGAACCTGCTTCCATCTCTGCTTCTCTCTATAACAGCCTCTATGACCTTGCGATAAATAGATTCCCAGGCGTGGGAAATAAGATCTATTTAAGATATTGTTTATTTAGGAAACATGAGTCCCCCTTCACCAGGAACACAAATTCCAGCTTCTAAAGTTATAAAGCCACTGTCAGGTTAGAAAGAAATTTATTCCACACTCACTGTAATTGAAAGAAAACTTATTATCCCTAAAGAGAGCACTTGTTAGCCTTTCTACACAATCTTTTTTAGCAATGCGCAATAAAAAAAACTTTCTTTTTCAATACAATCGAAAAAAGTAAGTATAAAATTTGGTTCAAGTAAAAAACTATTAAAAATACATATCTTAAATATTTTATTTAAATGTCAAATATGTAAGTATACATTCATTCATATATCCACCTCTGATATATAATGGAGCAGCCACTAACTAAATTTCCTCAAAGTTTATTTTGTATAAACCACTCCCAAAATGCCTCCTTTACAATTGGCGGTTTCAATTTTTTTAATATGCAAAACATTAGGGCACTTTAAACGCAATCTGACTGCAAAAACTTTCTTAATTTTTACAATTTTTAAATCAAACTCCAATCTTTGCAAAATATTTTATTATTTTGCAAAGAAATAACTCTTCTGCCATACTCATACTTTACTCATTAAATATATATTATAATAATATTGCAAAATTACAAGTACAATTGACAAAAACAGATTTGGGAACAAACACAATTGATTCTTGGTAAGCACACAGCTCAACTCCTGAAAGTAGTATTTGGGCCACAGAGTAATCTACCAGCACGAAGTGTTCAGTCAAGCGTGGGTATCCATCAGTATCCTGTACAGAGGGCATTAAGAGTATCAGTTCATCTGGTAAACCAGTTTAAATTGTTCCCACTTTATTTGCAACAACAGAGCCATCATGAGTTTCGTGGGACAGTGTTACTGCCCACTCCCCAAACCTCCATTGACTATACTTTGATAAAAACCTCCTGTATTAGTTTCCAAGAATTTTCATAACAATTTAACACAAACTAGGTGTTTAAAACAGCAAATTCTTTTTTCTCCCACAGTTCTGGAGGTCAGAAGTCCAAAATCAAGGTGTCATTAGGGCTGTGTTCCCGCCGAAGGCTTTAGGAAAGAATCTTCCCCTGCCTCCTTTAACTTCTGGGTTCCCAACCATTATATCTGCAAATACCCTGTTTCCAAATAAGCTCATATTCTTAGGTTCATGGTAGACATGAATTTTTGACAGACACTATTCAACTGATCTACCACACTTTGACAAACCCTCACCTCTACATGCTTAAATAGCCTCAAACATGCTATTTCCTATTCTAGAAAACCCCCTACCCCATTCTTTAACATGGTAAATTCTCATATGCTTCCTTGTTCATATGCTTTTGGCTGTTCTCCCAGAAGAAGGTCCTTGCCTCCTTAATATAATTCATTTTCCTATTCTGACCTTGTCTGCTTTTCTTATCTATTTTCACCGTCACACCCACTTTTTCAACTATTTATTGAGCACCTGCTAAATGCCCACACTGTGCTAGGGGCTGAAGATATATTTCATAGTAATGACTAAGACCAAGTTTCCTACCTTTTGAAGGGTAGAAAGCTTCAAGTCTTTAAAAGGAAGGAGCATAAATTTGTTTTTGATTCCTCAAAGCCTGTCGTGCTACTAGTCATACAGTAAGCACTCAATACACATTTGTTGAGTAAACAATTTCAGAGGACAAAGCAAATAATGGGTAGACTGGGACAGCTGGAGGTCTGAGGATATAGATTTTTGCCTGGAATGAAAACTTTCATGTAATTCAAGCTATGACCAGGAAATGCACTGCCTCTGTTTTACTAAAAATGCTCAAACAGAAATCTGTCAATGGAAGATCAGCCTACATGGTTTCCAAGGCTCCTTTAAACTCTATTTCTTTTCATTCCCTGATAGATTAAATGATGGAGAGACGACATTTCTCAATTTTGCCTTTTTTCCTATGCAAATTCAAAAAATTGTATTTAGTACTAACAATGTACTAGACATGATGCTAAACATTTAATTCCTATTAAGTGTTAACTAAATTCTCACCACACATCACACAAAGCAGGTAAAATAGTAAAAGAAACCACTGGCTGTTCACCAAAGAATACATCTTCTCTTTTTCCTGAAACACAACTAGATTACATTTCTCAATGTTCCTTGCGTTTAGGGGTGACCATGTGACTGAATTCTAGACAATTGAGTACAAACAGAAGTGATATGGGCTACTTCCAGGCCTGGCCCATTAAAATCTCCCAGATGTACTCCTTCACTCTCTTTTCCCTTTCTAGATGCTAGCACAGAGATAACTTACAACACATACATTCTCCGTGTGGGTAATATGGCTCCCAATAAGTGAACATTGTTGCTTGGGGGAGCAAAAAAATCTTTGATATTGCAATGGTTTGTGGCCTTCCAAAGGTCGTATCTACCTGGTAAAATCTTATTTCTTAGCATTTAATTTCTCTCATTAGGGAGAAGTTAAATGAAATTTAATTAATTAATTTAAATTAATTGGGTTTAATTAATTTAATTTTTCTCCTTAGTGGAGAAATAATGAGAAAATATTTGAGAACTACTGCTCTAAAGCAACCCTGAAAGCTACATATTAAAGGTAGTAAAACCTCTTTCAGCCTGAGTCTCTGAATGACTAACTGGAGAAGAAACATTTTGGTCACTACCAAGTACTATTAATGAAAAATCTCATTTCCATTGTGTCTGAACCTTTACATACTTATGAGTCTGATATAGCAGTTAGCACGTCCTATGTATTATAACTATTCTCTTATCCATTTTACACACGGGGAAAACTGAGCTCAGAGAGCATAATCCTAAGATCAAGCCTGCTGGTAAATAGTAGAGCAGAGATTTAAAACTTGTCTGATTCAAAAACCTGAGCTATGGATCCTTATGTTCCATTGCTTCTCCAGCTGTCAGAAGCTACATGTTTCCACTGTATGAGACCATTTCCAGTCTGAATTACTGGAGGATGCTGAATGTGATCTCTAGTTTGGGGATTAAAGTTATACTATTTTTAGTTATACTATTTTTTATGTGTTCAAAGTTGAGAAATCCTTCCAGGAATCATAACTTTAATTCACACTTACAAAGTTGTGCTGCTGCAAATCTCTTGTAATCAAATATGCACAGTAATAAGCAGTGAAATGGAATATGTGGAAATAAATTATTTTTTGTTTTTTGATAGACACAAAAACGAGATGCATCAGGTCTGGGTGAAACCTATAAAAAACTCAAGTAAGTCAAAGGCCCACGGAATTTGGTTTCGTATGCACTCAAAAACATCCAAGTTTCCCCAGCAGAGAACGCAAAGTCAGGCTGAAGATTTCATGAGATCTAAGGAATTATGTCATTGCTCTTCAAAGCATCTTACTACGTATGATCATATTACAGACAATGATGGGCTTTGTCCTAAAGTTGCAAATCTACAGTTTTCCCATAGAAATTGCATAGGATGTACTTATGTGGAAACTATTTAACTTGCATTGTCCCCAGAAAAGTATTATCAAAACACATAGATGTCTGAAAGAGCTTTTCATTGTTCTCCATGTAGGTGTATGCATGCTTAACGCAGTGTAAGTCTCAGAGCTGCTGAATAAAAAGAAGACAGTAACTTTTTAAAATGTTGACTAACAAAGTCAACTGTGTTGATAGATGGGAAGAGCATTGCTCAAGTCTTTAATTCTCTATACACGTTTTACTGTGTGCCTTTTTCTGGTGATCTTTGGATACACAATTGAACGATGCTCCTCAGAGAATTTCCCTCTTTTTTGCTTCACTTTATTCCATTGCTACTTAAATAAGGTAATGTACTGCTCTGAGACTCAAATGCATCACATTCCAACCTGAAATACGGGAGATGTGAACAAAAAAATGGAACTATTGAAAGCTAGATAGAGATTATAGGATGTTTTAGGTAAAGGTTGAAGGAGGAATTATTTGTTTTTTATTCTTATGTATTTAAAAGAGTGCTACAGCTTTGGAACATATTTCCAGATGCAAAATTAATATTATAGAGAATCACCAGGTTCACAGCTTTTGAATCAAATGCCATCTCTTCTGTATGCTGTGAGTAGCCCTACCTTTTAACATTTAAGAGATAAAGCTCTATGTTAAATTTTCCAATTATTACCTGTCTGGTACAGTTGCAACAGGACCATATCAAGTATTTGAGTTTTACTAGGGAAATGTAATTACAGTTTGAAAAATAGTGGAAAATGCATTCCTATCACATCCTTAGTGGCAGTTTATATGCTAAAAAGAAAAATGCTTAGGGTCTAATTCATAAGAGCTTCATGCTTCATTTACATTTTTCTGTGCAGTTTACTTGGAAAAGAGCATAATGCATGTTTTTCAAGTAAAATATGCCTTTTAGGGATTCATTCAACTTGCTTTCCATTGTCCTCATTGAGGGCCAAGCGTTCTTTTCTACAATCCTAAAGGGCACTAGTAAATGGGGTGGGTGGAAAGCCCTCACTGTTAACTAAAAGGAATGCCTAAAACCATTGTACGGATTATTTAGAAAATTTACAGCAGTCTCTAGCAGTCAAATCTTGAAAAGTCTGTTGTACGTTTACTATGCAGACTGTTTTCCAAGCCCTTTGTATAGGATATTGAACAAATTACCTGACAATATGAATATTTTTGAGGTCTGCTCAGAATTTACAAGATTCTGACCATTTCCCAACCCATCCATGTTCTTTTCTTTAGTTCAGTGTTTCTCAAAACATGGTCTGTGGGCTAGCAAACATCAGAGTCAACTGAAATTCCTGTTAAAAACATGATTTCCTAAGTTCCACAACACTGATCCAAAACTGTTGAGAGTAGAGACCTGGAATTTGAATTTTACAAGCTACAATGATGAGCACCAAATTTAAAACCCCATCCCTGTGTTTTGGACTAAGGCAATCAAGAGGGAGTTCACTCCTAAGTAGAGCAAACACACTCTCTTTTAGTAACCAGTGATTTTTTTTTTAAACCAAGTTTACTAGCCCATGTAAGATCAACCTGGAGGAGGCCAAAATCACATTTGCAAGAGATGGCAATTTTGTCTCAAGCACAAAGTTATAACCCTCAACGATATGATCTACAACATTCGGCCTTTCTGTCTTCTTCCTAATCCCTGTAACTGCTTTCTACAGTTCCTGAAAGAAAACAATGTAACTAAAAAGCAATTCTCACAGTGTTCACTGATGCACTGGAAAATGAATGTTGCAGACAATCAGCTCATTATTTATTCTGCACACTATCAAAACTGCCAGGCCAATTTTCTTCTCCCCCTGAATTCACTGAACATATTCAGTGGCTTTGGCATCCTATTGAGATCACTATAGCCCTATATCAGGGAAAATTTGAGGCCAAACATAATTGTTCTAAAAATGCATCACCTCGGCCATTACAGAGTAACACTTGTAATACTTTTAGTGGATGAAGGCCATAGGCCTTGACTGGTTTGGCTAAGTTTACTCTGGGTTAAAGCCAAAACTTAATATGTCTTTGTTGATCGATAAAAGAAAAAAATTCATGTAGTAGAAATCCCTACGTCACCCACATCTGGTTTTCCTCTCCTTCCTGGCACATATGAAGATTACAGTTTCATGTCCAGGTGGGCAGAAGTGAGTGATATGTGTCACTCCCAGGGCAAAGCATTTAACTGCTGGAATGAACACCCTAACACAGTCCGTCCTTGAGCAATGACCAAGGAGCTGCAGGTTCCCAGTGGAGCAATTACAGAGCATTCATTATCCCCAAAACGTCACTTGGACTTACTCAACTTTGTAATCAAGAAACAAACCTTTCTTCTGTGAGGCCACTGAGATATGGGGGTTGTTTGTCACTACAGCATAACTTATCCAATCCTGATTAACATAACAACGCAGTATCACACTTCAATGTATTGACATACATTCAACATCTTTTAGCAAACGGAATACCCTAGACCAATACCTGGCAGAAAGGTCATGAGGAGCAAACCGCTTCTTCCCAAAGACTGTTTGATCTCAGTGTGCTGGGTGGTATCAGCCTCCACCTGGTAATAAAGTGTTTTGAAGCCTTTTCTGCATCTGAGAAGGCTTTTGGGATCCAATTCAGAAGAGAATATTTTGAGGACGAAATGAGATAATGTATGCCAAAGTGTTCTGTTTAACACACAGAGCTACACAAATAGGAATTAGGCTCGACAAAAAGCCGACTTAGATTGTACTTAATTTCACACAAATTTTAAAGTTATTGCTCCATCTTCTCATTTTCAGTTGGAGGGGTTTTATTTTGATATTTTAAAAAGAATAAAATGTGTTGGATTAAAGGACATCCACATCTTATAAAATGAAAGTACATTTCCTACTTTGCCATTGTCATCTACATTTACAGTCATGCCCTTGCTGAAAGTACTATAGGAAGTGCTGTGAGAGATAGAAAAGTCGAAAACATATTTTTTAAACAGGGCTTCATTTTCGTCATCTGTGTAATACAATTAACAGCCGCCAATCTCTCTTATGTTTCTACCCAGAAATACTATGAAGAAAAGTGCTATCATTTCTGCTGTTATCTTTGAAAAAATATTTTGGTAAAAATGGAATTTTGTTGGTACCTTTAAAATTCAATTTTTATCCTTGTAAAGGTCTTTGAATAAGGTTGTTTTTCTTTTGAGAGCTGATAGGATTGATTAAGCAATGCTATCTGAATAAGAAAAGGTTAACAAAAATATTAAAATCCTTAACTCACTACTACATGTTTTTAAAAAAGAGAGAAAGAGAGACTTTTTTTTTTCAGTCTTTTCTAGGAGAGAGAAACCATGACGCTGTTTTCTTCTATGTCAGTTTGCCCAGAGGGATGCTGTTTCCTGAGCTTAATAAGGGTCCTATTTCTTCTCAGCCCTTACAGTCTATTAATTACTGCAGTGAGTGCTTAGAGATGTCGAAGCAATCATTTGTAAGATGATAGGAGCCCTCATCATTCTGAGATGTGGGTTTTAGCCATCTAAAATTACCCAAATGAAACAGATGTTGCAAATGTGAGTCCTTATTATAATGTTTTCTTTTCATTACCCAGCAGAAAGCTGTATTCCTCACACTCTGGTCTCACATAGCAGGACTGCCTAAGAAATCTTGGGCTGGGCATGCCGTGTTCTATAGGACCTGTGGGTGCCCAAGGAGTTCTGGTTTGAGTCACCGACACAACACAAAAAACCAGACCAGAAGCAGCCCACCAAGATCCAAGAATGGGACTGTCACGTAGGCTCAGTACCCAGACCCTCCTGCGCATTATTCAAAGTAAATTTCATGGCCTCCTTTTGCACCTAGGAGGCTAGAGCTGCACAAAGCTGCTTAATGAGGAACTGGGGGAAATTGGCCCTGTAAGCATGTGGCTAGAACTACACAGTTCATTTTTGTATAGTGGAACTTTCTTCTGTTTATGGTGAGTAGATCTTTGTAACACAAAAGAGAGAAAAAGAAGAAAGTTAAGTGGTGACATATCTTGATAAATGGTAAATGCCATACCAAATGCTAACTATATGCTGGGCATTATTCTGGTTACTGAGGAAACAGCAATGAAATAGACAAAGTTCCAGCTCCCATGGAGCTAACACTCTAGTGAGAGACAGACTTCAAAGAAATAGATATACAGCATAATATTGGGTATATACATGTTTAGAAGAAAACACAGAGCAGAAAGAAAGAACATGAAAATGGCTCCGACTTTCAATAGGATAGCTAGGAAAAGCCTCACTAAAGAGGTGATCTGAAAGAGACAAAGAAGTGAAGTAAGGGAAAGACCCATGGGAAAATCTGGGATGAGAGTTCCAGGCAGCGAGAACAGCATGTGCACTGCCCTTAAGGTGGAGGCAAGCTTGGTGCGATGGAGGCATGGCACAGGTAGGAAGGTGACTGGAGCTGCAGGATGTGGGGGGAGCTACATGAAATGAAGCCAGAGAGTCTAGTAGGCCACTTGAAGGACTTTGGATTTTGTTCTATCCAAAGCTATTGACGGGAAACTATTGGAGGATTAGAGCGAGTGAATATACAATCTGATTTTTTAAAGATCACTCTGGCTGCTATTTGGAGAATAGTCTCAGAGGGCAAAGTAGGAGCAAGGAGACTAATTGGGGATGGGGAAAGAAATCAAGTTCTCTTTTGGATGATGCATGTGGTCACACCCCCTGTATACCAGCTCAGATCCCCATCACTGCCAATTTCTTTTTCTCTACTTTGGAACCCACCTATGCCAGGTCCACTTTAGAACTTAGGTAAAATTCAACACCAACGGTAATAAAATCTATTTTCCCAAATGGCATGACTGAGGCTGTAGGACAACCCAGAAGCACTGGGGAAGTTAGCTCTCCATGGGTGAAACTTGACCAATAAGAAATGCAAGATGGGAGGGAAACACAAATAAAGTTCCCTCCCTTTCTCTTTCTTTATGACTACCCTAAAGGGCAGCTCTTCCTTACTATCCTATAGGAAATCTATGTGCCAAGTAAACAAGCCTGAGGGCCACCGGCTGTGTTTCTTCATAGCTTGGTTTACTGCTAGGACCAAGCAGAAATGCATCTCATGGCCAACCCTGCGTCTTCCTATCTTCCTTGTTTCACTTCCTTTGCATCTTTGCCTCTACAACCTGGACTTTCACATTTAAAATAAAGTAGTAGCATCTTATGCTGGCTTCAAGCTCTACTTTCTAGAGGGCCACCTTAAGATATGCATGTTAAATTGAAGGCACATATTAGACAACTTAAGGGAGATGGGTACACAAGCCAGAATTTCAGGGAAAATATTAAGGCTAGAGATATTCATTTTGGAGTTATGTATAAATGATATTTACATATCATTTATCCTGTTCAGTCAGCATCACTAAGGGAGAGTAGAGAGAGGGGAGATCTGAGGCTTTATTGAAGGACACTCTGGCACTTAGGGGTAGAAATTAGAAGAAGCCATTAAAGGATTTTTAGAATGAGATCGAAGGAAAAGGAGGAAAGGGTGGCATCCTGAAAACAAACTGGAAAAGGTGCTTCAAAAGGGGAATGGCAGCAGTTGCTGGTACATGAGAAAAATGAAGAGTGAGAACCAATAGCTGGGTTTGGCAACATGGAAGTTGTTGATGACTGAACAAGAGCAGCTCTGCTGAGTGGTGAGGGTAAAAGCTTGATGACAGAGGGTTAAGAGAGATTTGGCAGGAGAGAATGGGCAGACAACTCCCAAGAGGAATTGTGCTATGAAAGGAAGCAAAGGAATTGGAGAAGTATGTTTGTCTAGGTCTTTCACAAAACAGACTCAAAGCCTGGATTAAACATGTAACGATTTTATTATGGGGAAATGCCTATGTTAAAAGAGGTTGGGGAGCTGTCAGACGCTAATGCAAGTCTGAGGCTCAGTGGGCTTAGTGGAGGAGAAAGGAAGACAGGAATGAGTGGAAGCAGGCTAGGCTGCCACGCAGTTCATGGAAAGTTTGACAAAGCTATTAGTTCTCAAGCCAGAGTTGGCCAACAAAGGAGTCCTGTGTCTCCCAAGAAGGGCTCTGTCTTAGTATTACTGCCTAACTCAGTCATTGGCAGGGAGTAGTCTGTGGAAAACATTGCCTCGGTACAAAGGGAGAATAGATTCCAAAGCACAGCAGCTGGAGCCCTGGGTAAAGAATGCTCCCTTTAGTAGGATGTTTCCCTTAGTAGGAAGGCCACTGCAACATGTTGATGGAGAAAATGAAGGGTCAAGGGAGAATATTTTTTCTTAGGATGACAGATGACACAGCCTGTCTGTGGAATGTTGGGGTGACCTAGAGAGAGGATCATAATATGAAGCTGTAAAGAGGGCCCATGGCAGAAGCAGAGTCTTTAAAAAGATGAAAGAGGGGCAGAATCAGCTACAAGAGTGAAGGATTTTGCCTTCAATGGGACAGGGGTTCAGGACAGAAAACAAAGTCCTCAGTACACATTCAGTGGATTGGTAAACTACTTGGTGAAAGATTGAAGTCGTCCTTTCCTGTTGCCTTAAACTTTCTCAGGAAAGTAGAAAGCAAGACCATCAGCCATGAGTGAGAACTATGGAGGGAGTAACGAAAATATGAAGAGAAAGAAAATGTTGTAAAATAATCACCAGCAACAGTGGGAGAGTAAATCAACAAAAGCAATGTGGTAGAATTGTGAGGTTCACTGTATATGAACAAGAGAACATGAGTGAGCTTATTATAATGTAAATAAAATAATCGCAGACACTAGCTTACACGTGGCGAATGACAAAAATCACTGTAGCAAGAGCTTTCAGACTAATTTCGATAGGCTGTAGTGCAGGGCTGCTCAGGCTTGATTTCCCACACCTGTCATGTATGACTACCTATTAATTCCCATGTTTCCCACTTATCCTACTGCCTGGTGGCCTGAATATTTCATGCACCTCACAGTTCACAACATAAGGATAGTCCACCTGGCTGGTACCACAGTGGCAGGGAGGGCAGCTGCACTGAAGACTTCTCCCACCACCACTGGATCCAAGGGAGTGATCTGACCCCATTCATTTACATCCAAACTCCCTTTGATATATCAACAAGTTCTTTCATCGACGTGCTTGAAAGGAGATATTAGGTGTATGTGTCTGGAAAGATTTTGGAAAGTTATTACTGGTTGTTCAGATTAAAGTGAAAATTTTGTGCACAGAATGGAGGTGTGGAGGTGAGACTCAAGCGTCAGTATTTTTTTCAACTTCCTAGTGATACTCATGTGCATCCAAGATAGAGAACCACTGTGCTAAAAGAGTGAAGAAAAAAAAACAATTCAATTCAAGTACAAAAATGGATCTTATTTTTTGTGTACACTTGAGGTGGGTCATATAGTAAGATTCCAGTGGATAGAACGAGAAAACGGGGAATTCTAGGGCTAGAGGAAAAGCAGTAAGATGAAAAAAACACTCCAAGAGAGAAACAAAAATGGTAAACTTAGCAAATGTCTCATATTCCTTGAGGCTAAGATATCAAGTGCAAGAAGGAGGATGACAAAAAGTCAGTGCCCAAGAGTCAGATGACCAAGGGGAGGTTCAGTCTATCCCAGGCAATGGGAGCCATTGCAACAATTTAAGCATAGAATGACAAAGTTATAAGACCAAGTGAGCTTTCACACACTCACAAAATTAAACACCAATTAGAATTGTGATCCTATGAAATCCAGGGAAGTCTTCTTGTCTTGGTCATTTTTTACGTAATAAAAACACATCTTATCTTGTTTTGCTGTCTCACTAATTCAGCAAGTGAAGAGATTTCTTAATAGCTTTTCAGTTTGAATCATTTTCCTAAGATAATTAATTAAATTGAAGTAACACATTGAGAGCAAAGGGGGGCAATAATTCTGTATGCAAAGTGTCAGTGCAACAGACTTTATTAACTCTTGTTAAAATGTTCACTTCTAGCTAGGATACCAACTCACTTTAGGTCATTGAGGAAAGAAATTGGAAACAGCTCAATTTTAAATATATATTGATTGAATTGTGTCCTCCTGTTTTTCAGCACCATGCAAGAGCAATCACGGTTTAGTTAATCCCAACCCCTGAAAATATGCTATTTGTGTATATACCCTTAGGAATTCATTTTAGTATTTGCATAGAATTTACCTTCCTGCTTATAATTTTTATTCAATTAATATTAAGATCAGTTTACATTTTCCTTGAATATAAATCATAATGGCAGAGAGAATACAGAGTGTGGCAGCATCCCTATGGCAAATGGAGGGCAATCTTACATTTCCTGTTTGTCCCAGTGAATATTCCCACAAAGTCACTATTTTCCAGGTTAAAATGGGAGCGGGTCACATGTGATGGAATTTGAGAACTGTGTTCTATCTCCACAATCCAGAATAAGAAAGAAAAGAATGAGCTCAAAATTCCTTGCAAAAGATTTAGATCAAAAGAATCAGTAGAATTTTTTTAAATACAGTTTAATGTGGAGTAGATTCCCCCTAGAGAGCATGTTACATCTCCACATCAGAGCTCTGAGTATAATGAAAAAAGAGTTTCATTCTGAGTTCAGTTATTCATGGATGTTATGAAAATAAAAACTCAGCTGATGAAGCCTTCCTCTTGTTAATGTCCTGCTGTGTGATGTGTCCAAAAGCATTATTATTTTTTCTTATTAATGTTTTTAATATTATTAATTAGCCAAGAAACATAGAGTCGTGCAAAGGCCTGTCTTTAAAATGGACTTGCAACCAGAATGAGCCAGCACCCCACACAGTAGGGAATGGAAATGCACTCAGCAGATACAGTGACAGCTCAGAATTGGGTGGACAGCAATAATGCCCGAAGGAAGAAAATCAGCTCCAGCTTTCATGCTTTATTTTAGTCCAGTGGGTTTTTAGGTTGACGCCGTCTGACATTGACGGAGCTCTCCTTCCCGCAGCCTCCCATGTTTACCCTCAAGTGTGCTCTGTGCAACTTCCCCTGGGTCTGAATCCAGCCTGACTAGTTGAGACCAGGGCCACCGGACAAGGAGTATGACTAATTCTGCCTCAACACACAACCAGGATGGCACTTGCACCTCCGTATGTGACAAAGCATTTGAATCCCCAGAGAAAGAGTGCCCAGGAAAGCAGACCTGTGAAAGCAACTGGGTAAACCATTTTTATCTCTTTCCCTAGCCTGTCCACGGTAGAAACCAGTGATTCTGCAAGGGTTGGAGCCACATCTAATATTTTCTATTGCTTACATTTCTTGAAATTTAAATGTAGCCCTCTACTTCTACTTCTTTTTCATTATCCTCTCCCCAGGTAAGGTAGAGATCAAACAGGTTTCCTTCTTTATCTCTCCTTTTTTTAAACATGGGAAGATGAACCCAACAGGGCTTACAGGTCCATTGAAATCTCCAGCAGCCTACAGAGTCAATAGCATACGAGTCAACTTTGATTTATACAAAGCCAGAGATGTTGGATTGGGAAAACAATGTACGTTTTCAGAATAAACACATTTACAAAAATATATACTGACTGATACATCTTAACCATCTTTACTGATGTCTGTGAAAAACACACCTGCCAAAAGAGATAGACAAATTAAAAAGAACAATCACATAAGAAGAGGTGCTTTCAGACCCCGGGAGGGTGATATGATTTGGCTCTGTGTCCCCACCCATAGCTTACCTTAATTGTAATAATCCCCACATGTCAAGGGCAGGACACGGGGGGAGGTAATTGAATTATGGGGGTGGTTTCCCCTATGCTGTTCTCATGATAGTGAGTGAGTTCCCATGAGATCTGATGGTTTTATAAGCATCTGGCATTTTCCCTTTTGGCGCTCATTCTCTCTCCAGCCGCCCTGTGAAGAGATACCTTCTCCATGATTGTAAGTTTCCTGAAGCCTCCCCAGCCATGGGGAATTGTGAGTCAATTAAACCTCTTTTCTTTTTAAACTACCCAGTCTTGGGTATTTCTTCACAGCAATATGAGAACAGACTAATACAGAGGGATATAGGACATAGCAACCAAATATCATAATCTGGGCTTTATTACTATTTCCTTGATTAGAAGTTTTCATACTCAGATAAATAAGTGCTTTGTCTTACCAGAATCTTTGTATTTTTGTTAATTCGAGACCACGTTTCCAAAGCTTTGAATCCTGGAATGTAAATTTATCTTAGAAATTACCAGCCCTTTGATTAGCCCTGATATGTTTTATGTATCATAGGCCACCTAAGATGGCTTATTAGTTTTTCTGGATCCCCTGGAGCAAAAGAGGATGGAAAATGTTGGGGACACCAGGAGGGCATGCATTAAGTGCACTGGAGCATCAGCTCATAGTGCTCAGGAGACCTAAGAGAACACATTTGCCTACCAGAGATCCTACCTAATGACTCCCAGGGAGTAGCGTACTTACCCCAGGATTTATTTTAGAGGAATCCTACAGCTCAGTACCTCTCCTAATGGACTCCTGGGAATCCTTGGATATGTTTTCGGTCATCTTTAGGTTTCATGATTATTTAGTGTCATGTTTTATTTCAGTGATCTTTCAAAAACAATACAAGCACATTTGGGTAGTCTGACTGAAGACTTACAACCAAGCACTGCCAAGTAGGAATGACCTAAAGTGGTGGCAGGTAACTTTTAATAAGAATTCAGAAGAGTCCCAGGCTATCAGATAATGCCCCACGGAAATAAGAAAAGTTCCCACGTGTAGGGGCCACAATTGTTATCCAAGGCTAAGGATTGAAGTACAGCATTTCTCTTCTTACTCTTCAATCTCAATATGTAACCAAAAATCAAGGGAAATGTTCATGAATTAATTAACTTCCATATTGTCTATTAAGACCAGAGCAACAGCCTTGGCACTTCCTTCCTGGTTCTTTGTTTTAGCTCCCATTTAAGGTGTGCTTTGTCATCTGTATTGACTTCTGGACTGGCATAGCCACATACATACTGTGTCTCAGGAGCTATTAAGAAATCCCCGCTAGTGCCTGAAATGAACTCAGAAGAGCCCCAGGCTATCAGATAATGTCCCAGTAATGCGTACAGGTCATCATTATTCAGAGACTGTGGAATGAAATTCCAGTCAGAGCAAATTCCTTCTGACATATGAATTTTCTGGGGCTCATTAAGATGAACCAACCTGGGAAGAAGTGAGTGGGAAAAAAAAGCTTCTAATATCCCCCCACCAGGAAAAAAAAAAAAAAAAGAAGTGTAAGCCAGCTGAAAACAGGGAGTTGATTTCCCAGACGATGTTGTGGATTGATTTAGATGCAGCTATCCCAGAACTCATACAATCCTGATTAATACCCACTTTATCTCCCTCTGTTGCTCACTCTCACACAGATGAATTAAATAATGCCTACCTGTGCCACCCCAAGTCCTGCAGGAGCACATCCTGATTGCTCAGAAGTAGTCTATTATGGCGAGCATGGAAAGCAATCATAATAAATTACCACTTTTAACTCTATCCCACATGCATCCCAACACTTCCTCCTCTTCCCACTGTGGCCTCACAGCAGCCCTTGTGCCTCAACAGGCCATTTAAGTAGCATGATATAAACATGCAGGTTGAAAATGAGCCATCTCTCTTCGGAGCTACCTGCAAATCAAACAAAGCTTTACTTTATTTGGAGTTGGGGGCAATTAATACCTAACACCTTTCTGACCTTCAACACTGCAGGTAAAATCACTCTTTGCTGACCCTTCTCATTCCCTTTCTCCACTCTGCCAACACTTCCTGCATTAGCTGCTGCACATTCCCGCTAGTTATTCCTCTTTAACGAAATCAGTGCTTTGATGCATGTCTGTCTCATTGCTCTCTCTGTCTCTGACTTTCATGAGCCATTCAGAGGAAGCAGAAGCAGAGGCAAGGCTGCTTCCAAGAAAAGAAGACAAAGAAAAGGAGCGAAGGCATTGTCCTCTAATCACCAGCTCAATCAGGAATTTTGCAGCGTAGAAATGTCATGCATAAAATAAGGAGCAAGCAGTTTTCAAAGTGGATTATAGGGATTTTTTTCTGGTATAAAGCCAGGCAATTTTTCACTGATATAGCTAAATAAAGTAATTCTTTCTCTGGTCCTTCTCTGATGGTTATTTAATATTGTGTTTTGTTATGAGTTGTTTTTCTTCTGCATGGGCTTCTTTCCCCCATATTTACTTAATAGATACATATTCTTGAAATTTTTTCTGTAATATTTTTATACATTGTCCTGCCATTGTATGAAGGTGACAAAAAATAAATAAGAAAAGGCATCTGTTTTCTTTCATCGGCTTTTGTTTTGGTGAACTAATAATGTTGCTATTAAAAATCCCTCTGGATCAAAAGAAGATATGCTGAGCTTCAGATATGGGAAGAATAAAATTTAACTGCAGCTGATAAAATAGTTGAGTGTTGTTATATCTCAGGGAGCGTGTAGTAAATGTGATTAAAATCACTGTGTTGGAGAAACAGACCTTAGATACCATTTAGTCCAACCGACTCTCCTGCACATAAATCTGCTGAGTTATAAGATCACCTTTACAGAGGTCTGATATTAAAACACAATTGGCTCACATCACACAGTGAATCCATCAACAAAGCCCCTTACCACTACCTTCAAAATGTAACCCAGCTTCAAATAATTCCCACCACCTCCCCTGCTACCCCACCCTGCTCCTCCTACCATCCCTTCTCACCTGGATTGTTGCAATAGCTGCCACACTTCGACACTTTCTCCCAAGAGACTATTCTCCATATAGTAAACAAAGAAATTCTTTAAAATGTGAGTCAGATCATGCCATTTCCCTACTCAAAACCTTTCAGTGTCTCCTCATCACAAAATCCAAAGCCTTTGCCATAAACCTAAATACCCTGCATCACCTGGCTGAGGCTCTCTGGCGTCATCACCTTCCTCTCTTCCCCTGGCTCACATTGCTCTAACCATGCTTTTCCTTAAACACAATGAGCAGTCTCCACACTCAGGGCCTTGACTCAAGCAGCTCCCCTCTAGAGGGTTCTTTCCTCAGGTCACCTCATGGCTCACTCCTTTATTTCATTCAAATCCCTGCTAAGATGGCACCTGCTCCAAAGAAGACTTTCCTGATCCCCCTGTGTAGTCACCTCACTCACATCTTCCATCTCTATTCTTCCCCTCCCTCAGCTCCATTTTTGTCACAAAGCTAACCAACTTCCCATTGTATCTTTTTATATTTGCCTACTTACGTATTGACTGTATCCCTCACTGTTAAGTAAGAAAGCAGTGTCTTTGCCATTTTCATTCAATGTTGTATTCCTGGAAGAGCTGAATCAGGCAGGAAGGCCCAGCCGTCAAACCTGCGGCCTAGTTACAGCTCTCCATGTATCAAGATCTAGGAAGAAAAAAGTAAAGCATGTCTGTTTTCCTTATATGGTTTATAAATTATCAGATTTGTAATATTTGAGATTTAGTATGAGGCAAGCGAGGATATAGGTTTGGTTACTATAAAACTTTAAGGGACAAAATAAGGTCTCCTGGGAAGAAGGTCAAACACTCCAGTAGCAAACTCTTTCTCTTTATAAAGTTACCTTGGAAGAGTGAGGTTGTTTATAGGAAGATGTTAGGGATTTGTACTTTTGATAATTACAAAATCTTTGTCAAAGCTCAGGTGGGAGCATTGCTTGACATTCATGTTGAGTAAGTTAAAGGAACAATTGCTAAGGCTTTAGAAAGTTTATAAGTTCAGACAGTTGGCCCTCTGTTTCCATGGGTTTTGTGTCCTGGGGTTTAAACAACCATGGATCAAAACCTGCAAATATAGAGGACCAACTGTATGCATTTTTCATTTGTGGTTGGTTGAATTCTCAAATGCAGAACCCACAGAAATACAGAGGGACAACTGTACTATGCCATTTTATATAACGGACTTGAGCATCTAAAGATTTTGGCATCCCCAAAGGGTCCTGGAAACAATCCCCCATAGATACAAAAGACCAACTATACTCTGGCCAAAAGCACATACTCTGGAGCTACATTGCCTGGACCCAAATCCTGGCTGAGCATTTCCATGCTGTAGTGGTTAATTTTATGTGTTAACTTGACTGGACCACAGACTGCCCAGATATTTGGTCAAATTATATTCTGGATGTGTCTGTGAAGGTGTGTTTGGATGAGATTAACACTGAATCAGTAGATTGCCCTCCCTAGTGGGGGTGGCCTCATCTAATCAGTTGAAGGTCTAAATAGAACAGAAATATTGACCCTCCCTAGACTAAAAGGGAACTCCTAATGCCTAACTGCCTTCTAGCTGGAACACCAGTTTTTTCTGGCCTTTGAACTAGAGCTATACCATCAGCTCTCCTGGTTCTCAGGCCTTCGGACTCAGACTAGAGTCATACCATTGGCTTCAGATCTGAGGACTTCTTGGGACTTCTCAGCCTCCTTAATTGTGTAAATCATATGTCTTATTACTGATAATAAATCTTTCTTTCTTTCTTTCTTTCTTTCTTTCTCTTTCCTTCTTTCTTTCTTTCCTTCTTCCTCTCTCTCTCTCTCTCCCTCCCTCCCTCACTCTTTCTCTCCTTAGCACATAGTAAGCATTATGTCAATATTAGCTACTATAATAATTCTCCTAGCCAGGAGATTTTTAAGAACAGTGTTTTTGCTTGAACAATTAGCCCTAGGTACAGTTAAGGAAGGCGTATAGCAATTCTGTCTTATGTAGTTTAATTTACCTTACTCCAAAACCCTAGGAGATATGATGGAATATGAGTTACTCATTAACAAAACAATTCCTGACATGTTTACCCAAATATCTGCAACAAGTGTAATATCCCCAGTATAGTCATTTAACCTTTTTTCTTTTTTTTTTTTTAGACGGAGTCTCACTCTGTCACCAGGCTGGAGTGTAGTGTCGCAATCTTGGCTCACTGCAACCTCCACCTCCTGGGTTCAAGTGACTCTCCTGCCTCAGCCTCCCAAGCAGCTGGGACTACAGGTGTGCACCACCACGCTGGCTAATTTTTGTATTTTTAGTATAGACGGGGTTTCACCATGTTGGCCAGGATGGTCTCCATCTCTTGACCTCGTGATCCTCCCACCTTGGCCTCCCAAAGTGCTGGGATGTAAACTGAAGGCAAAATATTGGGACTCAAGCTCTAAAAAGTTATTTTTCAAGCAACAACAAAGTTTAAGCTTGCTACTCAAAGTCCACTTTACAGATATGGAAGCAGAAAGAAAGGATATTGCCATAGCCAAGGCCACACAACACTGAGGGCTGCAAATTCTCTAGCCCATCATTTAATTCACTGAATTCACATAATCAGTGACAAGCCAAATCTGTCTCTTAATGTGATTGGTGCCTGACACCTTGAAGCCACTGGAATCCTGCTATGGTGTGAAGCTGTCCCCCAAAGTTCATGGGTTTGAAATAATCCCCAGTAAAAAAGTGTCAAAAGGTAGGACCTTTAAGGGCTAATTAGGCCGTGAGGGCTCTGCCCTTATGAATGGATTAATGTCATTACCATGAGAGTGAGTTTGTTATAAAAGCAAATTTGGCTCCCTCTTGTTCTCTCTCAGTTGCACACTCTCTTAACCTTCAGCATTCCACCATGGTATGATGCAGCAAGAAGGCGCCCTCACAAATGTGGCCCCTCAATCTTACATTCAGCCTCCAAACCGTGAGCCAAATAAATTTCTGTTCATTATAAATTACCCAGTCTCAGGTACTCTGTTATAGCAGCACAAAATGGACTAAGACAAATCCCATGTTCTTTCTGAACAAAGATTCATCTCACATTAACTACTTCAGCCTCCCCAGGCCAGTCTGGGACTTATGGTTTAATTAAATCCTGTGGAGTTGCATTTTTGAAGGAGCTATTATCTTAAAGTGATTCTGGTTTATGAGTGTCTAGGAAAAGAGGAGAGAGGGAAAAAAAGAAGAGGGAGAGCAAGAGGTGACAGAGATGAGAAAGAAAGAGTACAAATCAAGCATATTTGATCTAAGTTGATTACTTATGCATTTTGCCAGTGGTAATTGAAAGACACAAGGAGAATGTGAATTACCCATGGAAAGCGTGGGTAGTGTGTAGGAAATACCCTCTCTCTATTACCTCTGTCAGTGGTACAAGTACAGTGCTGACACTGCATCACGGTTTTCAAAAGGCAATTTTGGACATCACGTAAAACAGTTCTTCACCCTTACAATTTACATTTAGATGCTGCAGAAGTAAGTTATGGAAACAAATCTAAGTTGAGTTTACAGTTTCAATCAAAATTTCTCTTTTCTTGTGATGTTTATTATTCATCACATACAATGCCTTTGCACAGAGAGGAGATTTAAAAGAAAAATATGCTTTGCATTGCCCAGTTTGCCTTAGGTCTGGTTAAGGCAGGGGTACAGCTCCTTTTGCTAATAAAAATTAACTATTCCTTAGCTTGCAAAGTGCAATTTTGGATGAACAAATATTTGGGGGGTTCAGGAAATAGTCAAAGCTGGTAAATGGTGTCCTTTTCCAGACATTTTTATTCCTGCAGTATAGAAACAAGGAAACAGCACCTTTCCATGCAAATATAATGGCCTCAGGCTTTTCTTTGCAATATTTATGATCAAATTATATTTTTAATGCCTTTAGAACTCTGAAAACAATTGGAACTACATGATTAGCTGACAGTGCTATGTTTTTAGTACACACAATACATCTAGGTGTAATTTTTATTTCAATATTGCATCTAAAGTTGTTAGCTACTTGATCTTTAAATTTCCACATTTGGTGCAATCTAATTCAACAAATAATAATTGCCTGCTATAGACAGGACACTATGTTAGGCACTGTGGGAGGCAAAAATCAGAACACCGTCCCTACGCCTAATGAACTCACAGTTTAGTGAGAAGATGGGGCTTGTCAAAGAGAAAAATAAGGTCACAACCTAAAACAAAACAGAATAAGATAGCATCATGACAATGCGCACAAGGTGCTATCTGAGGTTAAAATATTTCTCCCTTTGCTCTGTAAAGTCACGCTATCAACCTTATACCATCCATTCATCCTCCCTGCAGACCAACTGATTACTTCTCATCGCCCCTGAAAGATGCAGCCTCTGACTCACTGTCACTTTCTCCACCACTACACTTGGTAATTTCAATGTCTACTCAGAACTCCTTCCAATATCCTGGCCTTTCAATTTTATCACGTTCTCAGCTACAATGATCTGATCTTCCACCATACACTCTCCAGCCTCCCTCTTTGCTATATATACACACTGTCATTACAAATGACTGCTCTACTTCCATTGGCTCGGGTTCAAGCATCCCGTTCTCTGAGCTCCATCTGCTATCTTTCTGACTCGCTCCATAGTACCCCAACTCCAATAATCCATTGATTGCTGCCCCTCTTCACCCTCACCCAGATTCCAGAGCCCATCATTATTGCTCACTGCATTGCACATGGCCTAACCTCCCTTTCCTCCAACTCTAATTAGTTGCAAACCCCACTCTGAACCAACACCTGAATCACAGACACCCAAGCCACTGGATAGATGAACACATAATTATGCTGATTGGTTTCATTTCAAATTTATGACTCCAAACTCCAGGTAGGATCCTGCTGCTTCCTGGCATGCATATTATATTTCCCTAATTCATTCTCAGTCTCCCACTCTCCAGAGGAATAATCCATATTTTGTTTTCTTTCCTAAATTTCCAACACTGCTTCTGCTACCCTTCCTCTCAGTTATGACCTAGATCCTTATTCAGTAGGTAAATGGAGGCAGTCAGAAGAGATTTCACATCTTCCCATGGCCAAAAACCTGCTAGCACCTCTCCTCATATGCTCTTTCTTCCCTCTTGTTAAAATGGGTGATCTGTTCACACTCCTGTCAGAGGCCAGCCCTTCCATTGCACATGGGATCCCTCTGCTCCTGCTCTCCTCTCTCCTACCTCATGGAATTTCCCCTCTCTTCTGGATCATGCTCATAAACAAAAACATATTATGAGATCACCTATCTTATAGAGAAGCCCTCCCAGACCTCACATTCTCCTCCAACAACCATTATTTGCTAACTTTTATGGAAAATCTCAAGTTAAAAGAAACAACAGTTATTTATACTTGCAGTGTCAAATTCCTCTCTGCCAATTCTCTCTTGATCTAGACTTTTGTCCCCACCATTCCACTGCTACTGTCCTTAATCTCCATCATAGCAGTGGTCATCTCTTGGTTCCATATAACTTCTTACAGTTGCAGTATATTTCAGCCCTTATTATTTCTTTCTCCTTGAAACACTTTCTTCACTTGACCTCTAGGACAAAGATCCAAATATAAACTGGCAACTTTAGAGTTGATCCATCCAGCTGTAACCTCTTCTCAAGTTCTAGCCTTGTATTTCCAACCATCAAGCGGACACTACCACTTGGATATCTAACAGGCATCTCAAACTTGACACATACAAAAACTGTACTTAATTTTTTCCCTCTAACCTGTTTCTTCTACAGTCAATCCTCTCTTAAAAAAAATCAATCCCATCTGTCCAGTTGCTCATGCCAAAAATTTTGAAATTATCTTTGACCCTCTAGCTCTTTATCCACACTCAGTTCAACAGCAAATCTTGTTCACACTGCCTTTCAAACATAGCTGAATCCAGCCACTTCCTACCACTTCCACGGCCATTAGCTTAATATATCTAAGTCAACATCTCTCATCTGGATTTTGCAAAAGGCTTCTAACCAGCTCCCTGAATTCACCCTTGTCCCCTAAATTTCTCGCTTCACAGAGCTACCAGAATAACTTTTTTGAATGTTAGTCATTCATGTCATTTCTCTACTCAAGATATTGCAGGAAATCCACATTCTCATTCAGAATGAAAGCCACAGTCCTCTCAAGGTCCACAGGGTCCTCAGAGCCTCTCTGGTGTCCTCTCTTACCACTCTTCCCCTGGCCTGTTGTGCTCCAGCTGCGACTTCATCCTGGCAGTACCCAAAACACATGCCAAGCACAATCTCACTTCAGGACATCTGCCTCTGTTATTTCCTTGGCTTAGGACACTTTTCCCAGAGATATCTAGAAGATTCACTGCCTCTCATAATTCAGTGCCTGTGATGTGCCAGGCATTCTTCTAGACACTAGGCATGTAATAGGGAACTCCACTGGAATGTCACTGTGTCCAATTTACCCAAATTTCCTATAAGTCATCCCCTGCATTGTCACACTCTGTCATTTTACTCTGCTTTACTTTCCATCTTAGCACTCATTATCACCTAAAATATTGCATACTTATTTGTTTATATGAAATGATAATGAGTGTCATAAGGGCAAGGAGTTTATTTTGTTCCCTGCTCAGTGCTCAGTGTCTAGAAGAATGTCTGGCACATCATCGGTACTAAGTATGTATTCAATGAACAAGGAAACATCTGCCATTCCTCCTATTCTTCCATTCTTCATATTGTCTTGGCCACCTAGTAGCAGTACCAAGAGAAGTGGGCGTAAGAAATAGCCTTTCCCCATAATTTGTATACATTCCCTTAACTCTGATCCAGTAACATACAACTCTCACTTGCAAATTCAGTCTTCCAACTGGTCTCCTACTCTCAGTCTCCAATGTGTCACTTCTCAGGGAGCCATTTCCCAATCATCCAATCCAAATATTCTCCTTACCCCCATCACCTTCTTTTTTTTTTTTTTTTTTTTTTTTTCTGAGACAGAATCTTGCTCTGTCGCCTAGGCTGGTGACGTGATCTCAGCTCACTGCAAATTTCGCATCCTGGGTTCAAGCTATTCTCCTGCCTCAGCCTCCCGAGGAGCTGGGATTACAGGTGCCCACCACCACACCTGGCTAATATTTGTATTCTTAGTAGAGGCAGGGTTTCACCATATTGACCAGGCTGGTCTCGAACCCCTGACCTTGTGATCTGCCCACCTCAGCCTCCCAAAGTGCTGGGATTACAGGCATGAGCCAGAGCGCCCAGTCACCCCCACCACCTTCTAAAGCCCTGTTTTATGTTGTTTTCAGATTCTTTGCCACTCTCTGAAATTAAAGTACACCTACTTTTTCTCACCACCTCTGCCACTACCAGACACACAAACACACAATGGAATGAAAACTCCTTGAGATCAGGGACTTTGACTTATTCAGAGCTTCATCAGGAAGAATGCCTAGCACAAGGCATATCCTCAGTGTGTATTCATGGAATGAATAAATTTTCCATTATGAAGCTTATGGGATCTTTCTAAAACAAATCTGACCATGTAATTTCCCAACCTGAAATGCTCCAGTGATGCCTTATTGTGTTTCCAGATACAATTCCTGCTCCTTAGCAAATTTCTAAGCTCTTCATGAACTGTCTCTGCTTATTTCTCTGGTTTCACCTTGGACTACACTCCCCTCATTCTCAAAGAAATTTTCTCCCCTAATAAATTTGGTAACCGAGTTTTCCTCTGACTAAAGTACTTTTCTAAGGCAACCCCTCCTTTTGACTGCTTACCTCCAATTTGTTCTCAGGATTTAGGTCAGACATTGCCTCCTCTAAGCACTAGATACCCCTTCTGTGTAAGGACCCTGTGCTAGTCACTGGGGTACAACTGAGAACTGTGATAGACATCAGGTGTCTCTGTCCATTTTGTGCTGTTCTAATGAAATACCACAAGCTGGGTAACTTATAATGAACAGAAATTTATTTCTCACATTCCTGGGGGCTGAGAAGTTCAAGATCAAGGGACCAGTGTCTTGCAAGGGCCTTCTTGTTGCATCATCCCATTGAGAAAAGTGGAATGGCACTAGAGGGCAAGAGAGAGAGGGAGGGAGAGAGAGAGAGAAAAGGGTGCTGAATTCATCCTTCTGTAAGGTATCCATTCCCAAGATAACAGCATTAATTCATTCATGAATGTGGTGCCCCCATGACCAAAACACCTTTCATTAGGCCCCACCTCCCAACACCAATGAATTGGTGATCAAATTTCTAACACATGAACTTTGGGGGACACATTCAAACCATAGTACCGGGGCCCGGGCTAAACTAGAGTGACAAGTATAAACATGACCTAACCCCATACGGGCAGCAGAACTTGGTTTAAAATCTAACTCCCAATTCTGGCTTTAAATCATTGTTTATGCAGAATATTATTACTGTTGTTATTTTTGCTGTGATTCTGTTATTATTACTGCTACTATACTTACACTGCTTTTACCCAATGACTTTCATTATTCAGAACTGCCTGAAAATTTAGAAAGAAGTAAGCAAGGTCTTTGAGTAGCCAAGTTATTATCACAAAGCTGGCAAACCTTAGTTATAATATGACCCCATAGGCTGTCTCTTAGAACCTAGTTATAGTACAGAGTACCATTATTTAAAACACATTTCTAATAGCCTTGGCTACTTAATTCCCCAGCCCACAGATGATAGAATCAACCAATCAACAACTATTTTATTAAGTGTTTAGTATGCACAAGAAGACATTGTGCAAAATTATGGGAGATACAAAAAAGTTTAAAAGTCCCTGCTCCCATCACCACCACCACCCCCTTCTTTAAAGAGGCACCGCAAATAAGAAGACCAGGTACCACTAGAGGCAAATAGATCAAATGAAACCTGAATGGAGGATGTAGGAAAAAATATAAAAATCAGAAATAACAAGTTAAAAGCACGGCAGTTTAGAGCTACTTACTGAAGAGACGAGAAACACTATATGCGTGAAGAACCTCTGATCTAGTATAAAAGGAAGGACCTCAGCTAAAAGCTGAAGGCTGAATTTTTATCTGCATCTCTGTTTGCCTAGATGTGCAGTCTTCAAAAAGTTATGCCAGCTCTCTGGGCCTCCTTCACTTGCTGTCTATTGTGAGGGAGTGGAACCAGACAATCTTTATCAAGGCCCGGTCCCAACTCTAAAATCCTATGATTCTACATTCAAAGTTCTGACCCTGAGCCATCAAGATAAAGCTGAAATATATTCACTATATTCTCATTTAAAAGGCAGGCAGGGATAAATATCATATACTTTAGAAGCCTTTATATAACACAATGTTTTTTAATTTTGCAACTTAGCAGGATAAGTTTCAGTTATCTGGAAAATCCGCTTAGGTGGAGCGCCTCTATCCCCCATCATGCTAGATAAGTGAGAATTTCACAGCATTATTTAAACAGCCCAGCATGGGCTGACCAAAATAGTACCAGGCCAAAGAAACAGAGAGAGGCCTGCTAAAGATTCTCCTTCCCCTGTCATTTCTGTAAAAAAAAGACTGGCCAATGCGGGTAAGCCTGTAATTCCCAAAAAGCACATAGGTGAAGCATATGCTTCCCCCACGAGGAAGGTAAGTGTTGTAGGGATGTAGTAGTCAGCTCCTAAAGAAGATGGATGGGAACCATTGCCCTCTACTTAACCATGTCCTACCACACGTCATCCCTCTCTGAGCAAAGTACAGTTCTGAGGAAAGCTGGGACTGCATCTCCTCACAGAGCCTTCCACCAAAAAAGTGGTGTTAGCCAGTGCAGGGTGCCCAGCTGCATGCTTGTTCAAATGGCTGTTGTTTTAATGTTTTAAAGCTTAAATACTTATTTCCCTTTATACTGGAACATCACATATAAAAACCACTTCATGCCCCAAAGGTGGCCAGTGAATGAGGTGCCAGTTGTACTGGCTGTGACTGGATGGCAGGAGCCTGCCACTCTGAGAGAGCCTGCTCACATCAGCACCCAGCAGCAGCAGGGAAGGACTGATGCTTCAGCAAGCTCATGCATTCCTTTCTTCACTCATTCATTCCGTAAATAATGTTAAGCTCCTACTCTGTGCCAGGCACTGTGTTACACCCAGGAATTTAACCGTGGGAAAATAACTAGACATATTTGCCCTCATATATTTAACTATTTATAAAATTACAACAGTCTTAAGAGCTACTGAGGATTAGTAATGGTTAAGAAAAATTGAGGCACAGGGGTTGACCTAGTTGTGGAGACAAGGGGAAAGAGAGAGGACTTTTCAAAGAGAGAGCATTTGAGCTGAGAGCTCAGGGTTGAGCCGGCATTAACTTCCAACCCTTTATTTATGGCAGCCAATCAATTATTTGCCATCATGTATCAATGTTTTCCAACCTAGTGTGCACAAACTCACACACCTAAGTTTACTGGGAAAACACAAAGTCACTAGATTGCTTGGCACAGCTTCCATGCTGTCAATTTTACTCAAAATCTTCTAGGGAAAAATGTTTATTCTTTTGAAGCCAACAAGATGTGTTACAACAGAAAAAAAAAAACAATATTTGAGATATTCTTTGTCTTTTTTTAAGAAAAAATGCCAAACTTTTAGAAAATTCTAGTCTTCCAGAACTCTGAATTCACTTTTACCTGTCATTAGGGCTACTTCAAATGAAAAGCATGAGAAGTTATTAGGGTATCATTAACAAACAGAGCCTCGGATCTGATTCCGAATTATTTTTCTCACAGAGCTTTAAGTAATTTGATGGATAAGTGTTCATTTCTACTAGTAGTAGTGTGGTAGTAGTAATAGTTGCTGTTATAGTCAGATCAATAGTAGTACTAGTTGTAGTTGTCAGTCATTATGTTACCAGCAATGAATCCATACAGGTCTGCAGCAACCTCAATTCTTGCCTTCTCAGAAGAAAGAATTTGGCAGAGGGCCATTAGGCTGAAGGAAAGACTGAGGCAAGTTTCAGAAGAGGAGTGAAAGTTTATTAAAAAGCTTTACAGTGGGAATGAAAGGAAGTAAAGTATACTTGGAAGAGGGCCAAGCAAGAGACTTGAGAGATCAAGTGCACAGTTTGACCTTTTGACTTGGGGTTCTATACGTTGGTGTACTTCTGGGTTCTTGTATTATTTCCCCCGATCCTTCCCTTGGGGTGAGCTATCTTCATGCACAGTGGCCTGCCAGCCCTTAGGAGGGGAGCATGTACAGTGTGTTTACTGGAGTTGTGCACATGCTCACTTGAGGCATTCTTCCCCTACCGGTCTAGCATTCTTAGAGGAAGGTCATATACCAGTTAAACTCCACCATTTTGCCTCTTAATATGCAGTCTTGAGCCCACTCGCCCAACCCCTGAGATCTTACTGGGAAGCTGCTGATTACCAATTTCAGATGTTTCTGTCTATTGGGAGACTGCCCTTCCCTGGAACTGGCTGTGACCAATGATTATTTTAGAGAGACAGTTAACAACTGCCTGACCATCACCTGGTGGTTACCTCACAATCCTGCTTTGTTTTTTGGGAGGTGGGGAGCCCTCTCTTGCCCGGCTCATGCCTGACTAGCTACCTACTGAAACAATAATAGTAGTAGTAGTAGCTGTTGCTGATGTAGCAATTATGACAGTAGTAGCTGTTGTAGTTACAGTAATAGCAATAGTTAAGAAGTAGTAGTCATTCTCATCATAGCAGTTGTAGTAGTAGCAGTGACAGCAGTCATAGTTAAGAGCTGGGTTAGGTCTGAACTCCATACTTAACTGAGCAAGTTATTTAAATTCTCTACATCTTTAGAATGCAGTTAATAAAACATCTACCTCTTAAGCATTTTGCAAGAAATAAATGAAATATGTATAAAGGAAGGTGCTATCACAAAACAAGCACTGCATAAGTTTAGCTATTCTTATTTTCTTTATTATTATAGTACTAGTAGTATCACATATTTCTATACCCTACAAGAAGCTGGAGTAATGGAAAAGCACATCAAGGAAAGTTTTGGGCTGAGGAGCAATGAGTATCATCTACCTTCATTCTGAATCGAACCCACAATCATCAACACTTTCATTAAAGAAGAAATGTCTATGCATGTTTGTCATCATCACTTTGTTTTAAAGTACTTTGTAATCTCCCATTATGCTCTAAGGAAAGTCAAACTAACCCACGTTGCATTTTTTATGAGAATTGTGTCAAACCCCAGACAGGGAATGGGGAACTTGGTGTCTTCAAGGAGCTAGACCTAGGCATGATTTTTTTCTATTTGTATTTACCTGCTTCTGACTGCTTTCACCTCTCTGGAGTAGATTACCACAGGAGTAATTAGTCCCTGGTTTTCTGCAGTCCATTCTTTTAGAGAAAAGCAAGTCGTCCTTAGTCATTTAATTCTCACTACAGAACCGAAAGTGCCAACATAAGGCACAGAACTGCTGTTCCTTATGGTTGTCCATATCCTAGCTGTAAGAGCCTTTCCCTCTTCAAAGACCAGTTTGAACCTGTGTTCTCAGTACCCAGGTAGCTGGGCACATAATCTTCTTAGCCCAGAGCACAATAGCTTGTTTGCAGACCTGGTAGGAAGTAATATAAACATTTTGTCCTAAAGGCAAACTTAGCATAAAGTTGGTCTGCATGCAAATAATTTAATCCTTTTTTTTCTTTTTCTTAGCTGCTCAAAGGCAGGCATATTCTCTTTAGAGATTAGTCAGAATGTGATAACTTAATTCACATTTACTTACATGCCTGGCTGAACATTCTTGTGGATGTGCTTTTGAACATTCTTCCTAAAAGCAACTGCTGTCATTTTTGCTGAGAAAAGTGCCTATGAGTCCATTCATTATAGCAGGGGTCCAAAGTACTGAAAAATGTGCAGGTGAATGGCTGAGTTTACCGGTTCCAACCACATACAAAGAGGCAGCAACAGAGGTCATTACTGGTGCCAGCTCTGATGGGCAACATGAATCACAGCTCAGTGGCTCGTCGGCATTTTCTTGATGGATGGTGATAAACTTTAGCAGAGTTTGGGATCAGAAGAGGTTATATAGTGCTATATAGTGTTCAGCTGTACCAAAGTAACTGTGTCTATAAGTTTGTGTGAGGGAGTTAGTTCTGCCACTCTTTCTGGTCATCAAGGCCCTGCACCTTTGAGAACTGTGAATTCACTATAGTTTGTCTTCCTGTCTTTTTTGTTCTTTATTTTTTGTAACTCACATTTTTTGAGCATATACTAAGTGCCAAGCACTTCAAGTGCAATAATAACAATATCCAACATTCGTTGAGTGCTACTATAAGTCAGACGCTATTCTAAATGGTTTAAATATAGCAACTCATTCATGCTCACAACAGCCCAATGCAGCTGGAATTATTGTTATCCCCATTTACAGACAGAAGGAACCCAGAGGGTTTAAATAACTTGTACAAGGTCCCACAGCTAGGACGTGTAATCTGCACAATTTTGGAAATGCTATCTGAGAGCAACCATGGGACCGAAGTGAAAATTAGCAGTGAACTAGGGGGACAAGCAAGACTTTCTGGGCTGTTACTATCTCCTTCTCCAAAGTCTTACAGTGACAGAAGCATGTGCTTTATAAACATCATCCAAAACTTAATGGCAGAATAAGAGCTACCAGAGCTACCATTATCAAGGGTGGGCAGTGAAGTGCTATTTTGAGACAAGTCAGGCTGACCCTGAAATTTTATCTCACAGGTGATTATAAATTTGCGGATAGAGTCCTTTAGGATTCAGAGGATCTGAATTTGGATTCAGAGGACTTGAATTCTAAATCCAATAAGTAACCTTGGACAAGTAACTTACACTTTCTTTTTTTTTTTCTTTGTTCAGTTAAAGAATTTTAATGTTTTTCATTTATCATTGTAAAACCAAGGAGAATTTTATAACTTTTTTGTATGTAGTGGTTACATATTGGACAATCTGTCTTTAAGTAGGGATAAATTATTCTTTTTTTATTTTATTATTATTATACTTTAAGTTTTAAGGTACATGTGCACGATGTGCAGGTTTGTTACATATGTATACATGTGCCATGCTGGTGTGCTGCACCCATTAACTCGTCATTTAATATTAGGTATATCGCCTAATGCTATCCCTCCCCCCTCCCCCCACCCCACAACAGTCCTCAGAGTGTGATGTTCCCCTTCCTGTGTCCATGTGTTCTCATTGTTCAATTCCCACCTATGAGTGAGAACATGCGGTGTTTGGTTTTTTGTCCTTGCGATAGTTTACTGAGAATGATGATTTCCAGTTTCATCCATGTCCCTACAAAGGACATGAACTCATCATTTTTTATGACTGCATAGTATTCCATGGTGTATATGTGCCACATCTTCTTAATCCAGTCTATCATTGTTGGACATTTGGGTTGCTTCCAAGTCTTTGCTATTGTGAATAGTGCTGCAATAAACATACATGTGCATGTGTCTTTATAGCAGCAGGATTTATAATCCTTTGGGTATATACCCAGTAATGGGATGGCTGGGTCAAATGGTATTTCTAGTTCTAGATCCCTGAGGAATCGCCACACTGACTTCCACAATGGTTGAACTAGTTGACAGTCCCACCAGCAGTGTAAAAGTGTTCCTATTTCTCCACATCCTCTCCAGCACCTGTTGTTTCCTGACTTTTTAATGATTGCCATTCTAACTGGTGTGAGATGGTATCTCACTGTGGTTTTGATTTGCATTTCTCTGATGGTCAGTGATGATGCGTGTTTTTTCATGTGTCTCTTGGCTGCATAAATGTCTTCTTTTGAGAAGTGTCTGTTCATATCCTTTGCCCACTTTTTGATGGGGTTGTTTGTTTTTTTCTTGTAAATTTGTTTGAGTTCATTGTAGATTCTGGATATTAGCCCTTTGTCAGATGAGTAGGTTGTGAAAATTTTCTCCCATTTTGTAGGTTGCCTGTACACTCTGATGGTAGTTTCTTTTGCTGTGCAGAAGCTCTTTCGTTTAATTACATCCCTTTTGTCAATTTTGGCTTTTGTTGCCATTGCTTTTGGTGTTTTAGCCATGAAGTCCTTGCCCATGCCTATGTCCTGAATGGTAATGCCTAGGTTTTCTTCTAGGGTTTTTATGGTTTTAGGTCTAACGTTTAAGTCTTTAATCGATCTTGAATTAATTTTTGTATAAGATGTAAGGAAGGGATCCATTTTCAGCTTTCTACATATGGCTAGCCAGTTTTCCCAGCACCATTTATTAAATAGGGAATCCTTTCCCCATTGCTTGTTTTTCTCAAGTTTGTCAAAGATCAGATAGTTGTAGATATGTGGCATTATTTCTGAGGGCTCTGTTCTGTTCCATTGATCTATATCTCTGTTTTGGTACCAGTACCATGCTGTTTTGGTTACTGTAGCCTTGTAGTATAGTTTGAAGTCAGGTACTATGATGCCTCCAGCTTTGTTCTTTTGGCTTAGGATTGACTTGGTGATGCGGGCTCTTTTTTAGTTCCATATGAACTTTAAAGTAGTTTTTTCCAATTCTGTGAAGAAAGTCAATGGTAGCTTGATGGGGATGGCATTGAATCTATAAAGTACCTTAGGCAGTATGGCCATTTTCATGATATTGATTCTTCCTACCCATGAGCATAGAATGTTCTTCCATTTCTTTGTATGCTCTTTTATTTCCTTGAGCAGTGGTTTGTAGTTCTCCTTGAAGAGGTCCTTCACGTCCCTTGTAAGTTGGATTCCTAGGTATTTTATTCTCTTTGAAGCAATTGTGAATGGGAGTTCACTCATGATTTGGCTCTCGGTTTGTCTGTTATTGGTGTATAAGAATGCTTGTGATTTTTGTACATTGATTTTGTATCCTGAGACTTTGCTGGAGTTGCTTATCAGCTTAAGGAAATTTTGGGCTGAGATGATGGGGTTTTCTAGATATACAATCATGTCATCTGCCAACAGGGACAATTTGACTTCCTCTTTTCCTAATTGAATACCCTTTATTTCCTTCTCCTGCCTAATTGCCCTGGCCAGAACTTCCAATGCTATGTTGAATAGGAGTGGTGAGAGAGGGCACCCCTGTCTTGTGCCAGTTTTCAAAGGGAATGCTTCCTGTTTTTGTCCATTCAGTATGATATTGGCTGTGGGTTTGTCATAGATAGCTCTTACTATTTTGAGATATGTCCCATCAATACCTAATTTATTGAGAGTTTTTAGCATGAAGGGTTGTTGAATTTTGTGAAAGGCCTTTTCTGCATCTATTGAGATAATCATGTGGTTTTTGTCATTGGTTCTGTTTATATGCTGGATTCGTTTATTGATTTTTGTATCTTGAACCACCCTTGCATCCCAAGGATGAAGCCCACTTGATCATGGTGGATAAGCTTTTTGATGTATTGCTGGATTTAGTTTGCCAGTATTTTATTGAGGATTTTTGCATCAATGTTCATCAAGGATATTGGTCTAAAATTCTGCTTTTTTGTTGTGTCTCTGCCAGGCTTTGGTATCAGGATGATGTTGGCCTCATAAAATGAGTTAGAGAGGATTCCCTCTTTTTGTATTGATTGGAATAGTTTCAGAAGGAATGCTACCAGTTCCACCTTGTACCTCTGGTAGAATTCGGCTGTGAATCCATCTGGTCCTGGACTCTTTTTGGTTGGTAAACTATTGATTATTGCCACAATTTCAGAACCTGTTATTGGTCTATTCAGAGATTCAGCTTCTTCCTGGTTTAGTCTTGGGAGGGTGTATGTGTCAAGGAACTTATCCATTTCTTCTAGATATTCTAGTTTATTTGCATAGAGGTGTTTGTAGTATTCTCTGATGGTAGTTTGTATTTCTGAGGGATCGGTGGTGATATCCCCTTTATCATTTTTTATTGCATCTATTTGATTCTTCTCTCTTTTCTTCTTTATTAGTCTTGCTAGCAGTCTATCAATTTTGTTGATCCTTTCAAAAAACCAGCTCCTGGATTCATTAATTTTTTGAAGGGTTTTTTATGTCTCTATCTCCTTCAGTTCTGCTCTGATTTTAGTTATTTCTTGCCGTCTGCTAGCTTTTGAATGTGTTTACTCTTGCTTTTCTAGTTCTTTTAATTGTGATGTTCGGGTGTCAATTTTTTATCTTTCCTACTTTCTCTTGTGGGCATTTAGTGCTATAAATTTCCCCCTACACACTGCTTTGAATGTGTCCCAGAGATTCTGGTATGTTGTGTCTTTGTTCTCATTGGTTTCAAAGAACATCTTGATTTCTGCCTTCATTTCGTTATGTGCCCAGTAGTCATTCAGGAGCAGGTTGTTCAGTTTCCATGTAGTTGAGCAGTTTTGAGTGAATTTCTTAATCCTGAGTTCTAGTTTGATTGCACTGTGGTCTGAAAGACAGTTTGTTATAATTTCTGTTCTTTTACATTTGCTGAGGAGTGCTTTACTTTGAACTATGTGGTCAATTTTGGAATAGGTGTGTTGTGGTGCTGAAAAGAATGTATATTCTGTTGATTTGGGGTGGAGAGTTCTGTAGATGTCTATTAGGTCCGCTTGGTGCAGAACTGAGTTCAATTCCTGGGTATCCTTGTTAACTTTCTGTCTCGTTGATCTGTCTAATGTTGACAGTGGGATGTTAAAGTCTCCCATTATTATTGTGTGGGAGTCTAAGTCTCTTTGTAGGTCACTCAGGACTTGCTTAATGAATCTGGGTGCTCTGGTATTGGGTGCATATATATTTAGGATAGTTAGCTCTTCTTGTTGAATTGATCCCTTTACCATTATGTAATGGCCTTCTTTGTCTCTTTTGATCTTTGTTGGTTTAAAGTCTGTTTTATCCAAGACTAGGATTGCAACCCCTGCCTTTTTTTGTTTTCCATTTGCTGGGTAGATCTTCCTCCATCCTTTTATTTTGAGCCTATGTGTGTCTCTGCACGTGAGATGTGTTTCCTGAATACAGCACACTGATGGGTCTTGACTCTTTATCCAATTTGCCAGTCTGTGTCTTTTAATTGGACCATTTAGTCCACTTACAATTAAAGTTAATATTGTTATGTGTGAATTTGATCCTGTCATTATGATGTTAGCTGGTTATTTTGCTCATTAGTTGATGCAGTTTCTTCCTAGCCTGGATGGTCTTTACAATTTGGCATGTTTTTGCAGTGGCTGGTACCGGTTGTTCCTTTCCATGTTTAGTGCTTCCTTCAGGAGCTCTTCTAAGGCAGGCCTGGTGGTGACCAAATCTCTCAGCATTTGCTTGTCTGTAAAGTATTTTATTTCTCCTTCACTTATGAAGCTTAGTTTGGCTGGATATGAAATTCTGGGTTGAAAATTCTTTTCTTTAAGAATGTTGAATATTGGCCCCCACTCTCTTCTGGCTTGTAGAGTTTCTGCCGAGAGATCCGCTGTTAGTCTGATGGGCTTCCCTTTGAGGGTAACCCAACCTTTCTCTCTGACTGCCCTTAACATTTTTTCCTTCATTTCAACTTTGGTGAATCTGACAATTATGTGTCTTGGAGTTGCTCTTCTCGAGGAGTATCTTTGTGGCATTCTCTGTATTTCCTGAATCTGAATGTTGGCCTGCCTTGCTAGATTGGGGAAGTTCTCCTGTATAATATCCTGCAGAGTGTTTTCCAACTTGGTTCCATTCTCCCTGTCACTTTCAGGTCCACCAATCAGACGTAGATTTGGTCTTTTCACATAGTCCCATATTTCTTGGAGGCTTTGTTCATTTCTTTTTATTCTTTTTGCTCTAAACTTCCCTTCTCACTTCATTTCATTCCATCACTGATACCCTTTCTTCCAGTTGATCACATCAGCTCCTGAGGCTTCTGCATTCTTCATGTAGTTCTTGAGCCTTGGCTTTCAGCTCCATCAGCTCCTTTAAGCACTTCTCTGTATTGGTTATTCTTGTTATACATTCATCTAAATTTTTTTCGAAGTTTTTAACTTCTTTGCCTTTGGTTTGAATTTCCTCCTGTAGCTCAGAGTAGTTTGATCATCTGAAGCCTTCTTCTCTCAACTCGTCAAAGTCATTCTCCATCCAGCTTTGTTCCATTGCTGGTGAGGAACTGCATTCCTTTGGAGGAGGAGAGGCACTCTGCTTTTTAGAATTTCCAGTTTTTTTGCTCTGTTTTTTCCCCATCTTTGTGGTTTTATCTACTTTTGGTCTTTGATGATGGTGATGTACAGATGGGTTTTTGGTGTGGATGTCCTTTCTGTTTGTTAGTTTTCCTTCTAACAGACAGGACCCTCAGCTGCAGGTCTATTGGAGTTTGCTAGAGTTCCACTCCAGACCCTGTTTGTCTGGGTATCAGCAGCGGTGGCTGCAGAACAGCTGATTGTTGTGAACCGTGAATGCTGCTGTCTGATCATTCCTCTGAAATTTTTCTCTCAGAGGAGTACCCGGCCATGTGAGATGTCAGTCTGCCCCTACTGGGGGCTGCCTCCCAGTTAGGCTGCTCAGGGGTCAGGGGTCAGGGGCCCACTTGAGGAGGCAGTCTGCCCGTTCTCAGATCTCCAGCTGTGTGCTGGGAGAACCACTGCTCTCTTCAAAGCTATCAGACAGGGACATTTAAGTCTGCAGAGGTTACTGCTGTCTTTTTGTTTGTCTGTGCCCTGCCCCCAGAGGTGGAGCCTACAGAGGCAGGCAGGCCTCCTTGGGCTGTGGTGGGCTCCATCCAGTTGGAGCTTCCCGGCTGCTTTGTTTACCTAAGCAAGCCTGGGCCATGGAGGGTTCCCCTCCCCCAGCCTCGCTGCCACCTTGCAGTTTGATCTCAGACTGCTGTGCTAGCAATCAGTGAGACTCCATGGGCGTAGGACCCTCTGAGCCATGTGCGGGATATAATCTCCTGGTGCACCTTTTTTAAGTCCATTGGAAAAGCGCAGTCTTAGGATGGGAGTGACTCAATTTTCCAGGTGCCATCTGTCACCCCTTTCTTTGACTAGGAAAGGGAACTCCCTGACCCCTTGCACTTCCTGAGTGAGGCAATGTCTCACCCTGTTTCAGCTGGTGCATGGTGCACTGCACCCACTGTTCTGTGCCCACTGTCTGTCACTCCCTAGTGAGATGAACCCGGTACCTCAGATGGAAATGCAGACATCATCCATCTTCTGCGTCACTCACGCTGGGAGCTGTAGACCAGAGCTGTTCCTATTCGGCCATCTTGGCTCGATTGTCCCCTTAACTTACACTTTCTAAGTCTCCATTTTCTCATGAATTAAGAGGGCTATCGTGCTAACACTACCAGATGGAATTGCTATTAAGCTCAGGGAGGAACACTATGAGAAAATATTTTATAAACTGAAGAATATTGTGCAAATGTGTGCTATCATTTGTTTTACATTGAAATGTGCTTATTCTGTGGGAGTATTTTCTACACAGATATAGGATTCACTGTTGGCACTTCCTAAGAAAAAGCAGCTTTAATTACTCTTATGTATGGCTTCCAATACACTCTAAGACAATGTAGCTTGATTTTAGTGTGAGCTGTTTACTCTGTCCTTGACCAGAAACCACTAGCAATTTTCATTTCTGATATTCCAAAGAAATCTTAATCTTGGACAATCCAACCAGCCCCTGGACATCTCTGTATCATCAAGATGGCTTGAAAGGGCCCACCTGTCACAGAAAAGTAAATATGAGTCCCGTGATTGAGGTAACTATGCTGAAAACACCTCGCATGTTTAGAAGAAAACCTTTTCTTCTAAACTTCAAATGGTTCAAAAATATATAAACATAACGAATCATAGGTATTCAAAATATTAAATTTGATTTAAAATTTGAGATAAGACAAATGATTTTGCAAAGTAACAGAGCACCTAAAAAGCATTTTACAGAAGACTAAGCAAATCTGAATTTGCCCTTAGGATTATTAGAAAATAGAATAACTCTAGAGCCCAACTCATGTTTTTTCCTCAGATCAAAATTATTATACATCTATAGATTTGGAGCACAAATGTCAAAAATAAAAAGCTTTGAAAGGCCATGGGGAAGAATGGAAAAGTAGATTAAAATATCAGCACTGGCTAATATCTTCTTGGTTCCATTTCTCCATTATTCCATCTATTTCCCTCCCTTAACCGAGTGATTCAGAGTGCAAATCCTAGTTCAAAGCTAGTTGGCGAGGCTTTCTCAATCTGAATTTCCTCACCTATAAATTGGGGGCAATAAACCTTCCTCAAAGTTTTATTGAGAGGATGGAATGAGATAACATAAGTAAAAAAAATCTGGCCTGGAGTCCTTAATAAATGCTCTCTCCTTTAACCCTCTTTCTGTAATCAATCTCATCTCAATCTTTTCCCATATTTTAGAATATTCATCTGGTCTTTGGGACAAGGTATTTCCCTGGCAATTTGCATTCTTCATTAAAAGTGGGGTTTTGAGTAGTCAAAGCCCCTCCACTGTTACAGAGCAAAGCTCCTTACCACAAACATTTCAAATGATGCTAATAAAGCCTATTCTCTCTGTCATGGTGAGACTTTGGAGAATTTAGGAATCAATAATGTCCTATAAGGTCTCGCTTGTCCTCCCATAGGTTATCTTTCAAAGCGGACTATATTCTCATCTGTCTCAGAAGCCACTTACAAATATAACTTTCACAAAGTTTGCCAACACATTTTATTTATAGTTCCCAACAGGATCATCCCTTTCTGAAATGAGTTCCATAAGTATAAAAATCTCTAGACTAAGAGTAGTGATGATAAATATCTCTAGACTAAAAGTAGTGATTATAAATATAATCAACCTATTCTACTACTCTCAATTTTCAGAATTGATTTGGACATAGTTAACTCTTGTTTCCCATTTAACTCTTTTATTTGTGTTATTTTGTTATGCTTGTTATTGCTTACTTCCATTTTCTATACATGTGACAATATACATTATCATCAGCCACAAGGCAAAAAAATGATTCTAACATTCATATGCTGGAGCAATCAAGAAGAGCCAAGAAAAACAACTGATTAGAAGAATAAAAGGGGCCAACACTATCAGATATTATGAAAAGCCAAAAAGCACAGAAAACTGGAAATCTCCTTGTGATCTTACTTAACCTTCTGTTCCCATAGAAAATAAGAGCTTAACACTTTCTCCCCCAGCTTTCTTCGGGTATAATTGACAAATAAAAGGTGTATATATTAATAGTGTACAATGAGTTTTGATATATCCAGACAGTATAAAATAATTAAATCAAGTGAATTGATATATCCATCACTTCACATACTTTTTTGTGTGTGTGGTGAGAACATTTAAGGTCTCTTAGCAATTTTCAAGTACGCAAACATTATTATTAACTATAATCACCAGGATGTTGAAGAGATCATCAGAACTGATTGATCCTGTCTAACTGAACCTTCATACCCTTTGAATAATTTTCTTTACCCCCGTTGTCCCCATCACCACCCCCAACAATCACCCTTCTACTCTCTGCTCCTATGAGTTCAACATTTTTAGAGTCCACACATAAGTGAGATCATGCAGTATTTGTCCTGCTGTAACTGACTTATTTCACTTGGCATAATGTCTTCTAGATTCACCCATGTTGTTACAAATTATAGGATTTCTTTCTTTTTTAAGGCTGAATAGTGTTAACTTTTATTTTAGATTCAGGGACTACATGTGCATTACCTGGGTGTATTCTGTGATGCTGAGGTTTGGAATATGATTGATCCCATCACCAAAATACTGAGTAGAATACCCAATAGTTAGTTTTTCAACCCTTACCCTCTTCCCTCTCCCCCTCTTCTAGTAGTCCCCAGTGTCTATTGTTGCTATCTTTATGTCCACGTGACAATATGCAGTATTTGGTTTTCTCTTCCTGCATTAATTCACTTAGGATAATGGCCTCCAGCTACATCCATGTTTCTACAAGGGACATGGTTTCATTCTTTTCTATGGCTGCATAGTATTCCATGATATATATGTACCACATTTTCTTTATCCCATCCACCAGTGATGGGCACCTAAGTTAGTTGCAAGATTTTGCTATTGTGAATAGTGCCGTGATGTTCATATGAGTGCACGTGTCTTTCTAGCAGAATGGTTTATTTTCTTTGGGATATATATTCAGTAATGGGAATGCTAGGTCAAATGGTAGTTATGTTTTCAGTTCTTTGAGAAATTTCCAAACTGCTTTCCACAGTAGCTGAACAAATTTATATTCCCACCAACAATATATGTGTTCCCTTTTCCCCGCCACTTTGCCAGCGTCTGTTGTTTTTGACTTTCTAGTAATAGCTATTCTGACTGGTGTGAGACAGTATCTCATTTTCATTCCAAGCTTTTTAAAGACTAAATAGTATACATCACATTGTCTTTCTCTATTCATCCATTAATAGATACTTAGGTTGATTCCACATCTTGGCTATTGTGAATAATGCTGCAATGAATATGGGAGTGCAGATATATCTTTGACATACTGATTTCAATTTTTTTGGATATATACCCACTAACGGACACCTTCTTGGTCAGAACAATCAAACAAGCAAGTCACTCTGCTAAAGTGCTTTGCTTTGGATTAAATGTTACTGCTGCCCCTTGCAATCACAGAGGGAAGCAACAGAATAAACATAAAAATATTTTCTTTTTTTTCCATAGGTTATTGGGGTACAGGTGGTGTTTGGTTACATGAGTAAGTTCTTTAGTGGTGATTTGTGAGATTTTGGTGCACCCATCACCCAAGCAGTATACGCTGCACCATATTTGTAGTCTTTTATCCTTCACCCCCTCCCACCCTTCCCCCTAAGACCCCAAAGTCCATTGTATTTTTCTTATGCCTTTGCGTCCTCATAGCTTAGCTCCCACATATCAGTGGGAACATACAATGTTTGGTTTTCCATTCCTGAGTTACTTCACTTACGATAATAGTCTTCAATCTCATCCAGGTAGCTGCAAATGCTGTTAATTCATTCCTTTTTATGGCTGAGTAGTACTCCATCATATATATATATACACACACACACACACACACACACACATATATACATATGATGGAATATTACTATATTATATATATATATATCACAGTTTCTTTATCCACTCATTAATTGATGGGCATTTTGGTTGCTTCCACAATTTTGCAGTTGCAATTGTGCTACTATAAATATGCATGTGCAAGTATATTTTTTGTATAATGACTCCTTTTTTTTCCTCTGGGTAGATACCCAGTAGTGAGATTGCTGGATCAAATGGTAGTTCTACTTTTAGTTCTTTAAGGCATCTCCACACTGTTTTCCAGAGTGGTTATACTAGTTTACATTCCCACCAGCAGTGTAGAAGTGTTCCCTCATCACTGCATCCATGCCAACATCATCTACCATTTTTTGATTTTTTTATTATGGCCATTCTTGCAGGAGTAAGTTGGTATTGCATTGTGGTTTGATTTGCATTTCCCTGATCATTAGTGATGTTGAGCATTTTTTCATAGGTTTGTTGGTCATTTGTATATCTTCTTTTAAGAATTGTCTATTCATGTTCTTACCCCACTTTCTGATGGGGCTGTTTGTTTTATTCTTGCTGATTTGTTTGACTTCATTGTAGATTCTGGATATTAGTCCTTTGTCAGATATATAGATTGTGAAGATTTTCTCCCACTTCGTGGGTTGAGAACAGACATAAAAATATTTTCTTATAACAGGTCTACAGAGAGAGACTCTTTATTATTTGATATGAAATACCACTACCCACACCATCAGCATACATATTTGCATATATGTTGCAATCATTAATCTAAAGTCAAACTATCTCTGCTAAATATTCTTCTCATTAAATCTTATCCCACAAAATAAGGTCATCCAGGTATACCAACAGAAGAGGATTAATTATTGGAATCATCATGAATTCTGCTTGCCACTCATTTCCAGTTCCATGTAGCATTGCACATGGTAGATCTGCACTTTCTGCTTGACTTAAGGCCCTATGACTTGCTCTGGACCTTGAGTGATAGCGGAAGTGATAAAGACTTCTATGCTTAACATTCATTTGTCAGTGTGGTGAGAAATGCTTGGGTACCCTTGTCCCTCAGCATTCAGTAAGCAGCAGCATTCAAGATGATGAAGCTCCATCATGCTGAGTCACTGTGTGACTCTGATGAGTAGAGGCTCTCTGCCAACCCACAGCGATGCCTACCATATTCTCCTTTGAACTCTAATTTTTTAAAACTCCCGTACTAGATTGTAAGCTCTTTGAGAACAAGGACCAGACCTATATTTTATACTTTGCATTAAGCATAGCACCTATAGACAGCAGAAGCTCGAAACTATTTGCTGAATAACTAAATATATTGACCACAGATATCAACCCTACAAAGCAATTACATATATTTTTATACTCTACAAAAACATATTCTTCTCTTATTAAACTATTATTTCTACTAAGATAATCATTGAACTTGTCATTCTGTGCAAACCAAGTATTTTCACCTTGAGCAGAAAACATATAGGTTTTCCAATATAATAGGAACAAAGTCAAAAAGACAAATATTTATCATGTAGGTGAGGAGATTTCACACATTAGGGCAGACACACTGACTCCTTATAATGCAAATTATTTTTCAATGTTAGTGAAGGCCTAAGCTCAATCCAGTTACTTGTGATTATGGTAATGTATACCCATTCTGACACAGAGTAAGCTAGGTAACCAAAATGATAATAATAAAAATAATGACTTGGGTGAAAACAATTGTTTTTCACATCTATTGGTTTATTTTTCTCCAGTGACTATTTACATTTTGACCAATGGTACCTTTTTATGTTGTGAAATGAAACTTCTAAACTCGGATGTTGCTATCAAATAAAGACAACATCTTTATTCCTTTGTCTTTTTGTGTTTATTGCTTTATAATAACAGATATACCATCTCCTGGGTTTAAGTCTCTTCTAATCAGCTGGATCTGTTCAATCTATTTCTTGTGTTATCAGCTGAGGATTAGACTAATAAAACTTCAGTTAAGATACCCTTTTCCAAGTAATTTGTTAACATACTTGATATATTTGATTAGCTGTCTCCCCTCCACACAGAGTCACTCCATAGAAATCCTACTATAACAAGCACAGATGCAGAATCCCTTTATTTACCCAAATATTTTGTAAGAATTCTAGTATAGCTAGTCAACATTTAGAAATAACATCTCCCAAAAGATTCTTGTTCTTTTATTTTTATATCATCTTAATTACTCATAATACTTTCCATGACTACTATTTTAAAATATTTAGCTTATAAAAATTTGTATAATGAAATCCAGGCAAAATTATATTTTAAATCTAAACAATTCCTCAAAGTTCTCTTAAATGATAATTAAAACAACTGATTGGAAAAATCCTATGCTCAAATTCTCCTTTTTACACACTTATCTGTAAGCAAACAAATGCTACTACATAATTCACCTTTCCTTCTCTTCTTTTGAGGAAATAGAAATGTATTTCCCTTTTTAATGACAGAGTTTTTATTTTAACTTGGATAAATAAGAGTGTGAAGAAATTTTCTGCTCCCTACATTTTGAAATTTTAATTAAAATGTCCCAGCTGATCTATCTGCTAATGATTATTTGAACAATGATGCAGAGAATCCTTTTTCTCAAAAGAATGAACATCTTTTAAGCCAAGAACAGCTTTGGGTCCAGATGTTACTGTTGTTCATTCTCACCATTAATCACCAAACATTGCAGTAGGACCCACCATGGATATTATTCAAACAGAGACTCAATTAAATTCAGAGGCAGTCCATTTAATCTTCATCAGCTCAAACAATGGCAACTTCATTTTTCCCAACCAAATGTTGAGCCAGAGAGGAGAAACTTCAGAGATTTTCATTTCATTCGATATTGTTATAAAGTAACTGGATTTACAGTTTGACTTTGGACAAAGGAGAGCCACAGCATTCTGCTAGAAAGCAGTAAAACAGGGAAGGTGAAACATCCTGCACCAGTAAGCACAAGGTATAGTAATTTGTGTTAAAAAAGATTCATTAGCTTCCTTAAATGCTGTAATAACTTAAGAAAGAAATAAGGTATTCGTTCTGACTCTGCCATGTGAAGATAGATGTAGGGCAGGAAAAGGAGGCAGAAAATTAGAATGAGAGGAGAAAGGGAAACACCTCTAACTCTTACATTGTTTGCTTCATCTAAACCAAGGGGGGAAATGGCTCCTGAGATGGCCCCTGCTAGAAAGCAGCCTGTGGGTGTGATGAATGAGGGGCCTATAATTAAGCACAGCATCATACTGCCAGAGACCTTTCTTACTGTGGTCATGACATTGACACTGACATTTTTTTAAGGTGTGTAAATGCCAAAGGAGTACTAACTAGATGTCTTTACCCATTAGTTTGGATCATGACTGCTTTCTCTAAGGATCTCAAGTGGGATAATAAAATCTTATTTGGAAACCCTTTCCTAATCATCTCTGCATTAGTCAGGGTTTTACAGAGAATAGAGAAGAGATTATATATATATATATATATATATATATATATATATATATATATATATAAAATTTCCTATAGAGAGAGATATTTTCCAACTATCTATCTTTATCTATATATGTGTTATATATACATATTATACATATACATATATAGAGATGGAGAGAAAAGCAGAGAGAGAGAGAGGAAGAGAAATACACAGAGCAAGAGAGAGAGATTCTTTTAAAATAAGAAATTGGCTCACAGGATGATGGAGGCTGAAAAGTTCGAAGATCTGCAGCCAGCAAGCTGGAGACTCAGGAGAGTCAATCTGTAGTTACAGTCTGAAAGCCAGCAGACTCATGACCCCAAAAGAACTGATTTTTCCATTTGAATCCAAAGACAGAAAAAGGCCAATGTTCTAGTTCAAGCAAGCAGGCAGGAGGAGTTCCCTCTTACTCAGGGGAGGGGAGGCCTTCCTGTTCTGGTCAGACCTTTAATTGACTGAATGGGCCCACCCACATTAGGGAGAGAGTCTGATTTACTCAGTCTAACTATTCAAATGTTAGTCTCACAAGCATGCCCTCACAGACACATCAACCATAATGTTTGACCAAATATCTGGGCACTCCATGGCCCAGTCAAGTTAACACATAAATTAACCAGCACAATCTCCTAATACCCTGGGCAAGTTCCAGGTAGTAGTAAGTCTCCCTACATGAACACTCTGTAGAACATGGGATAGAAGAGGGGATCTGATGAAACTTTAAGGGTATTAGTGCTTTCTTTCTAACCCATTCCTAAAGCAACAAGACTCTGGCAAAAGGACATGAGTGATCCTATTAAATATAAGAGCAATAATAATAATAGAAAACACATATATGAAACTTACCATGTTCCAGGCATTGTGTTAAGTGCATTTTATGAGCTCCATCTATGCTCACAATGACTTTTTGAGGTGGGTGAATAAACTGAGGCACAGAGAGGCTAGGCAATTTACCCAAGGTCACAAAGCTAGAAAGTGATAGAGTCAGAAGTCTCATCCAAACTATCTGGCTCCAGAAGTCCCATAGACTATTCCTCTTTTTGATGAGCATTCATTGAATGCTCATGAATTGATGATGAACAGGACAAATTTCTTCTTTACAGGCATGAAATCATGGTCAAGCAGGGCAGCAGAATTAACAAAGGCTGTGATGCCTATAGAATGAATCACTCACTTTGCTCCAGGGACCAGGAGGACCTCACCATCTGGGGGATTTGTAATGTAGGAATAAAATGTATGGACCATCAAGTCCAACTTCCATCCTTGCCTCTCTCTCCATTTGGCTGAGCTCACCTCACAGAGGGGGTGACACTAGAGCAGGGCCTTCAAGTTACACCTCTCTGGCCTGGTTGGTTTAACTGCTAACTACCACCTGATTTATCCACAACTACTAAGCCCTTTCTAGTCTATTCTCCAACCAGCCTCCAGAGGTATCTTCGCAAAACAAAAGCCCAAGTCAGTGGTATGCACCACATTCCCCTGATGAAAGCCCTTCCATAGGTTTTCATTGTTCCTGACCAAGGTGCTTGAATCCAAGGATGAGCCTCATCTCCCTTCTAGGCTCATCTTGCCCACTACACTCTCCTCTGCTCCATCTGGTTAAGCCACCAGCCCTTTTTCAGTCTTTGTCCTTACCATGCCCCCTCTCTCCTGCCTCCATTGCTCATGAGGCTCCCTCTGTCTGGATAATTTGTCCCAGAAGAGTTTCTGATTACAATCACAACTTTTCTGTCCTTTTTTCTCAAGGTAGAGTCTATTTGACTTCTGCAGTCATTAGAGCCCCCAAGGATCTCAAGCATCTTTTCCTTGGGAGAGACTCCTGACCTCTCTAACTAGGTCAGATCCCCTTACCATGAGCCTTTCTGGAATCATAGGTCTCTTCTTTACAGTACCTATCACAGTTTCAATCTTACATCTGTGGTAGCTGTGGAGCCCTAATAAGACAGAGCTCCACGTCGGGGTGAACAACAGTTCTGAGAAATGGCTAATGACAGACAACCTGCTGGCGCAACATCCTGTTCCCAAATACCTCACTCAGCATGTAGCCTCTCCAGCATAATGCTATAAAACTTCCCACCAGCCCCTGTGTCTTTGCAGACAGCCCCTTCTCTGCTGTGCTGCCCATTGTACCCTTGCAACGTATCTTCTTACCTTCTCTAATACATTTGCCTTTCTTTATCTACGACTGTCTTGATAAATTCTTGGACTGCCTGTGACACCAGCCCCAGTCAGTGGCATCCATGACAGTAGATCAATAAGAGCCCAGAGGCCAAGAACAGAATCTCCTTTTGCCACTGTAGTATAATAAACAATAAATTTTGTCTTTATTTCCAGTTCTTGGCACAGAGCTCCTAAAATCCTTGGAATCTGTTGAAGGATGAGTGTGTTATGTATGCTGAGATGATTCACTGTAGGGGCCCCTAGATAGCTTCAGAATGGGGGCTGGTCCCTAGAAATACCAGTTCATGATTAGAGAGTTAGAACTTTCAGGCCCACTCTCTAAGTTTCAGGGAAGAGAGAACCTGAAGACTGAGCTCAATCACCACTGGCCAGTGATTTAGCCTATTTAATGAAATCTCCATGGAAACCCCTAAATCACAGGGTTTGGAGAGCCTCTGGTTTGCTGATCTGAGGAGTTGCTATGTCCTGAGAGGGCATAAAAGCTCTGTGTCACCACCTACCCCCTACACCTTGCCCTGTGTGTCTCCTCTATTTCACCGTTCCTGAGTTGTATTCTTTATTATATACCAGTAAAAGTACGTAAAGCATTTTCCTGAGTTCTGTGTGTCATTCTACAGAATTATCAAAACTGAGAGAGAAGTTGTGGGAATCCTTGGATTTATAGCTGATTGGTCAGAAGTACAGGTGGTTCCTGGGACTTGCAACTAGCATCTAAAGTAGGAACAGTCTTGAGGGCCTAAACCCTTAACCTGTATGGTCCATGCTAATTCTGGAAGTTAATGTCAGAATCAAATTGAATTGTTGGACACCGAGCTGATGTTAGAGAATCTGAGCCTTACCACTGTATGCCCAGCCCGTTGCCTGAAAATAGCAAACAGAGAGTAAAAATACCATCTGAATCAATGGATGACAGTGTAGCAATCTTGAAGAAGAAAAAATATGAACAAAATCACTGAAGCAAGAAAGGGCATAGCATATATAAGGAATCATGAGAAACCAAGACAATAAGTTACATCTAGAACTAGAATGATGCAGAGATAGGACTAAGAATATTGGTTAGGGCCATATGGTAAAGGGCTAGAAATTCCAAGTTAAGGAGTATGGGCTTTCAATTCCACAGGCAATGGGGAGCCATCATGGGGCTTTTGAGCATGAGAAGTGGGATCAGAAATGTGATTTAGAACAATGATTTCAGACATGGTTGCACATTGGATTCATCTGGAGAGTTATTTAAAAATGTTGGCACCAGGGTCCAATCCCAAGGGATTCTGATTTAATTGGTGTTAACCATGATCTGAACATCAAATGTTTTAAGAACTCTCTGGGTGATTCAGATATGAAGCAAAGTTTGAGAACCATCACTTTATAAAAATTATCTGGAATCTGTGTTTTTATTACATTGGAGAGGGCCACGCTGATGGCAGAGTAAATCGGATAGGAAGCTATCTTAATGCAAGCAGAGTACATCTAGGGCAGATCTCATTCAGAAGGATGGTCGCTTCTGAAAAAAATGCTGCCAGGGTCAAATGTCAGGCTGAGCTGGCTAATTGGACATGAGAAATAAAGAAAACTGGAAAATGATTCCAGGGTTCCCAGCTGGGGCAACAGCACAGGTGGCCCTGGGATAAATTAGCAAATTAACAGAGAAAGGAAACAGGAGAAGGGGAGTACGGGTGGGAAAAAGAGAAGAGAGGAAGCCAAGCCAACCCCTGTCAATGTGGCCTTCACTTTCTTCCTCCACTCCGGATCTGCCGGCATTAAGTCAACATCAGTGGCAACAGCTCTGCCAGGAACCAGAGAAATTCAACAGATTCAGGCTGCCACAGGAAAACAGGATGGCTATTCCACCATGGATGGCCCTCTCCTGGGACCTCTCTGCCTGAAGAGTCCCAATATAGAATTCTTCCCAGGAGGACTTCAGCTAGTTTCAGCTGTCAACGGTCCTTGCAAAGAAAGAGAGGGGCACAGTTAAGAAATGAGGGTCCAATCACTGCACACCCCATAGATCACAGTCTCCACCTTGACTGTTTGAATTGCATCCCCAAGCAAATGGGAAGCCAGTACAGAACCCAGAGCACAGATGCAACGTGCTCACCAGGAGCATGAATGAGCTGTGAGGTTCCCCTTTTTAATTCCTCATCTGATAACAAGCTTCCAGTCCCCTGATCAATATTTCCAGCACACTGCTGTGCACCCCACTGGGCATCCTTTGTTGTCTATTACTCTTTTTAAGGAAATAATTACCCATGCACACACTCATGTAAAAATTATTTATAGTTTATTCTTTCTCTCCCAAAATGAAACAATTAAAGATGTTTTTAAAACAACAACATAAAAGGTTTGTCTCTGCCCTTTACAGTAAAAGCTTGTCAAGAAAAGTTGCAGTTTTGTAAAAGTAAGGTTTGATCCTCTAGTATCTGTAAGCAGAGGCTGTGAAAGTGAAAAAGATGTGGCAGACTGTAATTCAATATAAAGACTTGAGGATAAAATACACTGTCACATGTCTGAATAACTTTCGCAATGGCCAGCTTTAGCAAAAATGCAGCCCGATCTACCTCTTCTCTGCCTGGTAGCTACAAGAAAAGCACCAGGCCACTCAGCAATTCTTTGAGAGCCATAAGCTGAAAAGGGCCTTCTTGACACATTTTCTCTTGACGATGGGGCATGTACTATTGTGATGCCAATATGCTGGCCATAGGGAACTCACGGACTTTCTCCCCATTTATTAGTTATTTATGGTGTCTCTTAGGAACTTATGGGAGCAATTTTTTGCAGTCCCTTTGCCTGATTCCCTCCCTTTCTTTCCACAAAGGATAGCAATGTCCAGCCTGGAGCCACAGAGTGGAGTCTACCCTCTGGTCACCAGTCTTATCCCCTAAACATTCTTCTTGAGTCAAGTTAGAGAACTCTTATGATTCTTTTACTAAGCAATGGCTCTGGATTCAAAGTCTGATTCTGCTATTTACCAACTCTGCCCTTGAGCAAGTACTGAACTTCTCTGTACTTCGGTTTCATCTATAAAATATGTTAATAATAGTATCTAGTACAGGAATAAGATAGGCATATGCCATTCCTGGCACATAGCAATTGTCCCCCGTCTGCTGGGTGCTGTCACAATTTTTTTAAGAAGCAGTATAGTTTCATGACTAACAGCATGAACTTCACAGCCAGCCTGCTTGGGTTCAAATCCTGGCTCCACCACTTCTTGGCTATGTGATTTAAGACACATTGCTGAACTTCTCAGTGCCTCTATGTTATTTAATCTAAAAAAGAAGAAGAAGAATAGTATCTATCATCAATGATTATTAAGTTAATTTTACATATACACAAACATAATAATAAAAACAATGCTTAACAAATAGTAAATAATAAGTGTATTAGCCTTTTTGTTATTATAATAATTACTCTGGTTTAGGAGGACAATATATACTAAGCAGTACAGCAACAGTTCATACAATGAGAAGTTTTGAGTCATCTCTCTGATATGCAGGAAGAGCTGTGAATTTTTACATGATAACTCTTCCCTCCATATATCTGGACTTCACTTTCCTCAACTGTAAAAGGGGATAATAAGATAACATAACTCCTACTTTGCCATGTTACGTCAAAAAATTAGAAATTGGGCCCGTAGAGAACCGTATCAAGGGACTGAGGCAGATTCTTGCCTATGTCCCATCCTGACCCTATCACCTCTGGAGTCTGGCCAAGGGAAGTATGTACACAAGTGGTTCAGCCAGATACAAAATTAAGTGCCTTTTTATAACAGGCTTGGCGGCACAGATACCCCACTACAGAAAAATCTGAAGTGGGTGGTATGCGGAATGCAGCCCAAACCATATCACCTGAAGGGGTGGGGGGGGTTTCTGTTTTCCTGCATCAAAAGGCTCCCTGCCCTTCTGCCAAAAAAGCCAGGCCCCACTTATCACCTTGCCACCAACATGGGTGCAGTGTAAGGGAAAGTGGGAAAGGGTCTGCAGTGTCTGGGTTCAGGACGTGAAGGAAGAGGGAGTTCATTGCATCATCCCATGATATCAAAATGCAGAAACATAACCCACAAACAGAGCATAGTTCCCATTTGTTTGCCTCCGACCTTGGAGTGAAGCTAACAATGGGAATAGACAGAGGGGGCTCTGGATGGATCTCTCCTCCTTTATGGGGCAAAGCCGAAATAAGGGATGAGAAGCGGCAACATTCCCCCTTCATCAAGAGTTTGCCAGATCCTATGGAATATTTAGAACATACTTCTACCAAACAATTATTTGTTGTTTACTTAAAATTCCAATTTAACTGGGTCCATTGTATTTTTGTTTGCTAACTCTGGCAATCCTAGGGCGTGTAGAATAAGTGTATATGCACACACACTTACCTCTTCTTAGGTCATAGACTTACTACATAAAAATGTATGTCTTCATAGTTGGAATAGTTCACATTGTCTTCAGAGCAGAATGCATCTTTAAAATTAGTCTGGCATCATCCTTGTTGCTATACATTTGCAAAACACCAGCTTCAAAGAGTCACTTCAAATCTTGCATTATTTCATAGCTTTCACTGAATGATTGGACTAATATGTGGATGTCTTGGATTTAGATGAGGCAAAGCACTTCTGACACTACCAAAGTTAGATCAAACTTCACATGTTAGTGCAGTCCTGCACAAAACTGCCCTCACTTCACACTTTAGCCACAAGCTCCAGGGTTGCCAGGCCACCCACACTTCTGACCAACTGGCTGTAGACTTGAAGGTTCCCACTACTCCCACAGGTTCAGTGCTACAATGACTCATAGAACTCAGGAAAGTGCTAGACTTAAAATTATACTTTTATCATAAAGGATACAAATCAAGACAAATGAAATGAAGAGAGGCATTGGGCAAGGTCTAGGAGAGTCTGAGATGTTGATGTATGTTTCCTAACCAGGGAAGTCACCAGAGCCTGGGCGTAATTATTGGCCACAGGATGGTACTCAACTTCCAGCCCTTCCTCCCTTTCCCAAGGTCAGGTGGCTCGGCTGATATCACTTGGCCCAAAGCCCCGACCCTCTAATCATAGGGTAGGTCATTCTGGCATGGCCAGGACCACTGCTGAAACTAGTGGCCCAAGGTAAGTCACCTTGTGAGCATAAGCTCAAGTGTGGTTCCCAGTAGCACCCACAAATAACAAAGACATTCTTATCACTTGGAAAATTCCAAGGCTTTAAAAACTCCCTCCCAGGAGCCCAGGACAAAGACTAAAGAATGTTTTTTTCTTTGTTTGTTTGTTTATACAACAGATGGGAAGCTCGTAAATTACATTTTAAAATGGTTTTCTTTCAACTACCCTTCTTCATAAGGCAAGCTCAAAAGGATATTAAACTGAAAACTTTTTCTTAACTGTAATCATATTCAACTAAAAATGTAGACCATTGCAGCATATGTATCTCCACTTTTTAATGTTAATAAGAATCATAACAAATGACAGCAATTTATTGAAAACTTAAAGACACCACTCGCTTTACCTCATTGAAATAAACACCAACCCAATTCACAGGAAAAAGAACTGAGAGTTAGAGAGATGAAGTAGTAACTTATGGGAAGGTCAGCAAACAAAGGCCCATAGGCGAAATCCAGCTCACCATCTGTTTTTGTTTGGCCTAAGAGCTAAGCATGGTTTTCACATTTTTAAATGATTAAAAGGGGTCAAAAATAATATCTTTTGACATGTAAACATGAGAAGAAATTCCAAGACTATAAATAAAGCACTATATTTTGAGTGCTGTGTCCCTCCAAAATCCATAGGTTGAAACCTAATCCCCAATGTAATGGTGTCAGGAGGTGAGACCCTTAGGAGGTGATTAGTTCATGCAGGCATAGTCCTTATGAATGGGATTAGTGTCCTTATACAAAGAGGCCCCAGAGAGCTAACTGGTCCTTTCCACCATGTGAGGACACAGCTAGAGGCTCCATCTATGAAGCAGAGAGTAGGCCCTGAGCAGACACTGCATCTGCCAGAGCCTTGTTCTTGGACTTCCCACCCTCCAGAGCTATGAGAAATAAATTGCTGTTGTTTTTACACTACTCCGTTTATGGTATTTTGTTATAGCAGCCCAAACAGATGAAGACATAAAGTTTTATTGGAACACAGTTACACCCATTGGTTTATGTATAGTCTGTAGCTGCTTTCACTCTACAATGGCAGAGTCAAATGACTGCAACAGAGACTATCTGGCCCACAAAGCCAAAATATTTACAGCTGACTCTTTACAGAAAGTTTACTGACCCCTGGCAGAAGAGCACTTAGCTGTTGGTGGGATTTAAAGCTGAGTTTCTCTGGCTCCAAAGTGAGTAACAGTAGCAAATTTCTTTATTTTGTGTCTACTGTGTCCCAAACACAGTCAAAGCCATGTTTAAAAATCTCATTTTAGCCTCAAAAATTATCAACATTTTTTAGTTAAGAAAACCGAGGTTAGAGACCTTAAGTCACTTACCCAAGGCTACTAAGCTAGCTCTGTGAAGCTCCATGCCCTCTTTACTATTATGCCCATACCCGAACCCCACTCTACTCCAGAAAAGGACAAAGAGCCTCTTAAATTTAACATTGTCATTCCACCCACTGAAAACTATAGCCTCTAGGTGCTATAGTTTTTCTCTTTCTGGTGTAGGAAGAGCAGGAAAACCTAAATTGAGGCTCTAACCCAAAGAAAGACAGGTCAATTTCAGCCAGAAAGACTGGATAGCCCCAAGACCATTCATCCAAATGTTTTTAACTTTTTATTTCACTCTGAGAGCCAGGCTTCAGAAACCTCCAGCTGTCACACATTTGGTGAGAACTCAGAAAAGTAAAACTGATGTGATTGAAGGACTGAAGATAAATATGCCAGGTTCACAACAAAAAAGGCAGGGAAAACATCTATGAATATTTGAAAGATTGTACATCAAAGGAGAAAGGAAATGAGAAATTGCTTGGTGCTATCCAAGGAAAATTGTACACTGATAAAATGGAGCATCAAAAAGCATAAGCTATTTGGAAGCATAGAGAGTGTGCAGCACACTCAGCCCAAAGCAAGATTTCTCAGCCCCTTCAAGAAGGGATGGAGACCCACCAAACTGGTCAGCCAGCTCCAGAAAACAGAATGTTCCAGTTGGGCTTTACTCCTTTTGTTCTCTTACAGTGCAGGTTCTTTCCTTGAAAACTTCATAATGGCAAGAAAGAGATGGATTGAGAATGGCTGCTTCTTACCTTGTGGAGTAGATGAGACCCTCCCTCAGAATTCACATGAGCAGGTAAGATTGAGGTATGGAAGCATGGAGGCTGCAGAACACACTCTCCACTCACATGAAGTATCTCTGGTCCCCTGCAGGGCCACTTTGGGATGAGGAGAGGGGAGTGCAATGGTTGTACCTGAGAGAGGAGGGAGGACACTTTGATGCAGTGAGAAACTATAAAGAAAGACATAGAAGAGCCATTGATCAGAGCTATGTTATTGCCAATTGGGATCCCTTGGGCAGGTTTTGGGTCCCACACAGGAAGAAGATGGGCACAAGTAGATCTACTTCAGGAACCTGAGAGAGTATGACTGAGATGAGAAGGAAGCTCTTTGCCCGGCCTCTGCTAGGACTCAAGCTCAGATCTGGTGCCCCAAAACCAGAAGACTTGGGAGTGTGAGGAGATGTCACCCTTCATGGGAACACCAGTATTCTCATGACATCAGAGAACAGCAAAAGTGCTTCACCAAAGGGTCTGCAGCAACAGGTATGGACAGGTAGAAGGCAGCTTCGGAGAGGAAGAAGTTGATGGATAGAAGAAGTGGATGTTAGTGACCTCAATCAACTGACTGTGAATCTGGAAAGACTCCCCAAAATAAGGGAGAGGATGCATTTTGGATGAGGGAAGATCTAAAGTCTTATTATTTTCCTCATGAGGTAATATTTAGCTAGTAGATTTGGGAGCTATACCTATACCAAATAAACTATAAACATTTTGCAGCATTTTTCTGTTAATTTCTATTGCTCATCACTACACAATTAAAAAAACCTCTTCCTGGCAGAGGTTGTCAGTAGCTTTTCTCACTCGGTCTTGCCTGAGCCTGTTGTTCTGTACTCCAAGCTCTTCCACAACCACATGTGTAGGCTGCTTACTGGTATCAGAGCCTTTCTCTCAGTCTCTCTGTCTTCAATTGTTCAATGTTTACATTTTAAGTACAGCAACTTCATCAGCTGAAATCCTCCAACTCTAGACACACTCATTCCCTGATTTGCTTCTGCAGATGTTCTTGCAATAGACTTGGTTCTTCTGTATATTCTCTGCACAGGGCAACAGGTCTGTTAGATTTTCTCTTTTTGCATGATGCCTCTTTCTGTCTCTTGCTTAGTCTGTCTCATTCTGTTCTGCATAACTTTGATGTCCCATGCCATAAAATCAAACATGGATTTTCAGTGGAAAGAAAAAAATTCCAGGCTGCCTATTATCTGGAAAAAGATTGCCCATATAGAAAAGACAGTACACCTGGAGTCACATTGTCAAATGTCCCATAGCACAAAGCAGCCTGGGATTTAATGATGAGCCAGCTCTTGCCCAATATTTATATCTGACACACATACACTAAACGGTCAAGCCTTTCACAATACAAATTTTGAAATGCTGTGTTTGAAACTGTAGGAAATAGTCTAAAGCAATATAATAGCTGCATTTATGAAGCAGATACATTTTCTAGAAGCATTTTTAATCTCATTGCATCTTAACAATAACTCTGCAAAGTGGGCATTACCCTCATTTTATAAAAGAAAAACCAGAAGTGCAGAAAGCTTAAGAAACTAGCAACCTCTTCAAGGTCATACTGAAGGTAGGAGTGCTAGAAATCTAACCTTGGTGCCTGCATTCAAAGTCTGGTCTCCTTCCCCATTGCTTCATTGTCCAGCAAGAAAATGGTAACATACTACATTTATCCACATTCTAAAATGCATACTGTCCAAGGAAATTTTTCATCTTTTATTATCTCAGGGCCATCCCGAAAGTACAAGGGCAGTCATTCGTATTAAATAAATGAGTATTAAATATCAAATTTTAATCTTTGTCAATTTGATAAAGATGAATAGTGTTTGATTTTAGCATGTATATCTTCAGTTACTAATGAAATTTGACTTTTTTTTAGTATTGGCCATTAATTTTATTCTTTAATAAATTGCCTATTTATGTCCTTTGTTCTTTTTTCTATTGTGATTTGAGTTTTCCTTACAGATTTTGAAGATCTCTTTATAGAGTGAAACCATTAATCACTTAGCCATCATATTCTTTGTAAGCACTTTATCCCAATTTATCATTTGCCTTTTAGTTTTGATTAAGGTGATCGTTTATATGCAAGCACATAGAATACTTGCACATTTGAGTAAGTTTTTAGATTTGCGTTTGCATGCAATGTTCCTTTAGCTTTGCACCCAATTTTCTCAAGAGTTGTAAGGTTCAGGTGGAATTATGTTGCATTAACTAAACTTCCATAGATGGCTTTATAAACTAAAAATGCATTTACTAATTTACAATTAGGACTACACCCTAGCAGTAACACAAATACCACATGGGCAATTTGGGATATAAAAATCACTTTGCCCCATTGTGTTATATCTTGGAGTCCATATGTATTAGTTCTCATGCTGCTAATAAAGATACACCTGAGACTGAGTAATTTATAAAGAAAAAGAGGTTTCATGGACTCTCAGATCCACATGGCTGGGGAGGCCTCACAATCATGGTAGAAGGCAAAAGGCACATCTTACATGGTGGCAGGCAAGAGAAAATGAGGGTGAAGCAACAGGGGAAACCCCTTATAAAACCATCAGCTCTCATAAGACTTATTTACTACCATGAGAACAGTATGAGAGAAACTGCCCTCATGATTCAATTATCTCCCTCCCACAATACATGGGAATTATGCAAGCTAAAATTCAAGATGAGATTTGGGTGGGGATACAGCCAAAGCGTATCACCATATTATATCTGGACCTGTTTCTTTCCCTTTCTAGCAGGGAAAGACTCTCAGAAATGACTCAGAGTGACAGAGGTCATTCATAGCATAACCAGAAATGAGCATTCAAGTCTCTTCATCACTGTCTTCAGTTAAAATATATATATATATATATATATATATATATAAAAGTTTTGATCAGAACACAGCTTTTTAATTGTACCAAGCATGAAAAAACAACACAAACATTTTACTTTGCAAAATGTATATATCATTTAATACTTTAAAAACTGAGGAAAACAAATGTAAAGTTGTCTAGGAAAACAGACAACTTCATGATTTGTTTGTCATCTTCTCCCTCTTCGTCCTAACATAATATGTAGTATATCCCATGACAGCTCATAAAGTGTACCACTGCCACCAAATCACTAGCTTTTATGGAGACAGTAATGAACATAAGACACCTTAGTAGGAGTTATAAAAATGTAGACACTTCTAACACTAAAAAAACAAGCGGAAGTATTTTGTAAACCAAAAATATTCAAATGCCTTGAGAAACGGGGATGTTTGAAACCAAAACTACAGCAACTACTGCATAAATATCTGCAGTTTTACCAATATGCTATTTCTCCAGGATTTACAGCTATTCACCATTTTTAATACTCTGGGCCTGACTTGTTCAAAAATAGTTTGCAAGTGTTTTGAGGAAGTCCCAGTTGATTTTAAAGGAGATAGGGGTGGGGGCCATGAAGAAATTTGTCCAAGCAAACAGACAAGATTGCCCCCAAATGACAACTGTCTGCCAGCTCCTTTTGCTTTGTGTTTTTCTAAGACTCTGCATGCCCTTGGTCAGACAACTTTTGCTCACGTAAAAGTGAAAGCATTCTCTCCTTTTTCCTCTTCCATATTTTAAGGATTAAGACATTTCAGTCTCCTCTGAGTTCCAGGGCTGTGAAAGCCCCTTGGCATCTCAAATATTAATATGGCTCACAGTGATGTGACTTAAATAGCCTTTTTAAAATCTAATCTATAATACTATGCTTATTTACAGTTCCTTGACAGCTACCAGACCTAATTGAAAAAGAGTTTCTCCAAACATTAAGTATTCTAAACAGTCAAGTAAAGATAAAAAGAAAGTATTAAAGGATTAAGGGCAAACGGAAAATGAAGATGAGGGCAGGAAAATGAAAATTAAAATAGCAAGGAAGTGAGATTCTGAAAAATGGCATTTGTGAGGGACAAATGAAATTATCCTTAAGTCTATCTATCATAGAGTACAATTTCTGCAGTGTTTAAGACAAGCCCTTCTCCTGCTCTGTGGTGACAGGTTTTACCCAAGTGTTTCTCATTCTGAAAGGTGCTAGTTAGTGCTTATATTTCTATGCTATTCACCAGTGTTATTAGCAGCTGTCCAAGACAGCCACATAAAATGTGAGTGTATCATTTTCCTATGGAAAGAACAATGCAGGTGGCTTCGAACCATGCTCTACAGCAAAAATATTTTTAAAAAAATAAAAGACAGAATTCAGACTACTACAAATGGTACTTACATTTCCATTTCTTACTCCCTTTTCACCATTGATGTAAACATCTTTAAAAAGTACTTATTTCCAAAAGCCTCTTTCCTTCATTTTTAAAAGAAAGCATATTTTCAAATTCTTGGAAAGGCTTTATAGAGAACCCTGTGACTTCCTCGATTAAACCATCCATTCAGCCCAAATGGCAGCCATTGCCGGTTGCTGGGCTCTAGGAAGCAAAGCATTGCCACTCTTTGAGACTAGCAAGGAAATAGCAGGCATATTGTCAGATGGAATATTACACCATTTTGGCCCCCAAAAGGGATGTTAAGAGCATGCTGTTCAAGAAAGAAGACAATCAGCTTTAGTAAGGAACTCACAAACACTGCCCTTTTGGGACTGAAATGTGTTCCCCAAAAATTTGTATGTTAAAGCCCTGTTATGGTTTGACTATATCCACCAAAATTCATGTGTTGGAAACTTAAATACCCAATGCAACAGTGTTTACAGGTAGAACCTTCAAGAGGTGATCAAGTCATGAGGGCTCTACCCTCATGAATAAATTGATGTCATTATCATGGGAGTGGATTTTTTGTAAAAGTGAGTTTGGCCCCTCTTGCTCTCTTGTGCACTCTCTTACCATGTGATACCTTCTGTCATGTTACAGTGCAGCAAGAAGGCCCTCACCAGATGCAGGCCCCTTGACCTTGAACTTCCCAGCCTCCAGAATTATAAGAACTCAATCTTTATTCATTATAAGTTACCCAGTCTGTGGGAATCTGTTATAGTGGCACAAAATAGGCTAAGATAAGCCCTAACCTCCAATGTGGCTGCATTTGGAGATAGGGTCTTTAAGGAGGTAATAAGGTTAAATTAAGTCAAAATGATGGGCCCCAATTCCACAGGACTAGTATCCTTATAAGAAGAAGAAGAGAGCCCAGAGATCTTTCTTTTTCTCTCTCAACACATGGAGAAAAGATCATGTGAGGACACAAGAAGGCACCCATCTATAAGACAGGAAGAAAGATCTCATCAGAAACCAAATTTCCAGCACCTTAATCTTAGATTTCTAGCCTCCAGAACCATGAGAAAACAAATTTATCCTGTGTAAGCCACCAAGTCTGTTGTATTTTGTTATGACAGCCCCAGAAGATTACCCAAAATGCAAAGAAACTTATCTTTCTTTTCAACAGAGAGGTCCAAAGTAGATACCATTACCATTGTATATTTCAGAGTATTGCCCATTTCCTGAAAATCAAAGCCTCTCCAGTAGCCTACCTACTAAATACTTATAGGGCATATGTAGCAACTGTGAGTATGCCAGTGACTGCCAAAGTGTGGACCCTAGACCAACAACATCAGCATCACCTGAGAATCTGTTAGAAATACAGATTCACAGTCCCCACCTAAGAACTAACTACTGAATCAGAAATCCTGGGATTGCAGCCCAGCAATCTGTATCTTGACCTGTCCTCCAGGTGATTCTGATGCTCACTAAAGTTGAAGAACCACTGCTGCAAGCAATGTTGCTTTTAAATCCCATTTGAGCACAGAAAACATTATTGTGATTTAGGTATAACACACTTGGCCACAGCAAATAATTTCAACGCTACTGTCTTCAATATTACTGCTTTACAGCAATGTTGTCACAAAACCTTTTGAGTATCTGATGACAAACCTTGGAGAATCTAGGAAGAAAATGCAAAAATGCATACACGCAAAATTTTTCATTCAGTTTCAGGGGGATCCTAAACACACCTGAAGCCTGTCCATCTACCCCAGGAAAGGAGCATCTGCTTTATCTTTTTCCAGGCATTTTGATCTGATTTTCATAGTAATCTGCAAAGTCAACAGGATGAGTATTATTATTTATAAAAGAAGACTTTGAAGTTCAGAAACCTAAGGGTCTTGCCCTAAATCTCACAGCTAGTTATAAGCAGAGAGAGCTCCTATCTAGGGTTCTGCTCCTTCTTCAAACTCTTTGCTTTATATTTCTCTCCTCCTCCTGACCCCTCCCTGATTTAGGTTGCTATTGGTAGTAACTATAGCAATTGGCCTGATTTGGAAAACAAAACAGAAGTGTTTTGCCAAGACCAGCTCAGTCACGAGACCCTAACCCAGCGGTGCTAGAGAAATTAAAGACACACACACAGAAATATGGTGTGTGGAGTGGGAAATCAGGGGTCTCACAGCCTTCAGAGCTGAGAGCACCAAAGAGAGATTTACCCACATATTTATTGATAGCAAGCCAGTGATAAGCATTGTTTCTGTAGATTACAGATTTACTAAAAGTATTCCTTACGGGAAATAAAGGGATGGGCTGAAATAAAGGGATGGGTTTGGCTAGTTATCTGCAGCAGGAGCATGTCCTTAAGGCACAGATCACTCACGCTATTGTTTGTGGTTTAAGAACGCCTTAAGCAGTTTTCCACCCTGGGTGAGCCAGGTGTTCCTTGCCCTAATTCTGGTAAACCGACAACCTTCCAGCGTGGGCGTCATGGCCATCACGAGCGTGTCACAGTGCTGCAAAGATTTTGTTTATGGCCAGTTTTGGGGCCAGTTTATGGCCAGATTTGGGGGCCTGTTCCCAACAATGTTTTGTTACTTGGGAGTAAAAGCACATTGTTTCCCCTGAAATATAAAGAAAGTGGAAAGCAAACTTTCAAATACCCCTTGGTAAATGGTTGGGGGATGCAGAATAGGTCATTCAATGCAGTTTTTCCTGATGCCTCACTTCCTGAAGCCTCATGTCTCTGGATAACTAAACCAGTCAATGAGTTAAATTCAGCTAATTACAAAGAAATCAATCATATGGGCTGTCAAAGACTAAAGTTTCAATTTTCTACTTATCAATTTGTTACGTTGGCCTAATATAAATCCTTAGTACTGATGAGTATCTTCAATTTTATAAACATTTATCTGTCAGCCACTGTGTACAAAGCACAGTAAGCACTAGAGGAGGATATCAAGAGGTATAAGGTATTGTCTCTGCTCTCAGGAAACATAGAAATAGTTAGTGAACTTAAGAGTGAATAAAGATGACATCTGACTAGGTAGGTCTTGATGCGTTATCAGCATGACAGCAAGGATCCAGAAAGAACCTAACTTCTTGCCCATGTATTCCTGACTATAATCAAATATTCCATGTTTCCTTGACCCCTGGACCTCTCAGCTTGCTGTATCCTAGGATTAGACTTCTGGTCTCCACAAGGAGGATACAGAAGCCTCTGCATCAAAGACAGAAAGCTGCCCGAGCTATTGGAGTCTCTTCATTCAGTCACTATAGGTGTCTCTGTGTTCACGAGTTTTTGATAGACCCCCAATCTCTGCAATCTAATTAGCCCCTGAACTGTCTGTTTGCCTGTCTCAGACCATCCTCTCTAACCTGCTCAGCAACATTCTGTAGCTGTGTTTCTCACTCTTTCTTTCTCTCTTCCCTCCTTCCCAACTTCCCTCCATCCCTCTCTCTCTTTCTCCTGTACCATCAATTTTTCACTCTCAGTCATATCATTCTCATCACCATATGACATACTGTACTATCTCCCATCTTTAAAAATTCTCTCTTGACCTCATATGTTCCCTAGAACTATCACCCCATTCTCTATTTCTCTTAACAGCAAAATTCAAAAAGTTCTAACCATTCTGTCTCCTCTCATTCTCTTTTGAATCTGCCTCCTCAGTCAGGATTTAAACCCTAATGCTCCACAGAAGCCATCTTGTCAAAGCTATCAACTGTTTCCATAATGCAAATCCCATGGTCACTTCCCAGTCCTCACCTTATTCCATACGTCTCCTCCTCTCTGAAACACTTCCTTCACTTAGCACCAAGTCACCCTCTTTAGTTTTGTTTTACTTCACTGGTTGCTCTTCATCAGTCTCCTTTGCTTGCTTCTTCTTGCCTTCCAAACACTCAGACATTGGCATGTTGCAGCATTCAGTCTTTGAACTTCTTGTCTATCAACATTCACGTCCTGGGTGATCTCATCCAGGTCTATGTCTCTAAATAGCATACATATGCTGTTTTCTCCTAAACGCTTATCTCTACATCTTCCCTTCTCCCTTGACTCCCAGCTACTTATTCAACTTCTTACTTGGCATCTCCAGTGGGCTATCTCATAACTTTCTCAAGCTTAACATACTCAAAATGAAATTATAGATTTCTAACCCACTGCCACCTTAACTCACTCCTTACTTACCCTTACTTACTCCTCCCATTGTCTTCACCTTCTCAGTAAATATCAACTCCATTCTTCCAGTTGCTCAGGCCAAAGGCTTTGCTGTTGCCTTTGACCCCTCCCCCTTTTTTATGTACTACTCTTACTAATTTATCAGCAAATTATCTCAGCTTGGCTTTGGAGATGTATCCAAGATCCAGCAACTTCTTATCATTTCCACTGTTACCACCTAGTTAAAACGATCTGGATTATTGTAAAATTGTCACATTTATTCCAATAACCTCCTAATGTATCTCCTAGCTTTCACTCTTGCTGTGTATTCCTGACATTGCTATCAAAGTAAAACATAAGGCATATTATGTCACTGCTCTGCTTAGATTTCTCTAATGATTTTCTATCTTGTTCAAAGGAAAAGGCAAAAACCTTATTGATAAAATCATAAGAAAGAGAAAATATATTTGCTATTCATTAAGTTGAAGTTGATCATCATAAAGGTCTTCATCCTCATTGTCATCACACTGAGTTCACTGAGGAGGAAGAGGAAGAGAAAAGATTGTTCTTGCTGCCTCAGGGGTGGCAGAGGTGGAAAAAAATCCATTTGGAAGTGGACCTGCATGGTTCCAAGTCATGTTGCTTAAGGGTCAACTGTACAGCTATTATTATATAGTAAAGCCATTATAACATTTCAAGAAATCAAGTCCTCTAGCACTCAGTCCAATTCTTTTCCTCAAACAGAACAAAATATTAATCTCCACTATTATTGAGTCAGCGATCAATCCTGAAATCGAATTTTTCAATCTTCTTCAAGACTATGGCTTAAAACAGTGTGACTCCAAATTATAATACTGAGGATATCCAAGTTGCTTTCTAAGTTTGGTACAGGACTGAGAACTTAATTGCTGCTTTCTGAGAAGGAAATGGGAAAACTGGAGAGGGAAAAATGGACCCTTCTAAGATGATGGAATGAACACTCTCAAACACACTAATGTGGACGTATTAAACTCCTAGATATTTGAAAACTACTTTTGAAAACATGAATGTATATTTTTAAGGCCTGTCACTCTCCTCAGAACAATAGAAACTATGCTCAGAAGGAAAGTAGGAAACTACTTCAGTTGTGTCTATTAATAAACTTCAGGATTGAGCACAAAACACCCTCCCACATAGTAAACACAGCCAGTTTCTCATGAAATTTAGAGGACAAGAAGTTAACAAGACAATGGCACCTGCAAACTAATGTAAGGAAGTAAGTAAATGTGTCCACATCCTACTTAAAGCCTCTCCATGGTTCTCCATCACTCCAAAGACAAAACTTACAGTCCCTGTGGCATTTTTACCCTTCCAGGTGAGGCCTCTGTACCTGCGGCTCCATCATCATCTTTGTCACTGTACTCTTCACACTCTAAGTGCCGGCCTCCAGGCCTTCACGTAGGCTGTTTCCTCTGCCTGGGACATCCTTGGAGAAAACAAAAATGAATATACAGCTTCTTTGAGCTCTGGCAGAAGCAAGATGAGCTTTTTAAGGTGAGGAGATTATTTTAAGAAGGGGAAACGGCGCTTATGGCTTGGAGTAAAAGAACTCCACATTTGACAATCAAACCATTTAGCAAATTATGGCACTTAATGCTTATTTAAAATACACAAAAGTAGAAATTGATTGCCATGATGCAAAATATAGGGTAATTCAAAAAGAACTGAACGCTTTTAAAATCATATTGTTCAACCAGCCAGATTATAGAAACATGTAGTTTGCAAGTAAATTGTATCAAGAGCCTTGTTTTGCAGTCCTCTTCCTTACAGCCATGAGGACATAAAGGATTGCAATAAGGTTGCCATTTTACCCTCTAACTAAAAAGGTGACGTGCTAAAATGTGCTTGGAATGAACTGGACTGCAGGATTAATGTATGCCTTGTGACATGAAGGGTATACCTTCCTGAATATTTGTAAATTATAGAAATGACTGCCATGGTTCCTTTATAAATTGGTTCTGACCAAATTTTATTGTACAACCTTGTTACTGAGTAACACATTTTTGAAAGAGTGTAATTCTTTTTGAATGACTACACATACACTCATGCATATATATGGACTGAAAGAAGCTATGAAAAAATAATAGTTTTGCAGTTAGCAGGGTTTTAAATTTATTTAAATCCTTGGTTTTTCATTGTCATAGTAAAATCCTCTTTCTAATATAAGCCATGGACCTAAGTCCTGCCATAAAGTAGCTATATAATTTGGGGCAAGTCACTTAAGCTTTCTTAGCGTCATTTAGAAAATTGAGATCATAATTATGATCTCACAAGATTGATATGAGGATTAAATGATATATTTTGTTTTAAAGTACCCTATAAACTATAAGGCATGATACCAAAATAAATTATTACTGTTATAGTATTAATATGTAACTGTTCTCTAATGTCATCTCCTTAGAAAGAGGCCCTTCCTGATATCCCTATCTAAAATAACACAACCCCCCATCAAAAAAAATTCACCTCCATACCCTTATCAGCTTTGCTTTTCTCATAGCACTTCTCACTCCCAGAAATTATTATTTTTAATTAGTTTAGATGTTTATTGTTGTTTACCACTAGGATATAAACTTCATGCGGGCAGGAGTTTTGCCAATTACTGGGTCCCTAGCTCCTAAGAAAGCTTCCAGCACAAAATGGGCACTCAGTGTGTTTCTGTGGGAGGAAGGAAAGGAGGGAGCAAGATGGGGCAGTAATATTTCCAAAGACACTTCTAAAGCAAGTATCTTCAACACTTATGTATATGCAGGTGTAATTTTCTAATCTCATCAAGAAGACATTAATAAGAATGGCCAAAGAAGAGTAAGAGCATAGTAGATAAACTAGAAGGAATTAACTGGGCAGCTCTGATTTAATTTACCCCCAATCATCAGAATTCGGTACTGAATTCAAAAGAAAAGTATATAGTTTATTTAAGTGAAATAATTTTAGTGCTATCTCCTGTAGCACAAATCTATCCCCTTATCAGAAAAGGGAGAACTGTGAACTCTACTCTTAAGTTGTTGCTTTGTACAACCATTTGATCCTGATATCCTTTTCTACTAGTCTAAGTGTTTATGTTTGCTCATTCCTCTCTAGCGGATTTTAAAATCCAAATCACTGCAATAATTCACTTTTTATTGTTCTCTTGCTCAGTTTCAACACATGTACAGTAGTAGTGTTCACTCTTCACAGGGATAATGGCATTTTTGGAGATTTTACTGTAGTCATTACTCTTGCTTCTTTATTAAGAGACTTGACTTTAATTTTCTGCTTTAGCTATGTGGTTTATCTTATGAATATTAATATACCACCCAAAGGGATCTATCCAGTGAATATGAATTAGAGAGAGCTTTTTTTTATACTGAAGAAAGAGAAAGCCATTTGCTGGTATGCACATCTTTCTGGGGTGTACGAGCTCTAATTTAATCAGCATGTAGTCATCATGTACGCCAACAGCACTCCAGGCCACGAAGTAATTGAAATGATTCAAGCTTGTTTAATAAAGTAATTTCAATTATAGCAGGAGTTGAGTCAGAAAATGTCAGCTGTACAAAGTTTATGCTGCCTGGAATCAGCAATAGGGCACCAAATGCTCATATAGAAAATACCACTGTGGGAATGAGTTGTACTTTTTTAGGCTTTGAAATATCTTTGTTTATGTGAGATAAACTTATCTAGAGTGATCTATTAGTCAAGAAGGCCAAATTTAATTTTGCCCTGAAAAACAGTGTAAAGAAATTTACTTATATCCAAGAACTTTGAACTGAAGGGGTCATAAAGTCCATGCTGTTTTCTCTAATATAATTAGCAACTGACACTTCACCACAGTCTCCACCACTCCCTAATGCCTAAAGCCAAGTCATCATTTATGTTTGGAGCCTCTGATGACAGAATACATCTCTACATCCTTTCCTTTAAAATGCTGGAAAGGAAATTCCAGAGGTTTTTAGTAGAAAATATGAATGCATAATAGACATATTCAAAATCATTTTTCCATCACCAGGTAATACAAATCATTCCAACAATCCTCAATATGGTCCTGTCAGTCTTTCATAAACAATGAATTTTAACTCTTTTTCTGTTCACTTTCATTCTTTTCCTCTCGTGTATAATTTGCTTTATCCTTCTAGCCAGTACCTCTCTGCACATACTTTACTCATTCAAAGGCCTGAGTCGTCCCACTACCGCAAAATATTTAATCCCCAAATTAGTATTTTATTATTGTTCTTCTTCTTTTATTTACCTTTGTCTTTGATTCAGAGAATTCTTTGTACATACAGAAGGCTTGCTTAGTTACTACCATCCCAGCACCTAGTGCTATTACTTGCCCATAACTGTTGAGTAGAGAGCAAGTTGGAGCATCTGCTTGCAATTCACAATCATATAACCCATAAGGTCTTATTAAATATTTTTTATTTCAGTTCATCTGTTCTCCTCCAAACAACACCTTGATCACACTTAGTTTAGGTCAATTTTATTAATGTAAACAGTAATCTATTTTAGATATGAAGCAATAGTTGCCTCAAAAGATTATAGGACTCTTGCTGGTTTCGTTAACATTAGCACTGTTGGAAACATCCTTTGGTCTAGTTCTGGGACTCAACATCTATGGACATCAGAGAGGGCTGTTATTGTGCCAAATAAAGATAATTAGTATCTGTTCTAAAAATACACCATTTTATGCTTCCTTGGGGACTTCTACTAATCGGACACGCAGTGAGATAATTCATGTCTAATGAATGTTTCATATATATATGGGATCATACAGCATGGCCATCTAACATCTTACTAGAGCATGTAGGGGAAGTAAATATAATTTGGCTATATTTTTGACAAATGCAAAATTCCCTCTGAAGCTGAGTGTCAGGATTCTCAAGTGAAATTTCTTCATATGAGTTTGAGCCATTTGGTCTTTCCTATAAAAACATTTCCAAACACATATTGGAAGCTCATGGGATTAAGTAAGTTAATATAAAAACATTTGCTTTCTGCACAAATTTTAGTTTAACCTTTCTTTAAAAATCCTGCTTCCTATCCCTCATTGATCTGCTCTGAACCCAGTTAATAATACTTTTAGTTAAAAACTATAAAGAATAAAACCTTCATGGTTTATATAGCACCTTCCCTTTATCATCCTCAAAGGAGTGTGTAAATGCAAGATCATTATGACATTATGAGTCCAACTTTATAGATGGGGAACTTGAGGCTCAGGTGAGGGTAAACAGCATAGCCAAGGTCAGGTTGAGCTTGAAAGAACCCAGTCCTCCTAAATTTTAATTTGCCTTACTACCCAGAAGGCTATGCTGCTGCTTTAGTAAGGAAAATGTGCTTTTATAAGTATTGACACTAAACTTTCTCTGATTAGCACTTCAGAAAAAAGAGAAGCGAGCCTCTCTCGGGTCCTCACTTCCAAGAAGACAAAGAAGAGAAGGAACAATGATGGAGCCAAAAAGGGCTGCGGCCACGTGCAGCCTTTTCACTGCACAAACTGCATTCAATGTGTGCCCAAGGACAAGGTCATTAAGTTCTCTATTCAAGGCATAGTAGAGGCCACCACTGTCAGGGACATTTCCAAATCAAGGATCTTTGCTGCCCATGTGCTTCTCAAACTGTCAGGAGCTCCATCACTGCGTGGCTACAGCAAGGTATTCAGGAATGAATCTCCTGAAGCCAGCAGGACTGAACACCTTCTCATCCAGATTTAGAGCTGCTACTGCTACCCCACAATGTCCACTAAAGCCCATGTAAGGAGCTGAGTGAGTCCTTAAAGATTGAAGAAAACTATCCTCTGGAAAAAAATCAAATGGAAATTATGCTTAAAAAAAAAACAAAAAAGTGAGAAATTAAAGGTTTGAATTCTTTTGGAGTGAAATGCTTATGACAATGGTATTCTTTGCTTAAATACTCTAATTTTTATATCACTTCAGAAGAAATTCTTTTATATTCAGAGGATTTTTGATGTGCTGAGCTAATGATACCAACTCCTTACTGAATAACATTATCTACTTCTGCTTTTTTTATGGCTGTGGAGAGGAGAATACATTTTTTTTAACATGACATGAAAAGCTTCTAAGGGGTAATAATTGAATTCAGAATAAAAATGCAGACAAACTGCTAACATTGTGAACAGATAAGCCACATAAAAAGAGTCTTCTCAATGTGAATCTTTCCAAAAGAGAAAATCCCACAAAATTAAAAAGTACAACAAAACTGTTTCATTTCTGATTTGATTGTCCCCAAAGTTCTATGAAGTGTGTAGAATGGGTACCCTGCCCAGTTCTTCTGGGACAACTGAGGAGACCGAGAAATCAGCATGACAGGGGGCACTCACAGCGGGGCGACAGTGCCAGCCTCTCCTGTCTTCCATCTGGCTTCTCAGAGTTCATGAGAATTCACTGAGGCCTGGGGAGGTCTTCATCCAGTTTCTCCAGCTGCAGGTAATATTAGGTCCCACGCAGTCCAACACAACATGAAATACTGCTTTAAAAATGACATCTCAATATCAGCCAGTTCTCTGCTATTCCATAAGCGTACATGCTGTCGGATGAAGTCATGGACACAGAGGCTTTATCATCTCTAATAGTGATGAAGGATTTATTATCATAATAGTGATGGAGAATAAAACTAAGTTCTGTAATTTCCTACAATTTACATTTGTTATGATTTGAAGACACATCATCTGATAATCTACAGACTATTCTGAGTAATAATCACATTCCTCAAGCCACCACCTTCATCCACTTACAGCAGAAAACTCCAACTTCTGCTTCGGAGAAAATAAAGTCAATGACATCCAATTAAAATTTTTTTCTACTCACCATTTCCCATACACACTCTGCACACAATCATGTAAACTATATCTGCACCCACATCAGTCATACTTCCTACTCTCCCTTTGGGTGGAAAAATTTTTCTTCTTTTGACCAGAGGAGCACTGAAGCCTGTCTTTCTGACTAATGTGGGCCCCAGGACAGCATAGCTGCCTCACAGAAAAGTGGCCAGTTTTCCACATGGGTCCTGGCCCCCTTACTCCTCACTGGGCAAGGCCTCTAGATCTGGCCCCCTAGCACAACCACCTTGCCCCCGCCTAAACACTTCAGTTGGTGATGGCTCTACATTTCTCTGGGGAGGAAATTCCAGAGACAACCAACAGACCCACTCCCACTGCAGCTGCAGTGGTACCAGCCTTACTGCCCTCAGGCTGGGGAAGGGACAAAAGGCCTCACAGCAGCCATAACACAGAGTGGAGCCCAGTCTGTCTTCCCTGTGAGCCCTCACCCACTACTCTTCATCAGACTGCAGAGCAGCTGCCCCACCCCAGCAACTGAACATTCCCACTGCTGGTGGCTCTGGTTCCCTGGAATGGAGTTTCCAGAGGCAACTGACAGCCCCCTGCCACTGCCACTGCCAATGCCATTGCCACTGCAGCAGTCCTGCCCTTGCTGCCCTTAGGGAAGGAACAAAGAGCCTGAGGGCTTTACTTGTGCCTCCAGCACACCACAGTCACCATAAGGGAAAGAGCCCAGTCTCTCTTCCCTGTGTGAATCTGACCCCCTGCTCTTCACCAAGCAGAGCCGCCAACTCAGCCCCACAGTGCAACTGCCTCACTCCCTGGATGAACCTTCCCATTGGCTGCAGATCTGCATTTCTCTGGGGTTGAGCTCCCAGAAGCAACTGACAGTCCCTCTGCCACTGCCACCACAATGGTACTGCCCTTGCTGCCCTCAGACTGGGAAGGAGCAAAGGCACTGAGTGCTTTACTCACACTTCCAGCATGCCACAGTCTCCCTAAGGAAAAGGGACTCGTCAACTTCCCCTCACCCTTCTGCTCATCACCAGGCAGGGACCCCCAACTTAGGCCCGAAGTGCAGCTGCCCAACCCTTGGCAGAATGCTCTGATTGGTAGCGGCCCTGCATTTCTCTGGGGTGGAGCCCCAAGAGAGAAGTGAAAGGCCCTCTGCCATTGCTACTGCCAAGGTCCCTGTCCCTGCTTCCCCCAAGTTGAAGAGGGAACATAAAGCCTGAGCTCATCCCAGAACTGAGGGAATTTGTTACCACCAGATCTGCCTTACAAGAGGTCTTTAAGAGAGTATTAAATATGGAAACAAAAGACCATTACAGGCCACCATAAAAACACACTTAAGTAGATAGACCACTGACACTATAAAGTCTGCACAACAACCAGCTAACAACATAACAGGATCAAATCCACACATAACAATATTAACCTTGAATGTAAACAGGCTAAATGCCCAGTTAAAAGGCAGAGTGGCCAGTTGGTGACCTGAACTCAATACTCGACCAAATGGATCCAATAAACATCTACAGCTCTCTATATCCAAAAACATATCTTCTTCTCTGCACATGGCACATACTCTAAAATTAATCTTATAATTGGCCATAAAACATTCTCAAAAAATTTTTTAAAAAAATGAAACCATACCAACCACACTCTTAGACCACCACACAATAAAAATATAAATCAATACCAAGAAGATTGCTCAAAACCATACAATTATGTGAAAATTAAACAATCTGCTTTTGAATGACTTCTGGGTAAACGATGAAATTATGGCAGAAATCAAGAAATTCTTTGAAATTAATAAAAACAAAGACACTACATACCAAAATCTCTAGGACACAGCTAAGACAGTGTTAGGAAGAAAGTTTATAGCACTAAACACCCACATTAAACATTTAGAAAGTTCTGAAGTTCATAACCTAACATCACACCTTGAAGAGCTAGAAAAACAAGAGCAAACCAACCTCAAAGCTAGCAGAATACAAGAAATAACCAAAATCAGAGCTGATCTCAAGGAAATAGAGACAGAAAAATCATATAAAAGGTAAACATAACCAGAAGTTGGCTCTTGAAAAGAATAAATAAGAAAGATTGCTAGCGAGATTGATGAAGAATAAGAGAGAAGATCCAAATAAACACAATCAGAAATGACAAAGGGGACATTACCACTGACCCGTTTATATAAATACAAAATACCTTCAGAGACTATTATGAACACTGCTATGCACACAAACTAGAAAACCCAGAAGAAATGGATAAATTACTGGAAACATACAACTTCCCAAGCCTGAACCAGGAAGAAATTCAAACTGAACAGACCAATAATGACTTCCAAAATTAAATCAGTAATAAAAAACCTACCAACCAGAAAAAGCCCAAGTCCAGAAGAATTCACAACCAAATTGTACCAGAGGTACAAAGAAGACTGGTACCATTCCTACTGAAACTATTCCAAAAAATTAAGGAGAATGGATTCCTCTCTAACTCATTCTGTAAGTCCAGCATCATCCTGATACCAAAACCTGGCAAAGACAGAATAAAAGCATAAAACTTTAGGCCAATATTCTTCATGAACATAGATGTAAAATACTAGCGAACTGAATCCAGCAGCACATCCAAAAGCTAATCCACCACAATCAAGTAGGCTTTATCCCTGGGATACAAGGTTGGTTCAACATATGCAAATTAATAAATGAGATTCATCATATAAACAGAACAAAAAATGAAAACCACATGATCATCTCAATAGATGCAGAAAATGCTTTCAATAAAATTTGGCATCCTTTTATGTTAAAAACCTTCAATAAACCATTAATAGATATTGAAGGAATAGATACCTCAAAGTAATAAGAGCCACCTATGACAAGCCCACAGCCTATATCATACTGAATGGGCAAAAACTGGAAGTACTCCCCTTGAGAACTGGAACAAGGATGCACACTCTCAACACTCCTATTCATCATAGTACTGGAAGTCTTAGCCAGAGCAATCAGGCAAGAGAAAGAAATAAAGAGCATCCAAATAGAAAGAGAGGAAATCAAACTATCTCTGTTTGCAGATGATATGATTTTATACCTGGAAAACCCAATAGCCTCTGCCCCAAAACTCCTAGATCTGATGAATAACTTTAGCAAAGTTTCTGGATATAAAATCAATGTACAGAAATCAGTAACATTTCTATACACCAATAACATCCATGCTGAGTGTCAAATCAAGAATGCAATCCCATTCACAAGAGCCACAAAAAAAGATAAAATACCTAGGAATACAGTTAACCAAGAAAGTGAAAGATCTCTACAATGAAAATCACAAAACACTGCTTAACGAAATCAGAGATGACACAAACAAATGGGAAAACATTCCATGCTCATAGATAGGCAGAATCAATATTCTTAAAATGGCCATACTGCCAAAGCAATTTACAGATTTGATGCTGTTCCTATCAAAGTACAAATAACATTCTTCACATAACTAGAAAAACTATTTTAAAAATCATATGAAACCAAAAAAGAGCCCAAATAGCCAAAGCAATACAAAGCAAAAAGAAAAAAGTGAGAGGCATGACATTACCCAGACTCAAACTATGCTACAAGCCTGCAGTAACCCAAACAGCATAGTACTGGCACAAAAACAGACACATAGACCAATGGAACAGAAGAGAGAGCCCAGAAATAAAGCTGTAAACCTACAACCATCTGATCTTTGACAATGTCAACAAAAAGAAGCAATGGGAAAAGGACTCTCTATTCAATAAATTGAGCCGGGATAATTGGCTAGCCATACGCACAAGATTAAAACTGGTTCCATTCCTTACACCATAGACAAAAATAAACTCAAGATAGATTAAAGACTTAAATGTAAAGCCCAAAACTACAAAAACCCTGGAAGAAAACCCAGAAAATACCATTCTAGACGTAGGCCCTGGCAAAAAAATTATGACAAAGATGCCAAAAGCATTTGCAACCAAAACAAAAATTGACAAATGGGACCTAATTAAACAAAAGAGCTTCTGCACAACAAAAGAAACCATCAGCAGAGTAAGCAGAACCCACAGAATGGAAGAGAATATTTGCAAACCATGCATCAGACAAAGGTCTAATATGCAGAATCTACAAAGAACTTAAACAAATTAACAAGCAAAAAACAACTTCATTAAAAAGTCAGCAAAGGACATGAACAGACACTTTTCAAAAGATGACATATACGTGGCCAACAAGCATATGAAAAAATGTTCAACATCACTAATCATTAGAGAAATGCATATCAAAACCACAATGAGATATCATCTCACGACAGTCAAAATGGCTATTATTAAAAAGTCAAAAAAGTAACAGATGCTGGTGAAGCTGCAGAGAAAAGTGAACACTTATACACTATTGGAAGGAATGTAAATTAATCCAGCCACCATAGAAAGTAACTTGGCAATTTCTCAAAGAACTTAAAATAGAACTATCCTTTGATTTAGCAATCCCATTACTGGCTATATACCCAAAGGAATATGAATTGTTCGGCCATAAAGACACATGCATGTGTATGTTCATTGTGGCTCTATTCACAACAGCAAAGACATGAAATCAACCTAAATGCCTGTCAATAGTCGACTGAATAAAGAAAATGTGGTTCATATACACCACGGAATACTACACATCCATTAAAAAGAACAAGATAATGTCCTTTGCAGCAACGTGAATGGAGCTGGATGGAGGCCATTATCCTAAGTGAACTAACACAGGTAGAGGAAACCAAACACTGCACGTTCTCACTTAAAAGTGAGTGCTAAACACTGAGTACACATGGACACAAAGAACGGAGCAATAGACACTGGGACTGCTTGAGGGTAGAAGTTGGGAGAAGGATAGGAATCGAAAACTACCTGTTAGATACTACGTTTATTACCTGGGTGATGAAATAATATGTACACTAAACCCCCACAACATGCAGTTTTTCGATATAACTAACCTGCACATGTACCCCTGAAACTAAAAGTTAAAAAAAAAAAAAAAAACTAACTTTCTGAGAGAAGTGCTAAATATGGATGGCTATTGAGCTGTCATTTAAATATAGTTCTTGGCTGAATTTATATGCCTTGGATTGTGTTCTTGCCTCTGCTACATGGTAACTCTGAAAGTTCCCTGAATTTTTCTAGTGTCAGCACCTCTAAGTAAGCTTTCAATAATTGTTACTATTAATGTGACACAGAAAGGGTAGTCTATAGGTATTTGTTGATAATGATAGTTGTGATTACTCCCCTAGAGCAAAAACTGGGCTAGTTTCTCTATTTTGGAATGTTCATTACTTAAAATTGAGAGAGGGCAGGACTTTTGGGGGCACTAGGCAAGAATCTCTATATATTTTTATAGAAATAAAATGAGAGATTTAAATGACTATGAAAAGGACTTTTGTAGAGAAAGCTGAGTAACCAAGCAGCAGTGCAATGAAGTGGAATGAGAAGAGCATAAGTCCAGCACTGCCTTCTTCTTTGGGAGGAGAAAAGGCAATGTTTTAGACTCAATGTTTGATATATACTTCAGGAAATTTTTAGCCTCACCAATAAAGTTGCATTATTTTTCCCTCTCACTGTCTTCCAGAGGGTCATAGTCCATTTTCTGTTGCTTATAAAAGAATGCCTAAAACCAGGTAACTTATAAGGAGATGAATTTATTTCTTAAGTTCTGGAGGCTGAGAAGTCCAAGGTCGAGAGCCCTCATGATTCAATCATCTATTAAAGGTCCCACTTCTCAATACTGCCACATCAGGGATCAAGTTCCAACATGAGTCTTGGAAGGGACATTCAAACCACAGCAGAGAGTCACTGTCCAAGTTCTCCCAAATGAAGATGACTGTCCCACGTTAGCGAGCAATTGCTCTGACCACTGAATCCTTTCTCATCATTGAAGACATATTTGGTTTAGTTGTTTTACCAATGCCTGACATAAGTACCAAGGCTGTCAAACTTCACACAACGAAAGAATAAAGCCTCCCCTCCTGCAGAGAATGGATATGACCAAAAACAACATACCTAACGTTACGGATTCGAGACTGGAGTGACTTTGCATATCCTCTGCCCCATCCCAGGACAGACTTCAAAATTGAGGTGCTTCTCATATTCTCCATCTGGCAACATGTGGGATTTACTGTTTTTAGACTTGTAATTACCCAGCTCATGTAGGTACAGCTACAGGCATTTTCCTAACACTTGTCACTTTAAGAAAAGGGACTTTTATAGAAATTGTTCATTCTTATACAATCCACTCCAAAATCCACCAATTTCCTCTTTTCATTCATCTTCTAGAAATCCTATATCCAAGACAGATGGGATTTAGTATAGCATGCCTTCAGTGATACCACAATGAACAAGACTATTTTAGGAATTCTATTCATCAATTCTCAATAAATATTATGATACTAGCACTTAGGCATTCTAAAGTGACTTTCCTAAGCAGATGTCAAGCTCTTTAGCAACACAAATGCATTATACCTCCTAATTCTCTTGCAAAACAAGCTAAGAAGCTAAAGCTAAAACATGATTTCTGTAATGTAACTGCATAGCAAGTCACCTGGAATGGCCCATCTCTGAAAAGAGAAAAGGTGGAGAGGGAGAGAGATTATGATACCAGCAAGTTGATTTGAGTACTAGCACTGTCTCATCCATTTCCAAGTACAGTTTATCTTGAAGCATTAGGTTACAACGAAAGATCCACTTGCTTGTCAATCAGTTATTTAAGAAACATTTATTAAGTGGTTATGGGGTACTGGCTCTGGGTTAGACCCTAGAGATATAATGAAGAAAACCCTTTTTTTTCTGAAGTGTGCAATCCAGTAGAGCAGAAACACCGACTTAAAAAACAATAATAAAATACCATGTAATAAATAAAATAATAGAAGTGTGTCTAGAATGTAGAGATAGCATGTGGGAGGTAGTGACTAACTTCATTTTTGTAAGAGGATGAAAAGACATTTTTTTAATTGTCCTAAGATGCAATATCCAGTGTGGAAGGTTAAATGGGAGTTTGACAGTGTTATAAGTATTCTCTTTCTAAAGAAAAGGTATCCTTGTTGATAGTAATAAACGTGTTGCAACAAATTTTTGTGGCTTTCCTGAAGACAGACTGAAAGATCTGTGTGTGAGTTAGAAGATAATGGCCCTTTCTGCCTCCATCTGCGACTTCAAGTGTAGTGTTGTGAGGGCCTAACCAGTAAATCACAGAAAAGTACTTCTTTTTGTAAAGATATGACTGTCCTTATGGTCTCTGTTTCCTTTACTCTCACAGCTGCTTATAAACAGAGCTGGAATTAGAGCAGGAAAAATGGCCAATCCTTGCATTTACAAATGAGGAAATTGTGGCCCTGTGAAGCTGTTTTTCCTCCAACTCCTACATAGTTAGAGTCCAAAACTCAGAGGAACTAATCGGATTGCACTCTCATTCCATAAAGAACCTCAAGGTCCAGAGGTCATTCTATCTCCCAGCCACCTACTCAAAATTAATCAAACATGTGCTTACTTCACACAGACTGTGAGCTGCTTAAGGGCAATGTCTCAAGATGGAATAGGTTTTGCTGTGGAAAAAAATAGACCTGAAAATCGCAGTGGTTTCAAGCAACAAAAGTTTATTTTTTACTCACACAAAGTCTGAGGTGGATCATGGGAACTCCCAGTGCACCTCCACACAGGCATCTAGACTCCATGTTGTGATATATTATCTCAATATTTGGCTTCCAACACTGCCACATCAGGGTAAGGGAGAGTAGTAGCAACACACTCACTCTTTTATTTATTTATTTATTTATTTATTTTTATTTTTTGAGATGGAGTTTCTCTCTTGTTGCCCAGGCTGGAGTGCAATGGCAGGATCTGGGCTCACCGCAACCTCCACCTCCCGGGTTCTAGCGATTCTCCTGCCTCAGCCTCCCGAGTAGCTGGGATTACAGGCATGAGCCACCACGCCCAGCTAATTTTTGTATTTTTAGTAGAGATGGGGTTTCACCATGCTGGTCAGGCTGGTCTCAAACTCTCAACCTTAGATGATCTGCCCACCTCAGCCTCCCAAAGCGCTGGGATTACAGATGTGAGCCACCACGCCCGGCCTATTTTTTTTTATATACTTTAAGTTATGGGATACATGGGCAGAACGTGCAGGTTTGTTACATAGGTATACAAGTGCCATGGTGGTTTGCTGCACCCATCAATCCATCATCTACATTAGATATTTCTCCTATTGCTATCCCTCCCCTAGCTCCCCAACCCCTGACAGGTCCCAGTGTTTGATGATCCCCTCCCTAGGTCCATGTATTCTCATTGTTCAACTCCCACTTATGAGTGAGAACATGTGGTGTTTGGTTTTCTGTTCCTGTTTTAGTTTGCTGAGAATGATGGTTTCCAGCTTCATCAATGTCCCTGCAAAGAACATGAACTCATCTGTTTTTATGGCTGCATAGTATTCCATGGTGTATATGTGCCACATTTTCTTTATCCAGTCTGTCATTGATAGGCATTTGGGTTGGTTACAAGTTTTTGCTATGGTGAACAGGAGCACACTCACTCTTAAGTGTCTCAGCTCAGACAAACATTCCCTGTCTATTGGTCAGAAACAGTCACATGGCCCCAATACAACTGCAATGGTGGTTGAAAAATATAGGGAACTATGTGAATATTTTATGAGCACTGAGACTATGTCTCAGTGAATGAGGAACCTACTGTGTTCAAAGAGCTTTTTTAGCACTATCAGGGGACACAGATATACAGGGAATAATTACTGTGTTTGAGAAGCTAAGGACCTAATTTTGAAATTAAACATAAATATACAGACAAACTGAATAAAATTAGTCATACCCAGCAATATGGACTACATGAGAAGTGAAAAATTGTTAAGATAAAAGGAAAGAAAAACCAAGATTTAGAGTGATTAGGAAATCCAGTCCTGTATTAATTTTATGCTGAACTTAAAGCATTTTTCCCAAAAGATCCAAAAGCCACTTGCTTCAGGGTATTGTTTTAACTCTAAGGACAAAAATAATAATAATAATCAAATAAAAACTTTAAAAGTTTTGGAAATCTAGTTGCAATCACAGGAACAATGTTTAGGGATTATTTCTAACTTTTTTTTTAAATCTAGAGCGACAAATAGGCCATATCCTATATGAATATGAAGTAGAGAATCTGCAGCTCTATAGAGCATTCTCTACTTCATATTCATATAGGATAGACTCATATTAGGTAAGTGATCTGACTGCCACTAATACTTATCGAGACTTCCTAATTGTGCAGACATAGGAAGCAACAGCCAAGGGACAGCAAAGGACATTCTTAACAGAAACTCCGTGGCATTTTGAGTAATATATGAATCACTTGAGAAGTATTCATTCTCTGTCCAAATACTGGCCTTTTTTTTTTAACCAGTTACTATTAACCTTAAGTATGGGAAATTAAGAGCCAGTCATAACATTTTATAGCAACATTTTAGCCTGATCTCAAGCTCAAAGGTTTGCAGGTACCAGGTGTGTAAACTGATACAACACTTCTGGAAAAGCAATTTAGCAATATAAATGAGGAGTATTTAAAACATGTGTACGGTATAACAACTAATTTCCTTTGTAAAAATTCAATCCTAAAGTAATGCTGACAAAGGTTTCACATGAGGATATTCATGCAGCATTATTTATCATTGGGAAAAACTGCAGACAACCTCACTTTCCAATTCTGGGAAATGATTAAGCAAATGAAATTACATGTACATATGAAACTATTATGCAACCATTAAACCAGATGATTACAAATGCAGCATTATCTATCAAAATGTTAAATGGACGTCCTTCAAACCAATATTTTCATTCCTAGGTCTCTCCTACACAAAAGGTTTACAAGCGTGCAAAAAAAATGTTTTCACGTTCAAAGATGTTTGTTGCAGCATATTTATAATATCAAATATTGGAAAACATGATAAGGAATTATGTAAATAAAGGTAAATCTAGAAATGTTAAAGTGAACATTCAATATTCACTAAAGTTAAGGAGGAAAAAGTTTTAAAAAAATAAACTAAAAATCCTATTTTAAAAAAATGTTAATTATACATCTAGTTATAGACAATAACTTAGATTTGCTTGAGGAAGTAGATTTCTTTTTAAAATTTTATGCAGCTGTGTATTTTCAAGCTTTATCATGAGCATGTGTTGTTTTAATTGAAATTAAAATTTTTCATTTAAAAACCTACTAATAATAGAGTGACAAAGAGAAAAGGTTACAAGTAACTTTTAATTATATAAAGAAAAATGCTTATAACAGAATCTTAAATTGAAAAACTGGGCAACATAATGTCATACATACAGTATTATGCAAACCATAAAAACTATTATAAAAAACTGGAGAGAGAGAACTATATTAGAATACTAATAGTATCTCCCTGTTGGTAGTAGAACTATTTGTGGGAGGGTTGATGGAGGCATAGTCTGCTTCCTCATATTTGTATGTACTTTTTGTATTTCTACAAAACAAATATTACTTGTATAATCTGGGAGTGGGAGAAAGCTAAAAAAGAGAATCAAGTATTTTAACAACATCAAAGTACCATAAATCAGAAAGGGTTGAGACCAAAACACTATTTTTCCTATAGATGCTTCTTATTAAAAGACTTTCCTTCCACAACATTCTGTATTTTTTAATCCTATGTTTTTGTGAATAAGACCACCCTACTCATTGCAACCAGCAGATGCAACTAGAATGATGTGCAAGTAACTTTTCTGCAGCCTTTTGTGGTGATTAAAAACACAGCCACAAATTCTTTGATACTTCTCTCACTAACTATATTTCCATCCCTTGAGTTAGGTCAGGCTCAAAACTACTTCAACGAGTAGAGTTTGGTGCAAGTGATACAATGTGACTTCAGAGGCTAGGTCATAAGAGTCTCCTCCTTGTTCTCTGGAGCACAGACGTACTCTTGGCACCTGGAATTGCCAAGTAAGAAGTCTGGCTACCCTGAGGTATCCTAAGGCTGCCACGTTTTGAGGGAGTCCAAGCCACATGGAGAGGATACAGGTAGACAGACACCAATCAGTAGTCCCAGCTGAGCCAAGCCTTCAATCCATTTATCCATTACCAGACATGCGAGTGAGGAAGCCTCCAAATGATTCCAATCCCTAGTCATTTGAATCTTTCCAAGTAAAATTCATACAATGTAGAAATTCCAGATATTATGTGGCAGAAACAAGATCATCCATTCTTTGCTCTGTCCAAATTCCTGACCCACAGAATTCATGAGCAAATAAAATGGTGGTTGTTTTATGCCTCTAATTTGGGGGTGACAATTATGCAGCAATAGATATGTAAAATATCTCTTCTCACAACATATAAATATATCAAAAATCTTTTAATAAATGTCCATAATATTTTCCTTAATATAGAAAGAATTTTTTTCTAGACTTTTGCTCTTGCTTCTAATGCTATATACCTTAATCCCTTTGAAATTATAGTCTGAGGGTCAGGCATGGTGGCTCACACCTGTAATCCCAGCACTTTGGGAGGCCAAGGTGGATGGATGGATTGAGCCCATGAGTTCAAGACCAGCCTGGGCAACTTGGTAAAATGCCATCTCTACAGAAAAAAATGGAAAAATTAGCCGAGCATGGGGAGGCTAAGGTAGGAGGATGGTTTGAGCCTGTGGGGCAGAGGCTGCGATGAGCCAAGATTGGGCCACTGTACTCCAGCCTGAGCAATAGAGCCAGACCATGTCTAAAAAAGAAAAAAATATATACAGTTCTTTATTCATTGCCTGAATGACTGGATTATTTTAATGTTTGTTTCTAAAGTTAGGCATTTGGGATGTAATTTCCACTTAATAATAACAGTTAGCATGTATAGGAGATTTTCAAGAGTTTATCATATACTATTGATTTTAAACCTCCAAGCTGCATGGAGGTTATAATCCAATAGGATTAAATTTAATATTTTAATCCATTAGGTACTGTTAGTATCTTCTCATTTTAAAATGAGGAAGTTGAACACAAATAAGCTAAGTAACTTACCTAAGGTCACACACTGATAAATAGCAAAGCCAGAATTCAACCCAGACAGCTGGTAACAAGAACCCTTGCTCTAAACTAGAGAGCTAGACTCTCTCTTCCTCTGTTTCTGCTCAACATACAGAAAGGCTAACATGCCAGGAAAATACATCTCAGAGCCAGTTATGAACACAAGACAGTAATCTCATAGTTCTGCTTCCTGAAAGTTAGATTGTATTTCTATTTTACTGTTATTTCTTGCAGAAAAGATGAAAAAGAAAACCCCAGAGGTCTGAAGTTACATAAATTAGAGGAGAACAAAGAGAATGTAAAAAGCAAAAAATAAAAATGGATCCCTGAGCATTGGACCCAAGTGAGTGGCCAAGAATTTCTAGAAGGAAGGCATCTAATAGTAAATCAGTTCTGAAGCATTTATTAAGGAAAGATGGATGGAAGGGAGAGAGAAATGGAGGGGGAGAAGGAAAGATGGAAGGAAGGAGGGAAGGAAGGAAGGAAGGAAAGAGAGAAGGAGAGAAAGAGAGAAAGGAAGGGAAAGGAAAGAAAGGAAAGGAAAGGAAAGGAAAGGAAAGGAAAGGAAAGGAAAGGAAAGGAAAGGAAAGGAAGGGAAAGGAAAGGAACGGAAGGGAAAGGAACGGAAGGGAAAGGAAAGGAAAGGAAGGGAAAGGAAGGGAAAGGAAAGGAAAGGAAAGGAAAGGAAAGGAAAGGAAAGGAAAGGAAAGGAAAGGAAGGGAAAGGAAAGGAACAGAAGGGAAAGGAAAGGAAGGGAAAGGAAAGGAAAGGAAAGGAAAGGAAAGGAAAGGAAAGGAAAGGAAAGGAAAGGAAAGGAAAGGAAGAGAAAGGAAGAGAAAGGAAGGGAAAGGAAGGGAAAGGAAGGGAAAGGAAGGGAAAGGAGGGAGGGAAGGAGGAAGGAAGGAAGGAAAGAAGGAAAGAAGGAAGGAAGGAAGGAAAGAAGTTTAGTAATAATGGAATGGTTGAAGAGATGCAAGGCCAGTGTATATGAGAGAGGAAGGGAATATGAAAAAATAAATAGCTGAAAGGAGGAAAACTACTTGCAAACCTGGTTTGAGGGCTTAAAAATGACCTCAACAAGGGGTACAAATAAGAGATACCACTGAATAAATTCAGATCATGAACAAATTTCCATTCAGTTTCAGGGGTGAGAAATGCTCTGCAGTGATGGACAAAAAAAAAGGAAATATATTTTCATCTGTAAATTTTACAGGACTAGGTAGAGAGGCTGGTTATTTAATAATCTGTGACCCAATTCTATCTAAATCTGTTTCAGATTCTCCGTGCAGTAAAGGAACTACCATGGCAAATAAGATGCAAGAGGATAGAATGTGCTAACATTTAAGAAAATACAACTTCAACCATGAATAATATTGACTTTTTTAGAAAGGAGGAAGTTAATCTTTTAGAGAAACATGAAAAGTAAATCAAACAAATTTGAGAAAATGAATAAGGGGCCAAATGTAAAATTTTACAGAAAAAAATGCAATAACTATCACAAATAAAGTCCCTTTTAAAAAATGTGTTGCCATGAATAAGAAAATACCACTTTAAAACATTTTTTAGTAATAAAAAAGGAAATAGACTTCTGGGATCTCCTTTTTTAGGGGAGAAATGTTATTAATTTAAATGAAGGACTCTGTAATCCAAGCAGAAATAACCGCAAATACTCAACTGTTTAGTAAATATGTATTGAGTACTCACTGTGAAGCAGGCATACTACCAGGCAATGGGGATCTAATAAATAGTTGACTTAAATCCTCCTCAAACATTTCTCAAAGACTATAATGAGAAAGAAAAATCTCTAATGCATCAATCCTTGGTCTAAAGCATGGGTCAGTTTTTCCACTGCCTCTTCTTGTATCTAATACTGAGTGTTTCTCTGTCATAAAAGAAATATTCGTTCATGACCTATTCTTATTATCATTTTCTCCATGTGAATTCCCAAAGGTTATGGAGAGTGTCAATCAAATACCATAAAAGGAAACTAGTCTTGGAGAGAAAGGCTTGTGAACAGAACCCCAAAATGAGAACATAGGTCAGCTGCTCCTTATAGGACTGTGCTGGAAACTAGTTGCATGGCTCTGTAGTCTTTTTGATCCTCAATTAAACAAATAACATTGAAAAAGCTTTAGCTTCATTTCACGGGTAAAGAAAAAGTCCCAGAAGTGTTTCGTTATGGAACTGGGGCCAATAACCCAGGCCTGTGCTCTTTCCACTTGCTATATCATGCTGCCTGTATTTTTCTTATCTTCTCCCTGCTCTTTATATGAGTAGGAGCTCCTTAATTTGTAACAAAAGTACAATCCAAATTTGAGTAAAAGGAGCAGATCCGTTGGCTCAAATATCCTGAGAAGTCCAGAGGCAGCAGAGTTTCAGACTTGACTGAACCCAGGTATTCAACTTATATTGTTAGTACTTAGTTGTTACTCTCCTTATCTCTTGATTTTGCTTATCTCTGTTGCTGCATCCACACACAGGACCGCTAGTTGTCCTATCAAAATCCATGAGATTTTAGCTCATTGGATCAATTTGGGTCATACAGCAGTTCTCAATATGCAAAAAGTAGAGTCAGCCCCATCCAAATCACACAGAATGAGGGTAGAGGAGGGGTGATTTCACTCAAGAAAAATAAAATTACTAGTATCAGAAGACTGGAAAATGATGCTGGGTGGGAAATAAAATCCAATGTCCATGCCACTCTCATATAACTCTAGCTACATATGTCTGTCATTTGTATCAAGTTTTCATTAAGTTTCTATTTAGGTGTCTTTAATCTTGGGTTGCATCTTTGCTTTGATCTATAAAATTCGCTTTGGAAAAGTCCTATTAAAGACATGTCTACATAACTATACAAACTTGAGGAACTATTTTCAAGTCTAATTTCTCTGAATTGCAGAGGAAGTATACTTCAGGATAAGCTTTGGTATCTTTCATGCTCTCCAAACACATAGAAAAGTGAAGCTTCATCTTAGACTTGTCCAGGATACTCAAATCTGAAAAGAAGTGTGGACTGGGTCAAGATGGAGAAATTAAAGGAAAGAATTACCCTTGAATTGATGGTTCTTCTGTCCATCCTCCTGCTGCTCTGAAAAGAAATAACTATTAACACCTTAAGAAGACCATAATGACTTCCCACTCTAGAGACTACTTGCTGCGAAAGTCCTTGCACCCACATGGTGAAAGAGCTGGAGTGAGGTCCGCTCAGCTCCGTCTGCACTCCCCAGAAAGCATGTAGCCAGTATAATCCAAAAGTAGAGAAACTTTAACACATAGGAGGCAGTCAGCAACTGATCTGTCCCAGCTCCCAATAATGTGCTACTGTCATAGTCAGCTTCTCTGAGCCCACTCACAGGACTACAAACACTTTAGGTTGCTCATCACTGTGGTTACCACTCAACTATTGTCATCTGCCTTCTCAGGTTATTTTTGACATTCGGCATTTAGCCATTCATGTATATAAAAATAAACTATTTTATAGGATATGAAACTAGTTCAATAAGATAGGGCTAGAGTTGAGAGTGCCTGACCACTCTCTACTTCAAGTTTTACTTTTTGCCTCCCTTTAAAATAATGTCAGCGAGTTTGAGGTTGCCAATTGCACCCCCTCATATTATAAATTTGGAATCAGTTGAAAAATAGACACAGAGGTCAAATCGATATCAAAATATCAGCTTAATAGCTGACAGTGCCAGATTCAAGCCTGCACCTGAACCTTCCCCTAAATGGGTTTTCTAATACTTTCCTTATGGAATAAACCCATCTACCCTTTACAATGTTGGGTCTCACTGCAGGAGCAAACTTCTTAACATATAGAGGGAGACAAGGAAAACACAAATGTACAAAGCCCAGGCCAAGAGAATAAGGGTCAGAGCTTGGGAGAAGACCAGTCCTAATCACCTGAACCTCACCCAGAAAAATGCAGGCAGTAAATGTTCAACACTTGCTGCCCTAGTGTAAAGGTAAATTGCTTGCTGTGGTCTAATTGTTTGCTGTGTTCTAAATGCTTGTGTCCACCCAAAATTCATATGCAATAGGCAGGACCCCGCCTCTTGATACAGAAGTTGAAAAGTTGAGACAATTGCTTTCTCTGAACTTATAAACTAGATTTGGCCAATCAAATGTTTGTACGTAGGACATTGACACTTGACAGGTGATTTAAACAAAAAAAAAAAGGAAGAAGCAGTTTAGAATTCATTAAGTGGTAATGGCAGTCTCCTGTGCCCAGGAGCCAGTAGTAGCAGCCCCCAATACAGAATGACTACAAGGAGGCTGTCCTTGTGGTAGGTAGACCACCCTGGCTGTGATTCAAGTCAGCCAATTCACTTGATCCCTGCCAGTAATGGACTGGATTATAGTTCAGCTAACATTTATTCTCCTCAACCCCTACCTTCCACTGTAGGCTGACTATGACTCCCTGCCCCACTGATGTTGGGCTTGGCCACGTAACTTGCTTTGGTCAAAGGAATTAGCCAAGGGGATGCACAGAGGACTTAAACATGCTTGTGTGGCTTGACTTAATGTGTATGCTCTAGTGACTTGCCATAAAAAGAGCATGGCCCAGGAAGGGTCTTTCCTCTCCCTGGGTCCCCAGAAGTACACACATGGAGCACATCTAAACCCAACTCAAAGCCTGGAGCTGAGCCCAGCCAACCTGCAACCCGAAGCAGAGCTACACAGCTGTATTAGAATCTTACGGCTGCTCCAACATATTACTGCAAAGGTGGTAGCTCAAAGCAACACAAATTTATTCTCTTACAGTTTTGGAGGCCCAAAAAGAAGTTCCACTGAACTGAAACCAAGGTGTGGGTAGGGCCATGCTCCTTCCAGAGACTCTAGGGGAGAATCTGTTTCCTTGCCATTTTCAGCTTGTAGAGCTTCCTTCTTTGGCTCATGGCCCCTTCTTCCATCTTTAAAGCCAGCAGCATGGTGTCCTCAAATATCTCTGTCTTGTACATCACACATCTGCCTTCCGTGCACAATCTCCTTCTGCCTCCCTCTCATAAGGACACTTATGATACATTTAGGACCAACTTAGATAATCCAGGATAATCTTTCTATCACTAGGTCCTTAAATACTGTATGTTTGCCATTTAAGGTTATATCCCCATGTCACAGGAATACCTATTTTGGGTGGCAAATACTCAACCTACCACCTCAGCCAAGCCCATCCAGGATCCACCAACCCACAGTCAACCCTGTTTCAAGCCTCTGAATTTTGAGGTGGTTTTTTATGTAACATTATTGTGGCAATAACTGATTAACACACCAACCATTTCCTGAAGGCCTCCCCTTGATTTTCAGAGCACCTAGTATCCACCAATAAATTGTTATTGTGTGTTTAAATGAACTAGAATCAGCATCTATTATTTACAACCCAAACAACCTACCTACACATTTGAGAAACTCTGACAGTAGAATATCAAATGATAATGCTGAGAACAAAAAACTCAAACTGGATGTTTTTCTTGGTACTTGTACCATAATGATCTGTTTGGAGAAAATTAACAAAATAGAGAAGTCAGTAGAGGCAGGAAATTTAGATGACTTTAAGTACTTTAAGTGGATGTCACTTATTTTCTAACCAAAGGAAACTAAATCAAAACTGTAACCTTCAGGTAGAGGAGATGAGTAATTAAGATATGTGTTTTAACACAGAAAGCAGTTGTTAAAATGACTGCAGTAGTGTATGCTGTCCCAGAGAGGTAGTGACAAGAACTCTGACAAGACTATTGAATCAAATTGGTATTTTTTTTAACTTTATTTTAACTCATAGTCATTTCTATCCAGAAGAGATTCCACAGGTCAGAGAAGTGGCAATGAATTAATGTCATAAAAAAGGTATAGAGACAGCAGGAAATTGCACACCATCAGTTAAGCCCCTGATTCTTTGCCCTCATTTTACATCTTAAACAAAGTAAAAGAGGACAGTAGATGGAAAGTAACTTAAAAATGTGCTGCTCCGTAAAGGCCAGCCAACAGAGCTTCGGGACATTTATTTGAAGTCAAGACATTAGTGCCGGGGTGAGTAAAGGGACTGTAATAAGTTTACACTTTACAAAGGGGCCTGACAGTTCTGTATCAAAGGAAGAATGTCCAAGAGACAGAGTGATGGGATAATAGGAAGTGGAATTAAAACTTGGCTTCCAGGGAGACAAAAAGCAATGATAACTTGGAGTACTTCCAAGGCAATGTGGGAGTAATGCGGCGGGCTAGGGAGGATGTCAGAGCAAAGACACCTCTACTACTGAGTGGGCATAAGCAAAGGAGATTCCCCCGATAGGAAGCCTGTGTCTGCCTTCTGGAAAACAAACAAAGACCCCACTGCGACATTTCACTAAAAGAATCACAGCTCTTTCTTCCTGAATCAATATTACTTGGACTACGAAGGTCTTCCAGAGGACTGCTGACCTAAGCAGTGGGAATGAACTAAGCTGATGGGAATGGGTTCTCTTTTCCAAAAAACAGATAGATGTTCTGGATAAAATATGATCCAAAAAAGTAATGCATAACTGAGTTTGAAATATAGAAATAGAAATATCCAGGTGCTTAAAAGCAGAAAGAGATTTCACAGAGCAGGAAGTGTGAGCTAATCCCACAGTCTTCCTACAGAGCTATGCTCCTGGACACGGGCCCTAGGACCAGGAATAGGGAGGTGGCAAAGTTTCCAGGAGACAGGGAAGCTGGAACCAGGTCTCCAACATTAGCCCACAAGCCCCAAAGCACATCAGTAGGAAAAGTGCTTATTTTTAAAATGATGTTTTAAATGGCCACCACATAACCATCCAGCCAGATAAACTAAAACTCTCTATTACTTTTGCAAACCTACTGACTAAAGCCTGCTTGTGGATCGTAGGTAATTCCCTGGTATACCCCTATACTTTTGTGTCCCTCAGCTACTGTGCTTACCAAGACTGTGCTTTCTAAACCTGTCACTGCCTGGGTACGTGTAATTTTAACTCCATAATTTAATTAAATATTAAGGTAACTGATAAAATATGAGTATGTAAAGAGAAGAACTTATTGTTTCTATTGAAACAGCTTGTATTCTTCGGAAAGACTCAATGAAGTGAGTTGCTAAAAATATTGCTAAGTTAGCTATTAAGTACTAAATGGTAAAAGACTTAGTCTTAAAAATTTAGAATTCTGCAGTCAGATTCCTTAACAAATATCTATACATTTTAGTCCACTCAAGTTCCTTTAAAGAAAGTGAAAATTAAAGATGATACTTATGGGTATCCAATTAGGACAGCTTTCACAAACTGCAAATGAAGGGATATTTGACACGTTTTAAGGTAAAATAAATATTTAAGAAGTATATCTTTTTTCAACTCCCACATTAATTTATGATGAAAATCCTTATTTAAAAAGTGAATTTTAAAAATACTAATGGCTGAATCCATTTCTAAATGGAAGTCAAGAGACTGTATTGTACTAAATAGATTTCTGACTTTGAATAGCCATTCAAATATTCTAGCCTATTTTAAAATCCATAAAATGAAGGTAGTAGATAAGATAATTTCTAAAAGTCCTTCCAATTGGTATATTCTATAGTGTTACCACCCTGTGGAATATACCAATTGGAAGGATTGGTATTTCCTCCAATATTTCCAAGAGTTTGCCTATTTGGAAAACCATTGAGCTTGGGCTGAATTTAGGTGAAGAATCTAATCACCCTGGCAAAGGGACTTCCCTTTGGTTGGTTAACACAGAAAGCAGTTGTTAAAATGATTGGCATAGTGTATGCTGTCCCAAAGAGGCAGTGACAAGAACTCTGACAAGACTATTGAATGTGCCAGTGTGTGTAGACAAAGCACTCACTGCAAATAACAGAGAAGTTCCCTGGGACTAAAAGATATTCAAGTAAATTAGGGGACTAACTTAAACCTACTAACCTAGGATGCACAGTGTTAAGATTGAAACCCTAGCCTGGTCCCTAGCATTAACTAAAGCTTTTTGTCTTTTTTCCCACTACAATAGTGCCAATTAAGAATAGAGTGTCAGCTGAGAGAGGTGTATAATAGAAAACACTGACAGATTCTTAACGCTAACAGCCAGAAGAGAGTTGCTTTAATAAGGTGTCCTGAAGCAAAGGAATTTTTTAAGAAATGGAGAAAAGAGAAAATTACTAAACAGAGATGAGATGAGCCGTAGGTAGGTATGGGAAATCTGATGTGGGAGTCCTGCCTGAGGCTGCGCAAAAGCAGAATCAAATCACACTGGAAGTAAAGTCCCCTCTTTTAGACCCCACTCCACCCCCATCTGGCTCAAGTTAAGCCCATTCCTGGCCTAACGGTGTCCTAATCCGGAAGCCAGTGACCAAGCCTGTGAGCCTATCCTGGACCCCACCCCTAGGGCTTGGCACTTTCTGCACACAGAGGAAATGTCCATGGGATATAGACTTTAAAAAAAAAAAATCATGCTTAATGTAGTATCTTGTAAAGTCTCTTCAGTATGAGCAAGGTCACATTAAGTAAATAAAATATCTCAAGTGGAACATCAAAGCAAAAACACTTGGAGTGACATTATGCAATGTGATTACCCAGAGGTATAGCAGGACTCCTCTCTGATCCTCCTTTGGGGACTTGTCTTTTACTTTTTATTATGAAAATTTTAAACAAACCAAAAGTAGCAAGAACATCAAAACATCTCCATGTAGCCATCATCCTGTTTCAGGAATTATCAATATATAGCAAATCTTGTTTCATCTACATACCTCGCCATTTCTCCTTTCCTCCACTGTATTATTTTAAAGAAAATCCACACAGAAAATTATTTCATCTGTAAGTATTTTGGTATGAATCTCTAAGAGAGTCCTGTATTTCTTAACATAACCACAAGATCATTATCCTATCTCAAAAAGTAGCAATAATTTCTTAATCATAAAATATTCAGTCAGTGTTCAAGTTTCTTTGGAGTATTTCTTGGAACAATGAGGGTCAGGCAATAGAAGACAAGCTGAGAGTTCTACTAATAGATGGAAAGAATACAAATAATAGCAGTAGCAAAATAAATAAAACAACTAACCTTGAAGTGCATACATAGTTACACCAGAAATGCTTCCTAAACCAACAGCCTGCAGTCTACAGCCAGGCAAAACCACCTTCTGCCTCCTCAACGTCAGTCCCTCAAGTTATTCTGCTGTGGCTTATCTTCTCCTTTGAGGCCATTACGTGTAATACTTATTTTACAACCAAGTATGGGCTGAATAAAAAATCCAGAGGAAGACCCTATATCCATTCCCAGAACATGATAGCAAGACTAGATCTTGTCACCCAGAAAGGCCAGTATTAAACAGGTCCCAACAGAGAGCCCCAAATAGGACCCTTAGAAAGGACCCTTTTGCACCAACAGTGGTGAATCTGCCATTAACTGAAGTCGTAAGAATGACTCTTGAAAGGATTGGAGGAATTAATAATGATGAAGAAAAAGGGTTCTTGAGTTGAATTTTCTAGAATCTAATCCCAATTCTCAACTTGCATGCTGAGCAAACTCGGGCAAGCTCATTAATCTACTTGAACCTCAAGTTTCTGAAATGTTAAATGAGGTCAGTAACAGGATCTATCTCCTAGTTTGATTTTGAGAATTAATAGGGACAGCACATGAAAAATACCTCAATGCCCAACCACGCTGGATGCAGGACTTTTAGTGTTAAAACTGGGAGAATACCAGACAAACCAGGACAGCTGGTCCCCATAACAGAGGTATATGTGGCACAGAGAGCATCCAATACCTACTATCACCTACCAGTAGCAATTGAGGCACAGTAGTGTTTTCATTCTTCATCAAATGAGATAATAATTGATAATTTCCCAAGCAACTCCAAAATAGAATTTACTCTTTCTCTCACTAGTGATTTTCCCAACTTTGCAAGTATTGAAATACGTTGAAAGTGGATATCAGGTCTAATTTAGTGTACTTGATGCATCATTTCCAAATTTAACTGACCATTAAAATTTTCTGAGGAGTTTTCTTAATATGCAGATGCCTAGGCTCCCTGGATTAACATATTTCGGTTAGGATATGAGAATGTATATTCTTGTTAAAATTCTTCAGCTGATTCTTAATTCCAAAATGTATTCTAATCAGAAGGTTTTATGATTACAAGTATCTCCAAAATTTTCTTATTTCTCACTAAAAATGTATGTATTACCAGGAGAACCAAAAGTCTAACTCTTAAAATTTTACAAAACTTTATCTCAGTGTTTTGGGGAGATGTCGTAGGGTTCAGGATTTTGTTTTGTTTTGTTTTGTTTTGTTTTTAATTGGTTAAAGTAAAAATCGCACCATCTGCTTCTGAGGCTGCGGTAGATTTCTCCAAGGCAATTCAATCATACGAGAGAAAACGAGTCACCGAGTGCCTGACTCCCCTGACAAGTGACATAACTCTGTCCTGTTCTCCAGCCTGCAGCAAAAGACTGGCTATGACATTAGAAACAGGGGAGAATGTTCCAGTGGCTGTCCTGCAGTCAGGATAATGGAGAGGTGTTAAGTGATTGATATCAGGTCACCCAGCAAGCCAGGGTGCAGTGCCAGAAATAGGATTGTGTCTCCCACTCGGTGGTCCATGGTCCGTGTAATACACCCTGAGGATATGGGAGCGAGGTCCCTCGTCTGAGTGAAGAAGCAGAGAGGGACTTCCATTTAGAGGTTCATAAATGCTAGTCTGAAAGGAAGAAGAAAATTCCCCTTTCATGCTCAAGAAAGCCTAAACCAACATGAGGGAGTAAGGAAATGTTATTTAGTTTTATAAGATGAAAGATTGCTGTATTTACTCACTTCCCACCAGTACCATGGAGGGGCTTGCTTTTCCCAATCATTCTTCATGCTTGGCCTCACACAGTGCTTCTTGGAAGGCAGACTGGGGCAGAAAGATAAGAGGTGATTGCTCTAGCTGGCCTAGAAAAAATGATATTTTTCATTTTCTTTATAAAGCCATATACTATCTAAGATGATTCCATTTCTGAGTGCATGACTCAATGCAGTCACTTCAAAGGTATAATAAGTAAAGCACTAAATGTCACTGGAGGCCCTGAAAAAAAAGATTATTTTATTTTATTTTATTTTATTTTATTAAGTTCCGGAATACATGTGCAGGATGTGCAGGTTTGTTACACAGGTAAACGTGTGCCATGGTGCTTTGCTGCACCTATCAACCCTTCACCTAGGTATTAAGCCCTGTGTGCATTAGACATTTATTCTGATGCTCTCCCTCTCCCGACACCCCATGACAGTTCCCCATGTGTGTTGTTCTCTTCTCTGTGTCCATGTGTTCTCATTGTTCAGCTCCCATTTATGAGTGAAAGCATGCTGTGTTTGGTTTTCTGTTCCTGTGTTAGTTTGCTGAGGATAATGGCTTCCAGTACCATCCATGTTCCTGCAAAGGACATGATCTCATTCCTTGAAAAAAGATAATTTATTTTCCCCAAAAGTTAACCTATTTTTAAGAAATAATTCTGTTTAGGCTAAACTGTTTATGTGTAGTTATGTATTTCTTTTTAGAATATTTTCATCTTTTTCATTTCTGTATTTCTGACACGTAGTTAATCAATTAATCAGTTCCTCAAGGGTAAGAATTAAGCTTACCTTTAGACACACAAACACACACACACTTCCTACAGCCCACCTTAGTACCCCACACTCAGGGTACTTAAATAATATTTTTAAATTGTTCAATTACAGAAGTAAATAAACATATTATATCATTTCTATATTTAAGTAAATTAAAAAGAATTATGGATTGGATGGCAAGGTGTTATGAATTGAGGGCATGAGTAGAGGAAATAAATGTCCATTTATTTATTTATTTATTTGTTTGTTTATTTTGAGATGGAGTTTTGCTCTTGTTGCCCAGGCTGGAATGCAATGGTGCAATCTTGGCTCACTGCAACCTTCAGCTCCCGAGTTCAAGAGATTCTCCTGCCTCAGCCTCCCAAGTAACTGGGATTACAGGCATGCACCACCACACCCAGCTAATTTTGTATTTTTAATAGAGATGGGGTTTCTCCACGTTGGTCAGGCTGGTCTCGAACTCCCAACCTCAGGTGATCCACCCGCCTCGGCCTCCCAAAGTGCTGGGATTACAGGCTTGAGCCACTGGCGCCTGGCCCCATTCATTTACTTTTTGTACCTCAAAAATTGGATAAAATAATGTTAGAACTATTGGTGGCATTTGTATGCTTTTCTATATTCTTAATATGTATCTAATGAAAAAGAAATAAAAATGTACAAAGCTAGCAAGTATGAATAATAGTCCACCAACATAAGTGTGCAAGAAACAGTACTATATTTTCTATAACTCAAATTGCTTTTCGACTCCATGGCCTTTTTTCCCTGGACTGATGGAAATTGTCACCTTGGCTTTTTTTCTAGTGTCAGGGATATGGAGCAGCTGAGCGAGGATATTAGTCCACACCAGCTGGACCTATGCTTACTTATTAAAGCACAGTGGTAGTCTTCCTCCACCAAGTCAGAGTTGAGCCTTGAAGATGTAGTTGAGAGAGGAGAGGAATGGAAAAGACAAAGCTGGGATCTTGGTATGATGGGGCAGTAGAAAGAAGAGGAAACAGCACCAGAGAGGGAGCCTCCCATCTAAGGCATAGCTAGCTCATTTCCAAAGAAAGCAACCCTCCCTGTAGATGACCATCAACACACAAAGTCCTGAGGATGGTATAAAAGATCTGTTTGGTCTTTCCTCTGAATCATCTTTCCCTCCATATAGGAGTCTCCTCAGAAGAAATTCCAGGAGTTCCTGCTTTTCCTTGATCTTTTTCATTTTCTTCAGCTCCCCAAGATCCATCTTTATCTCACTTCCATGTTGGAGATATTTTGCAATGTCCTTGAGACCATGAATGCGATTCAAGGCTCTGTTTTTTTCAGGTGGAGGAAGAATCCCACAGTTCACTGTGTGTGAAAGCTTAGTTTCTTTATATCTTTTAGAGTTAAACAAGATAAATCTTTATCTTGCTAATACTGAATGACTCTTACAACTTGACTTGAATGCATGTTATGCAAAGTCATTGTTTCTTTACTGCAACTAAGATCTTCTTACCACCAAGAAGATGGGGGAGAAAAATCCCATCCTGCCATGTATAGACAGAGAGAAAATGGAAGATAAGGAAGTTAGTTGCCTACTTTGTACCCAGTGCTTTACGAAAAGGAGTTAATTAACATACTAGCATGTTCTCAGAAAGCTCACAGTCTAGTGGAAAGGATAGGCACAAATATCTAGCTACAATCTGATGAGCGCTTTTAAAAATATATATATTTAAATCATGGTGGGGTCACAGATTACATGCAATTATTTCTGTCTAAAGGTATCTGAAAAACTTCACAGAAGAGGGATATTTCAACCAACCCTTCAAGTATAACTTGGAGATGGGCAAGTAGAAACAGTGGGATGGAGAATCACATAGGCAAAGCTTAAGAAATCAAACCAGGTGGCATGTTTGTAGAATCAAGTAGAACAATGTTCTTAGCACACACAGGTGTATCCAGGAAGAGGGTAACAGTAGGGAAAGACAGGCTGTGGCCAGATGTCCTAAAATCAAATAGCAAAGAAACAATTATGAATATATGCACCAATTCCTGCTCTGCTTCTTGGCCTATTAAATAAAGAACATGCTATCTCTTATCTGCTCTTTATTCTGTTGGGGTTTTTTTCTTTTTTTTTTTTTTTTTTTTTTTTTTTTTTTTTTTTTTTTTTCATAAAAACCTATGGTCTTTGTAGTACTCTCATTGAACTGAAGAATGTATTTCCACTTTACTCTCCATCTCTTCTCAAGCCAACTATTCCTCCTCCAATGGATGAATTTAAATTCAAAATCCACGTCCTTATTGGAGAAATGGTATCTTTCATTTTTATTCTTTCCCCTCAATTTGCTAGTGACGAGATTGGAAGAAACTGCTTCTGCAATAGGCATTGATGCCTCCTCTTCCTTTATATTGAGTTTCTCACAATTGTAGCCAAATCCCAATAGCTGGAGAGTGAGGAGTGGAATAGACAAGTAACCAGTTGTATGAATGTTTCTGTCGGTTCAATATCTGATATTCTTCTTTTTTCTGAAATAATGGCATTTTTGCCAAAATCAATAAGCTCTTGTGAGGGGAAAAAAGCTAAACACATTACAAAGTTAGGCACTAATTAGAGGGGGCAAGCTGATGTTGATGGCAACATTCTCTCAAAAGACAGGCTGCTGCTCTTATAAGATTCATCCATTGCTCGTGTTTTGGGCATTTTGTCTGTATGCTATAAGCATAGGTGTTTTAAAAGGAAGGTTAGAGAACTGTTTTTCAACATTTCATTGCCTTTTCATGTAATTATTACTTTTTCTCTGCACCCTAATCTCTATTTGAACCTCTCTTGGAGGATATAGGGTATAAATCCTGGTAAACAAGGAGGAACATATGCAACATTTTGCTTTAAATATTCAACCTTCCTGAGATTTCCACAGTTGACTTAACCTTGGACCAATGGCATTTCAGCTGACTCTTGCTGTACACAGAATTATCTTACCCACGTTTGGAAGCTTTCTTGTTTTCCTTACAGAATAAACTATTCACATAACAATTGAAATAATTTTCATTAAGGAAATCAAGTAGTTTTGAGAAAATGTAAAAGCAATATGATCTATAATTTAAAACTAAGAACATATTTTATAGGCTGTTGACCTAAGGTAGTAAATAGCTGCTAAACAGCTCTGAAAATAAGCAAAGAGCTGGGAAAAAATATCTGGAGATGGCAACAGCAAGAGGCTTAAAAATAAGAAAGCCTGTGCCCATCATAAAAGTTGTTGAACACGGAAACACCCTCTTAATGTAACCAGCTGAGCTGAGCACATTTCCATTTTATCTGTGAATGAGCTTCCAACGGGTAAACAGAATCCTGAACATAAAGGGTTTCTGAATTCCTCTTTTTTTGGTAATTTGCTTTTGTATAAAATATTTCTTTGACTGTCCAAACACAAAATAATCAATAGCAACAACAGAAGAAACTTGTCCTCTCAACATACCATTTCTCCGATACAGTACCGGCATGCCAAACTGTCCAGCCAGCTCTAGAGAGATGACAACAACTGCCAACAATCCTAAAATAGACCAGAAACTGCTACCATTACAGAACAAAGCAATAATTCAGAAAGCTTTAGAATAATGTAAAATAAAATGTTTGAAGTGCAGAAAGCAGTGGATTTAATCATAAGTGATCCCTGTCTTATTAAACAGTCCATCATAAAAGGTTTGCTTGACCCTAAAGTAGAGACACTTAGAGCTAAGAAGTGGCCTGGAATTATAAGATCAGCAAATCAGCAACTGGCTTCTACTCCTTGCTGCCTGAGCCTGAACCTCGCTTATATAGTCAAATAATCACAAAATATTTCAGTTTCTGGAGACCACCATAGAGATGATAATCCAAGCTCTCAACTTGTGAGTGATGAAACTGAATCCCAGAGAGACAAGGAGGCTTATCCAAAACCACCAAAAGCTAAAATCTCCCATTCATTCATTTCTCTTTAGCTGAATATAAAGAATACAATGGTAAACAGTACTGACACACTCCTGGTTCCATTTATTCATTCACTAAGTATGTATTGAGTGTCTACTATGTATATGTGGTAGACACTCAAATGCAATATTAAAAGTTTATATCTACTCGAGAAAACAGACGTTACAACAAATGATATTAGTATCTACTTCCTTTCTTTTAAAATAAAATACTGATAGTTTACTATAAAAGTAATATATATCATTGATAAAAATTTTGATAAATATAGAAAAGTTGAAAGGGAAAAAGTCACCTACCATCCCAACAAATCCACTTTCAACATTTGGTGTATTTCTTGACAATCTTTTTCTTAAGTACAAGGTTTCATTCTTTCTTCCCTTATTTCCTTTCAAATAGTTGTGATCATCCTGTATGTACAATTATGTATTCTATCTTGTAGCATACACATTTCCTCATGTTATAAAAAAAAAATTCTGAAATCATCATTCCTAACAGCTGCAAAATATTTTATGGCGTGGATATGATCATTAATCCAGTGTTATTTCTATTTAGAGGAGTGTATGCACTTATAAATTATAAGCATCTTTTCAAAAACATTTCTGTATTTTAGAATATTTCCTTGAGAAATCAACTGATGATTAACTGATACCTCACTTTCTTCTAGGGGATTTAAGGTGGTTGTTTTCTAAAATTCCAGAATCGTGATGCAAGTTAGAGGGTATGACTCTTCTGGAAACATAGCACCTCACGGTTTTTTGACAGGACACTTTTACTGCCATGAAGGACATCAGAATTACAGTTTCCTTGTCACCTTGACAACCTTGGCCTGCCCACTGCTTTCTCACATTCAATATTCTCAACAACTGATTTGTCTAGGATGGTTTATTCTGACCATGAAGTTCCCTGCCATGAGTATCATAGAGAGTGCCCACCTTTTAGAGTTGCTTGATAAAATTCTGGACATTGAATTAAATTTGAATTTCAGATAATGAATAATTGGGACACACTTATAAAATCTTTGTTGTTGCTATGGCTTGAATATACACCTCTTCGAAAACTCATGTTGAAAATTAAATCCCATTGTGGAGGTGTTGGAGAGGTGGGGGTTTTAGGAGGTGATTCGGTCATGAGGGTTCCCTTGTGAATGGGATTAAGACCTTTATAAAAGAGACTTCACTCAGAATTTGACCCTCTTGCTCCTTTGCTCTTCCATCATGTGAGGTCACAGTGTTCCTGCCTTCTGGAGCCTGCAGAGACAAGGGATCGTCTTGCAAGCAGAGAGAGCAGCCCTCCTCAGCCAGTGCCTTGATCTTGCCTTCCCAGCCTTCAGAACTGTGAGAAATAAATTTGTATTACTTACAAATTACCCGGGCTGTGGCATTTTGTTATAGCACCACAAATAGACTAATATAGTCATTTATTGGAAATTCAAATGTAACCTAGTGTTCTGTATTTTTATTTCCTAAATCTGGCAACTTGATCAATTGTTAATTGCCTTTTGCTAATTGCTTGATTTGGGTAATTTTCTCACGTCTCTCTACCTTTTATGGAAAATGAAAATTATGTGCATCTCACAGGAGAAATGCATCTCGCAGAGAGACTCATAAAAGCAGCTACCAGATAACGTTTTCTTTCCTTCCTGCTTCCTTGATGAGTTTCATATTCTCTTCCTTTCCCTTAGTTACCCCTCCCCCCAGCTCTGGAGCCCACCTTGGTTTTTTTGTTGTTGTTTGTTTTGAAATGGAGTCTCACTCTGTCACCAGGCTGGAGTGCAGTGGCGTGATCTCAGCTCACTGCAACTTCCGCCTCCCAGGTTCAAGTGATTCTCCTGCCTCAGCCTCCCCGGTAGCAAGGACTACAGGCATGTGCCACCCTGCCCAGCTAATTTTTATATTTTTAGTAGAGACGGGGTTTCACCATATTGGCCGGGATTGTCTTGATCTCCTGACCTCGTGATCCACCCGCCTTGGCCTCCCAAAGTGCTGGGATTACATGCGAGCCCAGCTTGTTTTATCCCCATCTTCGTGTAGTAGGTCTAGGATCCCCAACCCAGCCACCCACCCACCTATCCCTGCACCTTCTAAGTTTGAGGCGTGGTTCCAGGAGTGGTCCATATCAAAGGCTGGCTGGAGAGAGGCTAGAACATCACAACAATTTAATGTGATGGTGAGTGCTAAGTAGACATATTATGAGGGTACATACAGCAGAGAGAACTAACCCCGGCTACAGAATCAGGAAGGGCCTTCTGAAGGAAATCATATCTGAGTTGAGAAATAAAGGAAGTGGAAAAGCTGGCCAAGAAAGGAGAAAGAAGCTGGGGTAGGAGTCTTCAAGGCAAAGAAGAGCATGTGCAAAGACTCATGGGTGCCACAGCTGACATGGACTTGACAGAGCCTGGTGTGGCTGGAACAAGGGAGTGCTGAGAGAAGGAGACTAGATCACCCGAGGGTGTGGGCCTTGTTAGATAATTGGATTTTATCCCAACAACACTAGTATATCATGGGAGAGGGTCACACAGATTAAGCACAGGAGTGATATAATCTGTTTTGCAAATCAGAACAATTCCTCTGGCTGACAGTGAAGGAAAGATTGGAGTGAGGACAAGACTGAAGTTAGAGAGGTCAGTTTGGGAGGTTGTTGCCATAATTCAGTCAAAGGACGACAATTTTTTCAATTTAATTTAAATCTTAAATTAAAACTTTTTAAATTCCAGGTATAGAACTAGAAATAGGTGGATACAGGGATTCAACTGACATCATAAAGGCCAGGTTTCTCTCACTCTCCATCTCCTGGTGCTATTGTTTCTGGGCTGACTCCATTCTCAGACTCCATATGTTAGCAAGGTGGCTTCAGGTGCCCCAGACCCTCCATGCTTACAACTCCAAGACCAGTGGAAATGAAAACTTACTTCAAGGCCAGTGGTCCCAGGAAATAATTTAGGACCTCTAATGAATATGATGGAATCAAATGCTCCTGAATCGATGTGGCCAGGTCTGAAACACATGTCTGAGATGAAGTCAGCCCTCCTGGGACCTCACGGACTGAGATGAGGAGGGATGAGCCCCAAACAAATCTGGGGGCTTTTACCAGAAGTAGAGTCAGTAGATGCTGGGCAGGTAAAAATAATAAAGGTTCACCACACCCTGTTTATCTTCAACTTTGGAAACCCAGAGTGGAACTGAAAAAAAAAGTTCAGGAAGAATATTTGCATAGAAGAGAATCCAAATATGCGGTCAGCTCATATCACATAAAGCAAGGGATAGGTATTGGTCAAAATCTTTAACAACTACTATGGTACAGTGACTGACAGCTCAGAATGGATGCCAGCTGTTACGTCTGTCAGTGGGAACTGGTGCATATCAGCCCTGCCAGGGACGGCTGTGCAATTTGTCAGGCTGGGGTAGATGGATTCAATACTTAGGAGTCTCCAAAGCAAACAAAATGGAACAATTCGAAGAAAAGGAGAGGAGAAAGCAGAGGAAGGAAGGAAGGACTGAGAGATCCTCTTACATAACTAATCTTTTTAGAGTGACCTTAACATAACTCAAACTCAAGAGTAACATTTTTCACAGTCATTTATGTCTTCCATTCACTGACAAGTAGCCTAATTCTGTTGTCCGTTCCTTTATTTTTTTTTTTTTTAACAAATCTGGAAATCATATAGGCCATGTACAGTTAATTAAATAAGAAACTTAAGATTTGAATTGTCAAGATGTGCTGGTGCCCTACACATTTCCAGTTTTCCAAGCAAATGTTCACGGGGAGCATAGAGCATGGTTTCTATAATTTTTTTACATAGGCAAATGATCCCCTACAGCGATTATCCCATACACCAACCCTGCTGAATGTGTACATATGGAATGATGTCAAAATTGAATTTTGTTAAGTCTAGTCATATTTCAAAAGTAGCCCAAACACAAATCTCTCCTGGTAAGAGAAAAATTTCATTTTGTCATGCAGATTGGAATCCTGCACTTTGGTCACCTAATTTACAAGATGTCGTAATAAGAGCTCAGAGCAAAATATTTCTTGAGGGCTGACCCAGATGCCTAACATTGTGCTGATTAAGAAAGAGGATGCCAAAAGAAATAGACACAACGTGCTTTCTGCTGTTTAGGAGCTCACCACTTTATCAGACACTTAAATCCTTTACACAAATGGAATATGTGAAGAAGAAAACAGAAGCATATAAGAGCAATATAGGTGCTAAGTGGTGTGATACACCCTGTAGGAGCCATAGAGACCAGGAGGAAAAGGATTTCTGTTCATGAAATGCTTCAGCAACCTTGGATGAAAGTGTGTGATAAACACATCACTGGCACCCGCTCACAAAGGTGGTGGAATCTAAATTCCCCCCTGGGACTATGGGCTTTCATTTCGGGCCTGCCACCATCTCATTCTTCCACTTTTGGTAAATTACCTCGCCTCTCACTGCCTTCCCGGCAAAATGGGAGTAGCAATCAAGCCCTATTCTTCAGGACTGGTAAAGAATAAATAACAAAGAAATTGAAAACTCAGAAAAAGATGAGAGCCTAATAAATCCCGACTAGTTAGTGTCCAGCCCCAAAAGGAATGCTGCATAGAGCATATGGCATATGGGTTTGTAGACGGTTATGTATCACCAATTTGGTTGAATTTGTCAGGGAGGTGAAAGGGTCTGCTTACACAGTCTGTTATTTGTTATCATTAAAGATATTCACAACATTGAAATGCAGATAATTTCTTGGATTAAGTGCAGACATCTACCCCCATTGTAATGTGAGAGCATAATTGTCATCAGAAAAAGCATGTTTTTCTGGCATTGAAATGAAAGAATAAAGTACCACAATTGAATATGTTGACCAACACAGTGATTAAAGGGATATTTATGCTGTAGGAGTGGTTTCTAAATCAACTTTGGTGCTTTCATCCTATCAGTCAAGTCATATAGAAGAGAGGATAGTGGATCTTTTTCTAATAAATTTACTTTTTACTTCTGTTTTTTAAAAAATAAAAAACTTCTTTCTAAAGATGTGTTTTTTGGAAGCTGTATTTACAAATGCTTTGATGTTCAGCCTTTTCTTTATCTTTGTTTTTGCTGTTGTTGATATTAAATATGTACAAAGGAATATTCATGATACACAAGGTATGGAAAATAACAATGAAATGATCAGCCACGTAACTATTACCCAGCTTAAAGAACTAGAACATCACCTTCACACCTCCTGCAGACACTACCTTAATCCTAACCTCTCAACCACTGCTGTAAATCATGCATTAATTTCTTGCTTGTCTTTCTAGCTTCACATAGCTGTATCTCTAAGAAATATGTAACTTTTCATGTTTTCAAACTTTACATAAAGGGATTATACCATATGCACTCTGCAACTTGGGCTTCTTTTCACTCAACATTATGTCTATGAGATTCATCCTTGTTGATGGAAATAGCAGTGATTCATGCATTTTCATTGCTGTGTAGTAGTACTCCAGGGCGTGAGTATTCAGTAGTATGTACATTGCTGCTGCAAACATTCCTTTCTGTTTCCCAGAGAATATGTGTAAGAGTTTCTCTAAGATAGTGTTTTCCAGACAAGACTCCACCCATTAGTGGAGTCAGTTTAGCAAGTCTCAACCACCAGTGTAGACTATAATTTAAAAGATCAGAGTGTAACGTTGAGTCACCTGGTAAATACTGTTTCATGAAACATTTGTTTCACTTTGTGGGGTGGGAGGCTATGTTGTGTCGTAGAATGTATTTCTTACTTTAAGACTTTCTTAACATAAGTCTGTGTCAAGAATGTAAAAGAAATAGTGTCCTAGAAAAGATCCTCTCAAGCTGTAGTGTGCACATAAGTCACCTGCAGATCGTGATTCAATGGTCTGGGCTGGAACCTGAGACACTGCATTTGCAGCAAACATCCAGGTAACCACCTCCCACGGCTACTAGTTGGGGGACCACTCTTTGAACACAGGTGCTCAGCTAAGGGATGTACACTGGTGTATAGGATATACACGTGTTCATCTTTACTGGACCAAACCAAATCTTTTCCCAAAGTTGTTGGACCGATTTTCAAGTTCCCAGTGATCCAAATTTTCACCAAAAATTGGTATTAACAAGCTTTGCCTTGTCAACTGACAAACACCAAAGGGTATCTTTGTAGTTCTAATTTGCATTTCCCTAATTACTCATGGACAGAGTATAGTTTCACAATATTATTGGCTATTCATAATTTAAGTGAAATGCTTGATCAAGTCTTTCGCCCATTTTTATGTTGTCTTGTTCTTATTGATTTATAGGGGGTTTTTTAAATATGTTCTTGAAACTAATCTTGTGATAGTTACATGTATCAAAAATATCTTCTTGTTTTCTTACCCTTTTGTCACTGTTTTAAAACCAAAAAGGCCACTGTTTCCCTTTGGCCAGTAGCCTTACCTGTGCACCCAGATGCCATGAGGCAGAGAGACAGGACCTGATTGAGATGGGCAGAGTGCCTTGCAGGGAAAGGAATAGGATTCTTTCCGGGTCATTTACTTGTAAGCTCCTGGACAATGAGGGAAACTAAAAAGCCTTAAACATAAGGAATCCACCAATGAGCAGATTTAGCAATTTAAAGACACGAATACTGTAAACTTAGTGATCAGCAGAACTACAAACTACAAACAATGCCTTCAGAAAACCACTGAGCTAAGTATTGGACAGGACCAGCACCTGGGCCACCATCATGGTTATGTGACCTAATGCAGTCACGCAGGGCCTCAAGATCAGTCACTTGGTCAAATGCTCTGTCGTTGCCATCTTGAAATCTTTACTAATTTTTGAATAAGGGACTCTGCATTTGCATATTGTTCTGGGCCCCACAAATTATGTAGTCAGCCCTGTTGTGGTAGCCCTGGGGTGGGGGCTGCATACTTCAGGATAATAGAAAATGAAGGCAGGAAGGCCCCAAGAGAACTTTAAGTAAATGAAGACACTTCCCAACACCACCAGATTTGACGTACATAGATTTAAAATGACCTCATAATATCTGTGAGCATCAACTCATTAGCAAACCATGAACAAAGTTTGCTAGGTAAGGGCTCTCACCCTTACCAAAGTGATATATATTTTACAACTACCTCTATTTTGTGATTTTTTTCTTTTTTTTTAACAGAGTCTCGCTCTGTCACCTAGGCTAGAGTGCAGTGGTCCAATCTCGGCTCACTGTAACCTCCACCTCCTGGGTTCAAGCGATTCTCCTGCCTCAGCCTCCCAAGTAGCTGGGACTACAGGCATGCACCACTTCACTGGGCTAATTTTTGTATTTTTAGTAAAGATGGGGTGTCACCATTTTGGCCAGGCTGGTCTTGAACTCCTGACCTCAAGTGATCCACCTGCTTCAGCCTTCCAAAATGCTGGGATTACAAGCATGAGCCAAATCATGACTGGCTCTCTATTTTGTGATTGATAAAAGGTGTTTACTGATCATTGTGAAAGTGGGTTGGAGCAATTCTAAATTTTGTATTGATCCAAGATTTCCTCCTACTGCAGAAAAATACTTTTCACTCTAAATAACTGACTGGGTCTGGAACAAATAGGGTCAATAATGCGTAGTAATTTAAAGCATTGAGAAAGCATTAAGAATATGAACCCAGAAATAACTACCTGCTTCACATTCGCTCTTTGCGACTCACGTTCTAGCTATTTGGATCTTAGGTGAGTTCCTGAAATTTTTCTGTGTCTCGATTTTTTTATCTGTAAAATGAGGCACACCTAACCTCCTGATCTTGCCTCCAAGACCCCCCTCTTTCTGCCTCCTCAGGAGGCCGTCTCTGTACCCAGCAACTGGCTCACCTCTTGCTGACCCTGCTGCTCAAGTCCTCTTCCTCACACGCATATCTCACCCAGCTTTTTGTATCTTCTATAAAGTGTTTCAGTACCTCCTATAGGGAGACCATCCACACTAGGGGTTCATTGTATAGGTTCTGGAACTAGACTGCAGAGGGTTGAGTCTTAGTGCTGTCAATTACTACCCATTTACACAAACAATCTGTGCCTCTGTTCCCTCATCTATAGAACGGGGATTATAACAATATCTTTTTCACATGATTGTTGTGAGGATAAATCGATGGCTCTACTTTGCACATAGTAAATAACATTCAAGAATTTGCTATCATTTTATTTGTTCCATAAGAAAAGAAAAAAGATATTTTAAATTTTAGCCTTCCTGGACTACTTTAAAAGTTTCTTAACTGATCCTTCAGCCAGTGTTCTTGGACCGCTCCAAGACATCTTTCACATAGCCACCAGTGGAATATAGATTAAATGAAAATTATCCAAATTAGAACCTTTCAAAGGCTCTCATGGCTTAGGATAAAGTCTGGGCCCCTCACTGTTCCATAAAATGCTTTCCATGACCTGGCCCCATCTACCTCTACAGCCAGCCTCTCTCTACTCTCAGCCTGGACCTTGACCCATAATATCAAACTACTTGTAGATCCTGGGAAATACTAACATGTTTGTCACTGTTCTACCTTTTCCCATCCGGTTTCCTCTGCTAGAATTCTTCCTGCCCCAAAACTGGATAACTCCAGCTTGGCCATTATAGCTCAGTTCAGGGATCATCAACTGCAGAATACTCTTCATTCTTCCCACCCCCAGCCAGGTCTCCCCTGCAGTCCCCTGACACTGTGTACATCTCTTCATCATTACAGTATAATGTAATGGTTCAGCATTGAAACTTTAGAGATAGACTACCGAGGTTTCAATCCTGGCTTGGTCACTTGTTTGCAGTGTGACCCAGAGCAAGTTCCTTAAACTTTCGTGCTTCAGTTTCCCGTGTATGAGGTGAAGATAATGGCCAGGCATGGTGGCTCACGCCTGTAATCCCAGCACTTTGGGAGGCCAAGGAGGGAGGATCACGAGATCAGGAGTTTGAGACCAGCCTGGCCAGCATGGTGAAACTCCATCTCTACTAAAAATACAAAAATTAGCCGGGCATGGTGGCATGCACCTGTAATCTCAGCTACTCAGGAGGCTGAGGCAGGAGAATCACTTGAACCCAGGAGGCAGAGGTTGCAGTGAGCTGAGGTCGTGCCACTGCACTCCAGGCTGAGTGACAGAAAGAGACTCCGTCTAAAAAAAATAAAATAAAAATAAGAATAAAAGTACCTACGTCATGAAGCTATTTTAATTTAAGAGCATAAATTAATTGTCTCGTTAATACTGTTAATTGTTAATACTGTAGTATATTTAACTTTCTGTTTATGTGTGTATTCCACAGTGAGTAGCTCTAATAATTGTTTATACTGTAGTATATTTAATTATTTTCTGTTTATGTGTGTATTACAGCGAGTAGGTCTATACACACCTACCCCCAAAGGCTAAGGAAGCTGAGAAGTGGAAGAAAGAGGCTGGCAAATCCAATTTCTCAGAAAGAAACATTTAATAGGGATTTATGAACAGAAGCCATGTCTCAGGTGGCCTTGAAATGAGATGGTGGATTCCCGCATTGCTACCTTCCAGACCCAGGGCTTATATACCATAGGAAATTTCCCTAAGAGCAGGATTTATGGTAAGTATGTGTTTACGATAACATCAAGATTGTTTGACCTAAGGGCAGGATTTATGGTAAGTACGTGAAAGTAGAAATCTCAGATCCATTCCCAGAACTGGGGTTAACGAAAAGTCAGCATGGTGGATTAGCATCCAAGATAGAGTTGCTTTAGTCTCCACAGTGTGTCTGGTCCCCTGGACTCTGAGCTCCTGACGCTAAGCATTATTTCTTATTTATTTTTGTTTAATTCCCAATACTTAGCAAAATGCCTGGCATTGTGTTTATCAGTCCTCCTTGTTCTATATTCAACTTTATTTATTTATTTATTTAATTTTTTTTTTTTTTTGAGATGGAGTCTCACTCTGTCATCCAGGCTGGAGTGCAATGGCACGATCTTGGCCCACTGCAACCTCTGTCTCCCAGGTTCAAGCGATTCTCCTGCCTCAGGCTCCTAAGTAGCTGGGATTACAGGTGCCCACCATCATGCCCAGCTAATTTTTGTATTTTTATAGAGACGGGGTTTCACCATGTTGGCCAGGCTGGTCTTGAACTCCTGACCTCAGGTGAACTGCCCACTTCGGCCTCCCAAAATGCTGGTATTACAGGCATGAGCCATCACGCGCAGCCAATATTCAAATTTAATACATGTTTTTGTCCTCCTGCATCCACTCACTCCCAGCCTGGAACATGGAATCACATGGCAGGGTTCTGTCTGATGGAACATGAATGAACAATATATTGCACTAACAGACCTGGCTATCAAACATCTCAAACTTTTATAGGCTCTTTCTCTATCCATATGGCTGGATGGAAACTCCCACAGCCTTGAATATGGCTATGCCACAAGATGAAAGAGATCAAATCTCTGCCTCACCCATGGGAGGTGAACTGCCTTAGCAGGAACATGCACACTGAACTTTAGGCTTTAAGTGAGCCAGAAATAAACCTTTGTTGTGCAAAACTCCTGAGAATGTTGTTAGCATTACTTACCCTAACAAATATCCTAGGTATTCAATTAAATCTGTTTAAAATGATTGATTGAATGAATGAATTCAAGAAATAACGCAGAAATATTTAAATAAATGTGATGGAACCCATGAGCAGGAAAGATAAAACTAGGAATAGGAAAAGATGGTTTTAAGAGTTAAAGAAGCATAGAGACAAGAAAGAGAATAAGAAGAAACTAAGTGAAGTGTCTCTACTACCCCTGCCCCCACCCCAATCACAAACAGAATTCACTTCGCCTGCTGTTCTCTGCCCTCCTTTTGTCAATCAGCCATAAAAAATCACAAACAGGGAAGAGTTTTAAATAGTTTCTGCTGCTGCTGGACAACTTTCTGACCCTTCAGATGGGTCAATATAGCACTGGGGATTTCAGGGTGAAATGATTGAGGTTCTTTAATAAGTATATATAGGCAGCTTCTCAAGGGGAAAAAATGTAGTCCTGGAGTTTAATCTCTCCTATTTTCAGATGCTATTGGAGGTCAGATAACTGGTATTGGACCATGACCACCTACTGTTCTCAAGTGATCATAGTAACTTACCTATTTGCCAGGAGGCATCAGAAATCCAGGCAGCGATGGGGAAAGACTTCTCCAAAATGGAGAAGAGAAAAGAATATCCGCAGAGTCTGAGAGAGTTGTTGAGTGTAACAGTCTGTAAAGAAATGAAATTTTGTGTTTGTCAAGGATATTAGGGAGAGGAGAGGTGGTAAGGAGGATGATAAGGCAGGGGCCCTTGAGGGGCAGGCATTCAGTCCAATCCTAGCAACCCAATACCAACCCAGACTTGTCTTTAGGTGCTTCCCTAACCTCTGCCTTGGTCTCCTCTTCTGTGGCATTTGTTTGGACTGGGAGAAAACTTTGGATGTTGTCTTGAAGGAGTCAAATAGAGTGGGACTGTCTGTATGCTGGTCAAGCTTCAAAAGCAATGTTAAAACTAGACTGATAAGTAGGTTTAAAATGGTGAAAAAGGGTCAGGTCTGAGAAAAATGGAAAAGACAAAAAAAAAACGTTTGTACTTTTTCACCATTTTGTCTTGAGCTATTTCAATAAGGAATGGACATAGAATCAGTTTTAGCAACAATTCAATTCATCTCAATAAATATTTACTGGGCGACTCTCATGTGGCAAGCACTGTGCTAAATGCTGAAAATAAAGAAGTAAATATGGCAAGTTTCTGGCCTTCAACAAATTCATAATACAGCAGAAAGAAGAAATGTACAATCAATTTAAGTGAAATTTAACATGGCTGGCATTTTGCTGGGTGATAGAGGAAGGGGCAGAGATGTCAGAGAAATTTAGGAAGGAGAGGACATTTGAACTGAGACTTGAAAAATGTATTGATGGGATATCAGACAGACCCAGTAAGGAAAGGGCATTCTCTAGGAGAACTGGGAGGACAGGAAAAACGAAGTCAGAAACAAAGGAGTTGACAGACCTTGCTCAGGGAACATCAGTAATCTGGTATGTCTAGAATTTGTGTGTGTGAGGAAAAGCAAAGAGTGATAAGCTTAGAAGGGTAGACCAAGCCAGTTTGTTGAATAGAGAGCCATATATTCATGTCAAAAATTTGATTTTATTCTGATTCTGGAGAACCATCACAGGTTCTCAAGCAACAAGAGCACTCAGGCATCACTCAGCCATGACGATGGATTGAAAAGGTGCCAGATGACAGGCAGGAGCTGGGTTGATGAACTCTTGTCTAGATTAGGGAAGTGGTAATGAGAAGCAATAGGATGGAAGAAATACAAAAATTATTTTGTCAGTAGAATTTGGAGGTATCCAAGTGGATTTGGGAAGTGTAATTTCCAAAGTTTGGGCAATGGGGTGGATGCAAATACCCTTCTATTTTCTTGCTACCTTCTATTACCATTTAATTATCATGTAACCTTTACAACAGAAGTTCCCAACCCGAAGGCCATAGACTGGTACAGCCCTGTTAGGAACCTGACTACACAGCAGAAGATAGGTGGTGGGTGAGTGAGCGAAGCTGATCTCTGCCTCCTGTCAGATCAGTGGTGGCATTAGATTCTCTTAGGGTCACAAACCCTACGGTGAACTGCACATGCCAGGGATCTAGGTTGCGTGCTCCTTTTGAGAATCTAATTCCTGATATCTGTTACTGTCTCCCATCACCCTCAGATGGGACCGTCTATTTGTCAGAAAACAAGCTCAGGGCTCCCACTGATTCTACATCATGGTGTGTATGTAATAATAATAGAAAAAAGTGCACAATAAATGTAATGCGCTTGAATCATCCTGAAACCATCCCCCTTGACCCCTGCCCTGTCCATGGAAAAAATTGTCTTCACAAAACCAGTTCCTGGTCCCAAAAAGGTTGGGGACTGCTGCTTTAGACCGCCACCTAAAGGGTCCACATGTAGGTTTTCCCTTCCCTTGTGGGAAGAGAATCATCCCTGTGCTTTGCCCTTTCCTATAGAAACGTGGTTGGATACCCACATTTATACAAAGTCTGGCTATAACTATTTTCCCATGAGTTTTGTGAACCGGGGATTAAAAAAAATAATAAAAGAAATTCAGCAACAAAATCTTGGTCTTTAAAGCTCTGGGATTCATTTGAATCAAATGTTGCCATGGTTTCAAGAGTCTGAAATCAACATTTCAAGGTAATCCCAAGATCTAGATATTGCTGCAGCATTCAGGTATCAAGGAACAATCAAAGTGCCATACTCCATTAGTGACAGAACTCTGTTAAGGTTGTGCAAGTGCCTCAAATTGGTATTCAGCTTAATCACTGATACCGTATTACTAATTATAGCATGACACCATACAAAAGTGGTACTTTTTAAAAGGCTGGCAAATGGCATTATTTTAATAAGTCATTAGGAAATTGCTTTTTGAGGATGCAATGAAAGTACAAGTTTCTCAATTAGGGGAATTATGTGGAGTTGATGAGATATTTGAGCACGCATGATCTGCAGCTAGCGGTCCATTTGAAGCAGGCCAAGCCATTGAGAGGGCTGGCTAATGAGATCCAAGATGATCTGATTAATTGTAGGAGAAAAATGATAATAGAGGCTATAAATGGAGGGTGTTACAAGACTACTTGTCTCCCAGGCTACAACCACGGAACGCTCCCAACTTTCACCGTCAAGATGGGCACGGTAGCTCATGCCTGTAATCCTAGCACTTTGGGAGGGTGAGGTGGGCAGATCACAAGGTCAGGAGATAGAGACCATCCTAGCTAATGCAGTGAAACACTGTCTCTACTAACAATACAAAAAAATGAACCAGGCGTGGTGGCATGTACCTATAGTCCCAGCTACTCGGGAGGCTAAGGCAGAAGAATCGCTTGAATCCGGGAGGCGGAGGTTGCAGTAAGCCGAGATCGCACCACTACACTCCAGCCTGGGCAACAGAGCAAGACTCTGTCTCGAAAAAAAAATAAAAAAAAAATGTCAAGATAGACCTGATTTTTGAGAGGATTATGCAACTTTGTCTAATGACACATATGAGCAAGAAAAATAAATGATTATTAGTTGGCTGGACAACTCAAAAATATGGAATTTGTGTTTTGGATTTATTAGTAACCTAGAGAATAGTTGTTTGAGATAGGAAGCAAAATGAGAGGTGGTAACAAGTTCAAGAATAAAAGATCTTGCAGTTCTTTCCATGCCCACAATATTTTGTTCAGAAACTTTCATCCACAAAAATTTATACCTAAGTTTGAAAAGCATTATGTGGGCTCTACATGTGTGTATACTGTGTATGTTCAAGTGTGTGTATGAGAAAGGATGAAGGAAAGAAACAGAGCACATTTCTTGCTTTATTTTCACATTTGGCAAAGAGTATTCATCCTACATCTCAGATTACCAGTTATACTATTTGGAAAGGCTCAGGAATGTTTTCTTTGACAATTTTTGCCTTCAAGAAACTGTGTTTTTCTGAGGCTCCAGTTATTGATCATTCTCAGAAATGGGTTTCTATATATAAAAAGCCAAGACACTTTTCTAAGTATGAAATTTTCACCTGGAAATTGAGAGCCCTGTTTGAGTTCCTCAAGGCTCAGTGTTCCCGGAGTTTGCAGTGACTCAGAAGATTTGGAAATGCTTGCTCAACCTTAATGTCCAAACACTTCAAAATCTTTTGAATTCTACCTTTATTTTGACTTTGAAAGAGCTTGCATTTGACAGATGTGCTATAAATCTTCCCAGTTTGTCATCTGTGGGTGAGATAAATTGAAGTCAAATAGGAACAATAGCCATTAACACATTGGGGTCTGATGAACAATGCTTAGATTGGAGGAAGTTATATATATACATATATATACACACACACACACACACATATACATACAGTATGTATATACATAACATACATAGCATCATTCTTAAGACCAGTTGGAAAATGTCTGGTGACATTAATGGGACGGCATATATGGGCATAAGTGGCTCAGGGCCTATAGATGAAACTTTTCCTCCCTGAAACTTCGGGACAGATTATACATTATCTACTTGAGTTACCAAAGATACAGAGCCCAACTCTGTATTTTAGGAAATTAAACTATGAAATAAGATTCTTAAAAATTAAAAAAGACATGAATACTGCTTAGTCATTTTGTTAGGTGTTTGAGGTAACTTGTAGTCTGAAGACATTACGACTTCAGTCTTACACAGAGCAAAATTCGTGGAATGACTCGGTTGATCTCAGCATGTAGGAGAACAGACACATTTTTCAAAAGCAGCAATTGACTTGTTAAAGGTTTGACATATCACAAACATTTTGATTTTGTGATCAGACTGGATAGTGATTTACTTATCCACTGACTTCACTGTCAGGTAATTTATAAGTTTACTTCTCAGCTGAGAAGTGTGGAAAATCTTAGGAGGAATTCAGAGGGCAAAGAGGAGGAAACACAAAGATGTAATAAAGGCTATAGTGGTTGCTAAAACGACAAGAAAAACAAATGGAAATCATTTGATTTGCACTGCACCTGTGAGAGAAGAAATTATGGTCCCTTTTTACATCTGAATCTCACAGGTCTATTTTGAGAGTTGAGAGATCTGTGTGAGGTACCTAATTCACTCTTCTCAAACAGCCTTCACTTTAAGAGAACTCAACTGTGAAATTTATAGAAATTATTTCTGAAGCTAAGAAGAAAGTTCAAATACCTTTTGCTTTTCACTATTTCATCAAAACTCTTCTAAAATCCCGAGACACAATGTAGTGTGGTGTGATTAAGATAGGCCAAGTCATAGGTTGCTATAATTATTAAAAACCTTGGTTTATCCTTGTGTACAAGGAATAGAATCTCTCAACCTATCTCATGTCATTAACCTTCCCAAGGAGCAGGGTAATGTGGTTACTGCTTTTGGTACCTGAAAGATTCCAAGACTTGAGGCACTGAGAAACAAAGTGTTTGGCTGAGAGATCAGATAAGAGAATAGCAGACGAACCAGTATGGATGGCTCCTGGCCATGCGTGTCACTGTCTCACCAGAAGCCATCTACTTCTTTTAAGATGTGACATTATTAGTTTACACTGTAGCATCAAACAAGTTACTCAAATGTTAGCTCACACAACACTGATCATCAATCTGATATTTAATGTTATGTTATTCAATAATAGTAATACAGTACATTTATTTATTTAACAAGTATTTCTTAAATACTAACTGTGCATCAGTCACCGTATTAGGTACTGGGAACCCAGAAATAAATGAGAAGTGGTACCTGACTGAGGAGCCGAGTCTCATGAAGGAGACAGACACAGAAATTAATAAACACAATTCTTGAAAGGGCAGAGAGAAGCACAGTAGTGTAGGAGCCCAAACATATAGTTAATGTCAATTAACCAATAATTCATTCTTAGACCTTTCTATACCTCATTCCCTAGCATGATGCTGGGCACATGCAGGCAATTGATAAATGTGTATTTGGATGGATGGATGGATGGATGGATGGATGGTTGGATGGATAAATGGTTGATGGGTAGATGGGTGGAAAAGTGGATGAGTGGATGAGTGGATGAGTTAATGAGAAGAGTGAGTGAGTAAACAAAAATAAATTGACAACTCAGGAAATAATATTCTGTCAGGTCATGTGTTCTCATTTTAGGTTTGGGAAATCTGGCCAAGGTAATTGGAAAGTACGGTAGAATTCATTGACATATCTGGATATTATTCAGAAAGGCTTAAGATAATACTGCAGATGGTAAAATAAAAAGTTAGAGAGCCAGTTAATTGTTTCTCCATAGATACACATACAGTTAACTTCAACTCACTTGTTTATTTATTTGTGATTATCCTCAGCTCAAGCATCATTTTTTCAGAGATAACTTTCCAGGCTCCCAATCCCACACATGGTCTAGGTCAGGGCATTTATTAAACAATCTCAAAGAATCATGTACTGTTGCTTCATCACACTGGTCTCTGCATATTCTTATGCATACAATAGTTTGTGTTATTTATTTTTAGATTCATGCCTGTCTCCCCTAGAAGAATATAAGATCAAAAAGAAGAGTCGGAGCCTCATCTGTTTTTGCTTCCCAGAGATAGCATCAACATCTAAGACAGTATTTGGCATGTAAAAGGTGCTAAATAAATATTTGTTGAATAGGTAAAGAGAAGCACTCCTGTCTCACTGACTGAAATACTGTGAATATGCAAGAAGCAATGCTTTTTCAGAACTCTGTAAATGTTTGCTATTCAAAAAAAAAAAAAGGTTTTTACCGCTCATATATAGACACTAAAGAAATATTCATTTCTTTTAAGAAAAATGTATATGGCTTCACTTGAATCACATTGGTCTCAATCATTCAGATAACTCCAGCAAGTGGAGGCTGGAAAATGTCATTGCTGGAATTGTAGAGAGTTAATACATAATATACATAATACCCTTTTCTTCTTTCTCCTGATTTAGGACCAATGGATAAATAAAGGTGATGCATTGACAATTATGGTATCAGCACCGGCAGGCCCATTGAAAGATTGGCCTTTGTATTAACCCATTTTCACACTGCTACCAAGAGCTACCGGAGACTGGGTAATTTATAAAGAAAAGAAGTTTTACTGACTCAAAGTTCCACAAACTTAACAGAAAGTGTAACTGGGAGGCCTCAGGAAACTTACGATCATGGCGGAAGGTGAAGGGGAAGCATGCACATCTTCACAATGGCAGAGCAGGAGACAGACAGAAAGTGAAGAAAGAAGTGTCACATGCTTTCAAACAACCAGATATCGGAAGAACGAACTCACTATCACGAGGACTGCAAGAGGGAAGTCCACTCCATGATTCAATCACCTCCCACCAGGCCCCTCCCCTGACACATGAGGATTACAATTTGAGATGAGATTTAGGTGGGGACACGGAGCCAAACCATATCAGTCTTTCAATCTGTAACTCAAATAATTTATGACCCTTTCCTGCCCCTCACCCCCACACTAGACCTTGGGAAAGCCATGTGCAGGAAGATATGCCACTTGCAGCAAGGGTTTTCTCATTTTATGTAGAGTAGTACAAAAGATAAATAAGACAACATATTCCGGGATTTGGGGTCTTTTTCTTCACTTAAGAATCAGAGACCAGTGCATGCTACTGATGTAACTCATAAAAAATAATGGGTGAGACAAGAGGCCAGAGGTCCCTGCACATGCAATCAATAAGGCCAGAAGAAAGGAGAAATCCCCATGACAGGCAAATCCTTGATGAGCTTCTCTGTTCCAACCACTGGGACACAGTACAGTAAATGGCAAATGAATAGGGGAAATAGGAAAAAAAAAAAATGAAATATGCAAGTTTTGCTTTTCCAGATGGCACAATTCATGGAAATTATCACCTTCATTTCTGATAAGCATCTGGTAGTTAATACCCAATCTTTTCTTTGCAGGAGCCATGACATCGTTTAAAAGAATTCAGGCCGGGCATGGTGGCTCACGCCTGAAGCCGAGGCAGGCGGATCACCTGAGGTCAGGCATTCAAGACCAGCCTGGCCAACATGGTGAAACCCCATCTCTACTAAAAAAAAAAAAAATACAAACAATTAGCCAGGCATGATGGTGGGTGCCTTTAATCTCTGCTCAGGAGGCTGTGGTGGGAGAATTGCTTGAACCTGGGAGGCAGAGGTTGCAGGGAGCCGAGATCGCACCACTGTACTCTAGCCTGGGTGAGAGAGCAAGACTTCATCTCAAAAAAAAAAAAAAAGAAAGAAAAAGAAAGAAAGCAAAGAATAGGAGATCTATTTGGTACAGCAATATTTGCTCTTACTTCAAAGATGTTTGGCTTAGGGGATCTCCTCCTATCTGGTTGTGACCTCTCCCCATAATATGCCTTTATGCTCAACTCCTTGGTATTAGGTTCTCCCATGCACTCATTATTTATTGCATAAAAGTAGCTACAATTCCCGGAACCTTACTGCATGTCAGGCACTATGATAAGCACTTTATATGCATTATCTCAATTCTCACAGTCTATACAGTAGAATGAATATCCCCATTATAAAGATGAGGAAACTGGGGCTTGTGACTACCAATTTCTTGCCAAGATTCACATAACTTGTTATTGAAGGAGCTGAAATTCAAAGCCAAGAAACTTGATTTCAGAGCCTGCATTCAACCACTATAGCAGCAAGGAGAAATGAGAAATACCTGGAAAAACTTTCCTAGACAAAAAGAGTGCAGATTGTCACCTGTCAGCTCTACTTAATACATAAGAAAATTCAAAAGAGAGGTAACATTGCTTTATCTTGTAACAACTTTTACCTCAAATCTATTCCTGTTTAATAGCCCTGAGAATGCTTATGTCAGTGGGAATGTAAATTAATTCAGTCACTGTGGAAAGCAGTTTAGAGATTTCTCTAAGAACTTAGAACTACCATTCAACCGAGCAATCTCATTACTAGGTACACATCCAAAAGAAAGTAAGCCGGTCTATCAAAAAGACACATGCACTCATAGGTTCATGGAAGCACTATTCATAATCATAGAAAAGACACAGCAAAGACATGGAATTAACCTAGATGACCATCAGTGTGGATTGGATTTTTTTTAATGCAGTACATATATACCATGAAATACTACATAACCATAAAAATTTTTTTTTTAAAAATCATGTCCTTTATGGCAACATGGATGCAGCTGGAGGACATTATTCTAAGCGAATTAACTCAGGAACAGAAAACCAAATACCACATGTTCTCGATTATAAGTGGGAGCTAAACTTTGGGTACACACGGACATAAAGATGGCAACAATAGGCACTGGGGACTACTAGAGAGGGAAGGGAGAGAGGGGAGCAAAAGTTGAGAAACCTCTCTATTGGGTATCATGCTTACTACCTGGGTGACAGAATAAACCATACTCCAAACCTCAGCATCACACAGTGTACCTAAGTAACAAAGTTGTATATGTACTCCTTAAATCTAAAATAAAAGTCAATTTAAAATAAGAGAGAGAGCTGGGCATGGTGGCAGGTGCCTGTAATCCCAGCACTTTGGGAGGCCAAAGCAGGCAGATCACCTGAGGTCAGGAGTTCAAGGCCAACATGGTGAAACCCCGTCTCTACTAAAAACAATACAAAAATTAGCCGGGCATGGTGGCAGGTGCCTGTGATCCCAGCTACTTGGGAGGCCGAGGCAGGAGAATTGCTTGAACCCAGGAAGCAGAGGTTGCAGTGAGCCAAGATTGCACCATTGCACTCCAGCCTGGGTGACAAGAGTGAAACTCTGTCTCAAGAAAAAAGAAGAGAGAGAGAGAGATAGCCCTGAATATATATCCTTGATTCCAGTTGAAGTCACCATAACAACCAAAGAAGATAGTCACAGAGAAAGAATAAGACCGAGCTTTCTCTAGAACACTTTGATGAAATTCCTTTTTTGCTTTCAAGTTTTTTTTCTCTTTAATCAATACATATTAATTGTATGTATTTATGGGTATAGTGTGATGTTTTGATACATATATACATACCTCAAATGTTTATCATTTCTTTGTGATGAGAATATTCAAAATGCTACCTTCTAGTTCTTTTGACATATACTATATTTTATTGTTGACTATAGACACTCTACTGTGCAATAGAATGCCAGAACTCAATTCTCCTAAGTGGAACTTTGTATGTGATGACCAGCCTCTCTCCACCCCTTTCTCATTTCTGATTAGATGCTGTGGTAGCTAATCTCCAGAGACAGTCCCAGTGACCAAACCTCCTTGTACATCTTGGTACAACCACACTGGATCTGGACTGGCCCTGTGCATCACTCTAATTGCTACAATGTGGCAGAAGGGAGCTACGTATCTTTCAAGACTGAGAGATCTGCACCTCTCCTTGGCACCTCTGCTCATCTCCTGTCTCCTCTTGGAACATTTCCTCTTGTAGCCCAGTCACTGTGTTTGTGCTTTAAGAAACCCACATGGGGGCAGCAGTTCCAAGATGGCTGAATAGGAACAGCTCCAATCTACAGCTCCCAGCATGAGCAACGCAGAAGATGGGTGATTTCTGCATTTCCAACTGAGATACCGGGTTCATCTCACTGGGGCTTGTTGGACAGTGGGTACAGGACAGTGGGTGAAGCACACCGAGCATGAGCAGAAGCAGGGTGAGGCATTGCCTCACCCCAGAAGCACAGGGGGTCAGGGAATTCCCTTTCCTAGCCAAGCAAAGCTGCAACAGACGGCACCTGGAAAATTGGGTCACTCCCACCCTAATACTGCACATTCCAGTGGTCTTAGCAAACGACACACCAGGAGATTATATCTCACGTCTGGCTTGGAGGTTCCCACGCCCACAGAGCCTCGCTCATTGCTAGTACAGCAGTCTGAGATCGAAATGCAAGGTGGCAGCGAGGCTGGCAGAGGGGCACCCGCCATTGCTGAGGCATGAGTAGGTAAACAAAGCAGCTGGGAAGCTCCAAATTGACGGAGCCCACCGCAGCTCAAGGAGGCCTGCCTGCCTCTGTATGTAGACTCCACCTCTGGAGGCAGGGCATAGCCAAACACAAGGCAGCAGAAACCTCTGCAGACTTAAATGTCCCTGTCTGACAGCTTTGAAGAGAGTGTGGTTCTCCCAGCACAGAGTTTGAGATCTGAGAATGGACAGACTGCCTCCTCAAGTGGATTCCTGAACCCCAAGTAGCCTAACTGGGAGGCACCCCCAAGTAGGGGCAGACTGACACCTCACACGGCCAGGTACCCCTCTGAGATGAAACTTCCAGAGGAACGATCAAGCAGCAACATTTTCTGTTCAGCAATATTCGCTGTTCTGCAGCCTCCATTGCTGATACCCAGGCAAACAGGGCCTGGAGTGGACCTCCAGCAAATTCCTACAGACCTGCAGCTGAGGTTCCTGACTGTTAGAAGGAAAACTAACAAACAAAAAGGACATCCACACCAAAACCCCATCTGTACGTGACCATCATCAAAAACTAAAGGTAGATAAAACCACAAATATGGGGAAAAAACAGAGCAGAAAAGCTAAAAATTCTAAAAATCAGAGTGCCTTTCCCCCTCCAAAGGAACACAGCTCCTCACCAGCAATGCAACAAAGCTGGATGGAGAATGACTTTGACGAGTTGAGAGAAGAATGCCTCAGACAATCAAACTCCTCCAAGTCAAAGGAGGAAGTATGAACCCATCACAAAGTAGCTAAAAACCTTGAAAAAAGATTAGATGAATGGCTAACTAGAATAACCAGTGTAGAGAAGTCTTTAAATGACCTGATGGAGCTGAAAACCATGGCATGAGAACTACGTGATGAATGCACAAGCTTCAGTAGCCAATTCAATCAACTGGAAGAAAGGGTATCAGTGGTTGAAGAGCAAATGAATGAAATGAAGCGAGAAGAGAAGTTTAGAGAAAAAACAGTAAAAAAGAAATGAACAAAGCCTCCAAGAAATATGGGAAATATGGGACTATGTGAAAAGATCAAATCTACGTCTGATTGGTGTGCCTGAAAGTGACAGGGAGAATGGAACCAAGTTGGAAAACACTCTGCAGGATATTATCCAGGAGAACTTCCCCAATCTAGCAAGGCAGGCCAACATTCAAATTCAGGAAATACAGAGAATGCCACAAAGATACTCCTCGAGAAGAGCAACTCCAAGACACATAATTGTCAGATTCACCAAAGTTGAAATGAAGGAAAAAATGTTAAGGGCAGCCAGAGAGGAAGGTCGGGTTGCCAACAAAGGGAAGCCCATCAGACTACCAGCTGATTTGGCAGAAACTCTACAAGCCAGAAGAGAGTGGGGGCCAATATTCAACATTTTTAAAGAAATGAATTTTCAACCCAGAATTTCATATCCAGCCAAACTAAGCTTCATAAGTGAAGGAGAAATAAAATACTTTACAGACAAGCAAATGCTGAGAGATTTTGTCACCACCAGGCCTGCCCTAAAAGAGCTCCTGAAGGAAGCACTAAACATGGAAAGGAACAACCAGTACCAGCCACTGCAAAAACATGCCAAATTGTAAAGACCATCAAAGCTAGGAAGAAACTGCATCAACTAACGAGCAAAATAACCAGCTAACATCATAATGACAGGATCAAATTCACACATAACAATATTAACGTTAAATGTAAATGGGCTAAATGCTCCAATTAAAAGACACTGACTGGGTCAGGCGCAGTGGCTCACGCCTGTAATCCCAGCACTTTGGGAGGCTGAGATGGGCGGATCATGAGGTCAGGAGATCAAGACCATCCTGGCTAACACAGTGAAACCCCGTCTCTACTAAAAATACAAAAAATTAGCCGGGCGTGGTGGCAGGCGCCTGTAGTCCCAGCTGCTTGGGAGGCTGAGGCAGGAGAATGGCATGAACCTGGGACGTGGAGCTTGCAGTGAGCTGAGATTGGGCCACTGCACTCCAGCCTGGGTGACAGAGTGAGACTCCATCTCAAAAAAAAAAAAAAAAAGACACTGACTGGCAAATTGGATAGTGAGTCAAGAACCATCAGTGTGTTGTATTCAGGATACCCATCTCACATGCAGAGACACACATAGGCTCAAAACAAAGGGATGGAGGAAGATCTACCAAGCAAATGGAAAACAAAAAAAGGCAGGGGTTGCAATCCTAGTCTCTGATAGAACAGACTTTAAACCAACAAAGATCAAAAGAGACAAAGAAGGCCATTACATAATGGTAAAGGGATCAATTCAACAAGAAGAGCTAACTATTCTAAATATATATGCACCCAATACAGGAGCACCCAGATTCATAAAGCAAGTCCTTATGAGACATGACAGCATGCTGGCAGCCCTCGCTCACTCTTGGTGCCTCCTTGGCCTCGGCGCCCACTCTGGCCATGCTTGAGGAGCCCTTCAGCCTGCCGCTGCACTGTGGGAGCCCCTCTCTGGGCTGGCCGAGGCTGGAGCCAGCTCCCTCTGCTTGCGTGGAGGTGTGGAGGGAGAGGCGTGGGCGGGAACTGGGGCTGCACGCGGCACTTGCGGGCCAGCATGAGTTCCGGGTGGGCATGGGCTCAGCAGGTCCCGCAGTCAGAGTGGCCGGCCCGTGCCACTGGCCCCGAGCAGAGAGGAGCTTCGCACCCAGGCCAGCAGCTGCGGAGGGTGCGCCGGGTCCCCCAGCAGTGCTGGCCCACCTGCGCTGTGCTCAAATTCTCACCGGGCCTCAGCTGCCTGCCCGTGGGGCAGGGCTTGGGACCTGCAGCCTGCCATGCCTGAGCCTCCTTCCCACCATGGGCTCCTGCACAGCCCAAGGCTCCCCAATGAGCACTGCCCCCTGCTCCACAGCTCCCATTCCCATTGACTGCCCAAGGGCTGAGGAGTACAGGCACATGGTGCGGGACTGGCAGGCAGCTCCACCAGCAGCCCTGGTGCAGGATCCACTAGGTGAAGCCAGCTGGGCTCCTGAGTCAGGTGGGGACTTGGAGAACCTTTATGTCTAGCTAAAGGACTGTAAACACACCAATCAGCACTCTGTGTCTACCTCAAGATTTGTAAACACACCAATCAGCACTCTGTGTCTACCTCAAGGTTTGTAAACACACCAATCAGCACTCTGTGTCTAGCTCAAGGTTTCTAAATGCACCAATCAGCACTCTGTGTCTACCTAAAGGTTTCTAAATGCACTATCAGTGCTCTGTGTCTAGCTAATATAGTGGGGACTTGGAGAACTTTCATGTCTAGCTAGAGGATTGTAAATGCACCAATCAGCACTCTGTGTCTAGCTCAGGGATTGTAAATGCACCAATCAGTGCTCTGTGTCTAGTTAATCTAGTGGGAACTTGGAGAACTTTTGTGTCTACCTAAAGGATTGTAAATGCACCAATCAGCACTCTGTGTCTAGCTCAAGGTTTGTAAACGCACCAATCAGCACCCTGTCAAAAAGGACCAATCAGCTCTCTGTAAAACAGACCAATCAGCTCTCTGTAAAGTGGGCCAATCAGCAGGATGTGGGTGTGGTCAGATAAGGGAATAAAAGCAGACTGCCCGAGCCACCAGCGGCAACCCGCTTGGGTCCCCTTCCACACTGTGGAAGCTTTGTTCATTTGCTCTTTGCAATAAATCTTGCTGCTGCTGACTCTTTGGGTCCACACTGCCTTTATGAGCTGTAACACTCACTGCAAAGGTCTGCAACTTCACTCCTGAGGCTAGCAAGACCACGAACCCACCAGGAGGAATGAAGAACTCTGGACGGGAGGAGCAAACATCTCCAGACGCGCCACCTTAAGAGCTGTAACACTCACCGTGAAGGTCTGCAGCTTCACTCCTGAAGCCAGCGAGACCACAAACTCAGCAGAAGGAAGAAACTCCGAACACGTCCAAACATCAGAAGGAACAAACTCCGGACACACTACCTTTAAGAACTGTAACACTCACTGCCAGGGTCCGCGGCTTCATTCTTGAAGTCAGTGAGACCAAGAACCCACCAATTCTGGAAACAATTAGAGACCTACAAAGAGACTTAGACTCCCACACAATAATAATGGGAGACTTCAACACCCCGTTGTCAACATTAGACAGATCCATGAGACAGAAAGTTAGCAAGGATATCCAGGAATTAAACTCAGCTCTGCACCAAGCAGACCTAATAGACATCTACAGAGCTCTCCACCCCAAATCAACAGAATATACATTCTTTTCAGCACCACAACACACCTATTCCAAAATTGACCACATAGTTCAAAGTAAAGCACTCCTCAGCAAATGTAAAAGAACAGAAATTATAACAAACTGTCTCTCAGACCACAGTGCAATCAAACTAGAACTCAGGATTAAGAAACTCACTCAAAACCGCTCAACTACATGGAAACTGAACAACCTGCTCCTGAATGACTACTGGGTACATAATGAAATGAAGGCAGAAATAAAGATGTTCTTTGAAACCAACGAGAACAAAGACACAACATAGCAGAATCTCTGGGACACATTTAAAGCAGCGTGTAGAGGGAAATTTATAGAACTAAATGCCCACAAGAGAAAGAAGGAAAGATCAAAAATTGACACCTTAATATCACAATTAAAAGAACCAGAGAAGCAAGAGCAAACACATTCAAAAGCTAGCAGAAGGCAAGAAATAACTAAGATCAGAGCACAACTAAAGGAGATAGAGACACAAAAAACCCTTCAAAAAATCAATGAATCCAGGAGCTGGTTTTTTGAAAAGATCAACAAAATTGATAGACCACTAGCAAGACTACTAAAGAAGAAAAGTGAGAAGAATCATTAAGACACAATAAAAAATGATAAAGGGGATATCACCACTGATCCCACAGAAATACAAACTACCATCAGAGAATACTATAAACACCTCTATGCAAATAAACTAGAAAATCTGGAAGAAATGGAAAAATTCCTGGACACATACACCCTCCCATGACTAAACCAGGAAGAAGTTGAATCTCTGAATAGACCAATAACAGGCTCTGAAATTGAGGAAATAATTAATAGCCTACCAACCAAAAAAAGTCCAGGGCCAGATGGATTCACAGCCGAATTCTACCAGAGGTACAAGGAAGAGCTGGTTTCCTTCTGAAACTCTTCCAATCAATAGAAAAAGAGGGAATCCTCCCTAACTCATTTTATGAGGCCTGCATCATCCTAATACCAAAACCTGGCAGAGACACAACAAAAAAAGAGAATTTTAGACCAATATCCCTGATGAACATCGATGCAAAAATCCTCAATAAAATACTGGCAAACCGAATCCAGCAGCACATCAAAAAGCTTATCCACCATGATCAAGTGGGCTCCATCCCTGGGATGCAAGGCTGGTTCAACATACACAAATCAATAAACGTAATCCATCACATGAACAGAACCAAAGACAAAAATAACATGATTATCTCAATAGATGCAGAAAAGGCCTTTGACAAAATTCAACAGCCTTCATGCTAAAAACTCTCAATAAATTAGGTATTGATGGGACATATCTCAAGATGATAAGGGCTATTTTTGACAAACCCACAGCCAATAGCATACTGAATGGGCAAAAACTGCAAGCATTCCCTTTGAAAACTGGCACAAGACAGGGATGCCCTCTCTCACCACTCCTATTCAACATAGTGTTGGAAGTTCTGGCCAGCGCAATCAGGCAGGAGAAGGAAATAAAGGGTATTCAATTAGGAAAAGAGGAAGTCAAATTGTCCCTGTTTGCAGATGACATGATTGTATATCTAGAAAACCCCATCATCTCCGCCCAAAATCTCCTTAAGCTGATAGGCAACTTCAGCAAAGTCTCAGGATACAAAATCAATGTGCAAAAATCACAAGCATTCTTATACATCAATAACAGACAAACAGAGAGCCAAGTCACGAGTGAACTCCCATTCACAACTGCTTCAAAGAGAATAAAATACCTAGGAATCCAACTTACAAGGGATGTGAAGGACCTCTTCAAGGAGAACTACAAACCACTGCTCAATGACATAAAAGAGGACACAAACAAATGGAAGAACATTCCATGCTCACGGATAGGAAGAATCAACATCATGAAAATGGCCTTACTGCCCAAAGTAATTTATAGATTCAATGCCATCCCCATCAAGCTACCAATGACTTTCTTCACAGAATTGGAAAAAACTGCTTTAAACTTCATAGGGAACTGAAAAAGAGCCCACATTATCAAGTCAATCCTAAGCCAAAAGAACAAAGCTGGAGGCATCACTCTACCTGACTTCAAACTGTACTACAAGGCTACAGTAACCAAAACAGCATGGTACTGGTACCAAAACAGAGATATAGACCAATGGAACAGAACAGAGCCCTCAGAAATAATACCACACAGCTACAACCATCTGATCTTTGACAAACCTGACAAAAACAAGCAATGGGGAAAGGATTCCCTATTTAATAAATGGTGCTAGGAAAACTGGCTAGCCATATGTAGAAAGCTGAAACTGGATCCCTTCCTTACACCTTATACAAAAATTAATTCAAGATAGATTAAAGACTTAAATGTTAGACCTAAATCCATAAAATCCCCAGAAGAAAACCTAGGCAATGCCATTCAGGACATAAGCATGGGCAAGGACTTCATGTCTAAAACACCAAAAGCAATTGCAACAAAAGCCAAAATTGACAAATCAGATCTAACTAAACTACAGAGCTTCTGCACAGCAAAAGAAACTACTATCAGAGTGAACAGGCAACCTACAGAATGGGAAAAAATTTTTGCAATCTACCCACCTGACAGAGGGATAATATCCAGAATCTACAAAGAACTCAAACAAATTTACAAGAAAAAAAACAAACAACCCCATCAAAAAGTGGGCAAAGGATATGAACAGACACTTCTCAAAAGAAGACATTTATGCAGCCAACATCATCACTGGCCATCAGAGAAATGCAAATCAAAACCACAATGAGATACCATCTCACACCAGTTAGAATGGCAATCATTAAAAAGTCAGGAAACAACAGGTGCTGAAGAGGATGTGGAGAAATGGGAACACTTTTACCCTGTTCCTATGTGAGACTGTAAACTGGTTCAAACATTGTGGAAGACAGTGTGGCGATTCCTCAAGGATCTAGAACTAGAAATACCATTTGACTCAGCCATCCCATTACTGGGTATATATCCAAAGGATTATAAATCATGCTGCTATAAAGACACATGCACATGTATGTTTATTGTGGCATTATACACAATAGCAAAGACTTGGAACCAACCCAAATGTCCAACAATGATAGACTGGATTAAGAAAACGTGGCACATAGACACCATGGAATACTATGCAGCCATAGAAAAAGATAAGTTCATGTCCTTTGTAGGGACATGGATGAAGCTGGAAACCATCATTCTCAGCAAACTATCACAAGGACAAAAAACCAAACACCGCACGTTCTCACTCATAGGTTGGAACTAAACAGTGAGAACACTTGGACACAGGAAGGGGAACATCACACACCAGGGCCTGTGGTGAGGTGGGGGGTGGGGGGAGGGATAGCATTAGGAGATATACCTAATGCTAAATGACGAGTTAATGGGTGCAGCACACCACATGCTACATATATACCTATGTAACAAACCTGCACGTTGTGCACATGTATCCTAGAACTTAAAGTATAATTTAAAAAAAAAAAAAAGAAATGCACATGGAGAAAACCAAGACACTCCTGTCAACTGCTAAGCTCCAAGTAGATGACCAGTACCTACTGCCAGCAGTGTAAGCACACCAATTTGCACGTTTCAGCCCTGTCAGGTCCCTAGATGTCTGCAGCCCGGATGACATGACATCACATAGAAGAGAAGAATAGCCTGGCTGAGCCCAGTCAACCCACAAAGTTGTAACAGAAAATAAAATGTTTGCTGTTTTGTGCCATTAAATTTAAAGATGGTTTATTGCACAGTAATAACTAGAACACAACCCTTCTCTGGCCCCTGGGTTTCTGGAACAGGATGATTCTTATCATTAATTGGGGAAAGTTTTACTTGCAACGTCATTTGTTTAAAGGATTTAATTGAGAAATGTTTTCTTTTGTTCTTTCTTCCTTGATGAAAAGGTAAAGCTGAAATATTTCAAAGCAAACCATAATTACTATGTTGACTGACCCTTCTACAAAGAGCTGATAGGTGAATATTATGTTTCAGATGAAAGCTATCTAGAATTAGCCTCAACCCTTTATGGAACAACAATTTCCAAGACTAGTTAACGGTGAGACTGGGAAGCTATCTTGTAATCAGGAGTTCCGGTGAGACTGGGAAGCTATCTTGTAATCAGGAGTTCAGAGAAAGAAAATGCATATCTTGCAGCCCTTGTCACAACTTAAAAACAATTTGGGCTAATGTCTGTAAATAGAAAATAGCTATTAGCAAATCAATTAATTAGGGTCTTGTTGGCTTTTCTAGTGTCAACTCTAATTGTTTGTTTGATCTGAAGTATCCTTAGATTATTTACAATCATTCCTGCCAACCAACAAAAGACAATAAGGTTCGCCCTCACAAGTATGTGGGAGTTAGAGGATAGCTTTTATCCTAGATTCTTAGTCGTTGGCAATAATTTCAGAGACTAAGTATTTTCTTCAAGACAAAATCTCCTACTGAAGTTAATAAATGACCAACTTTCATAACAAATTTTCTAAGAGGGAAATAATTAATTAAATTTGCTTGGGGAAAAAAAACTCTAGATCCAGAGACATTTGTTCAGAATAAAATGACAAGAATATTTCTTTATGTCTTGTTTTTTTCCCTGCAGTTATTTTCTTGCATAGGGTCTGAGAAAGAAATCTACACTTCTGGAAGGAAACTGAGGTAGAGGATGAGTAATCACTCTATTCAAAAGCATGATCATACCTGGTGGCAGTACTCACAATCTGAGAAACTCTAATTGTATCTTTATTTCTCAAAAACACACTTGTCTTTTATCAATACATAAGTCAAGGTTATTTTTCTTTGTTCTACAGCACAATCTCAGCCTAATTCTTTATCTGATCGTTTTCCACTTTGTCATAAAAGAAAAGAATACAGGTTCCATTTTTAGCTTGAGAAAAATGGAAAATTCCCTCTCTGTAGCAAGCTGGAAAGTGGCTCTTATAACAAAATAATTACCTAATTAAAGTACTCACTTGAATCAGTTACCACAAGCCCAATTAAATCGAACTGCCAACAGGAATATATAATACCTGATAAGGAAGAGTTAGTGAGTAGATAGACACAGAGCATGAAGATCATGCTCTCCATTTAACTTAGGGAAGATATTATGTATTCTTCCCTTTAAAAGGTGCTATATTTTCCCAATGAAATGTTGTTTCTTAATATGCCAATGAAGCTACATACCTGGTAGTGAGAATGTTAAATACTTACCTGCTAATTCAGGAGCTCAAGGTCAGATGTGTACTTTGCCAATGAACTTCTAGTCAGGGGCTTATGGAAACAAAAGACATTAGTGACTAATTTATCATAAAATCATCTTGTTTCTTTTCCTTCATGGTGCAGTGCAGGCAGGTAGTGGTTATTCAGTGTGACTGAACGTATGACCAACAAAAAGAATGCCAAGCTTGAGGCAGCAGAGAAATGACAGTTCTCTTTGACCAAAGGAAAATATCCATCCACTCACTTCCTAACCAGAGAACCCTATTTCTTTGACTTCTGTGACATTTCTTTATCATGCTAGCTAAGCCAGCTTTCCCTTCTCACAGCATCCTTGCCATAGGCAAGAATCCTGGGCTTTTTTTCTCTTTTCTACTCTCAATGTCATCTATTTTGGTTTGTTTCCACATTGAGAAGAGCATCCAGGACACCCACCATTTCTCCCCTGCTCTGCCAGAGTTGCTGTTCCAGTGGAGGAAATAGAACATTCTGGAAAACAGAAAAAAAGAATATTGAATTGACATGTCAGACATGTCTGCCAGCTAACCAACAAAATATAATAAGGTTGACTTTCAGAGGACAGCCTTTATCCTAGATGCTTTTTCTCCAGTGACATATTCAGAGCCTAACCCTTTTCCTCAAGATGAAGTCTCTTATTGACATTAATACATGACTGACTTTCAAAACAAATTTTCTAAAAGGGCAATTATTAATTAAATTTGCTTGGGGAAGAAAAAAAAACCTAGATCCAGGGACATTTGTTCAGAATGAAGGAACAAGAGTATTTCTTTAAGTCCCAACTGGCCAGGTGGGAGGGAAAATACTTTGGAAAAAGCAGGTAAACAACAGCACAAGAGAAGTTTTTGAGGTCAATTTTTCAAAGAGACAGCAAAGAGCCAGCCCCCAAAGCCTCATTGTCTTTATTGCCAGTTCCTGCCCCCATGTACCCTTGTATCTTTAGAACAAGTTTCCTTTTTTCTGAAGATGTCTGAGTGAGTCTTAGTCGCAGCCTAACACAGGTGTGCGATGCTCTCCAAACTGTGAAATGACATTAGACACAACTAGTCACTGGCTAGATCCTGCTTGAAATGCAAAGTAAATTTTCCTGAGAAATTTGAAGTTTATAAAAATTCAGAAACTATCTACTTTAAATTATATGTGCCATATATCTTTCTTAAAATAGTTTATAGTTTTTACATTCATGTTACGAAGGTAATGTGATAGATATTTGACATTTGTAAAGCAGGGATTGGATATAAAAGATTCCATCTTTATGCTTTTGAAACCACAACAAAACCTAAAAATTTCTCCCCAGAAGGATGAATGCATTTGCCAAGTATTACTAATTTATAAGAGCTTTTTTTCTACTATCAGAGGAGAATTTTTTGACTTTGGTTCGCTGGCACTCATAATATTCACTCATTTTCCAGAACTAATATTCCACTCTTTTTTAAAACATTACCATTGCTTTTTCATAAATCCAAAATATCTTTGGGAAATTTCTGTGAGTCATTTCTCACTTTACCTCAGAGCCCTTTGAAGTCAGTGCGAGCTCTATGTGTGAATCAGCCTCGTGGAAAGAGAAGCCAGAGGAGAAACAGGGGAGGTACAAAAATATTCCAACATAGAGAGTGAGGCCTTCCTGTCTATGATGTGTCCCACAGGGCTGGGGTCAGAAATGGCTCTCAGGAGAGAATCCTTCAAGGAAAAAGAAAAACAGTTGCAAAAAATGGCCAAGAGCTAGCTGAAATAGGAAGGAGAAAAAACAGCAATTTAATATGAATTTTAACGAATGCTGATTCCAAGTTTCAGGAATTAGTTATGTATGAAGTTTGTTGGAAAGAGGTGGACTGAGCCTTGACTATAATTAAAACACAAGGTTGCCCAGAAGGCACCACTTTGGAACTTAACAGGTCTTTTCATGTCTCCTCCTAACTCCCCATTCTCAACCTCATGGCCCAAATCTCTTTCCTACTGATAACTAAAACATCCCCTGCAGTAACCCATTCCTCTGGGTTAGCTCTGCTTCACTGGGTGTTCTCTAGGAAAAGGGTACTGGGTTTTGGTGGTTTGAGTGGTATCGAGAACAGGGACAATAAAGTAAGAAGAAGCATCCCACAGAGCAGACTGAGAGAGGCACTCCCTTAGTAGTACACACAACAGGTGCAGGAGATGTGTTTAAATATTTTGTTGTCTTTCCAGAAAGCAAGTTGCCTGTTTTTCTTCTGCTGGTTTCCTGAAGTCATGTGGGAGACACCACTGGGAATGTCTATTCAGGCCATAGTGCTCCCTACTCTTTAAGAATTACTAGAACCACTCATACCATGGGCCTTTGGAGACATTAATGAGGTCATAAGAATGAGCTCCTGATCGGATAGGATTCATGTCCTTTTAGGAGAAGACACCAGAAAGCCTGACCAAGCTCTCTTTCTGTCTCCCACTCTCTGTTTTCTCTCCCCCTTGCTCAGAGAAAAGGACATGTAAGGACATAGCAAGAAGGCAGTCATCTGCAATCCAGAAAGGGAGACTCCCCAGAAACCAAACCCTGCTGGAACCTTGATCTTGGACTTGCCAGCCTCCAGAACTCTGAGAATAAATTTCTGTTGATTAAGGCCCACAGTCTGTAGTGTTTTGTTATGGCAGCCAGAGCATATTAATACATAGTACATATTCATATTCCTCCAAATTATGAAAAAAAATTCTTTTATTGCTATTTGCTTTTTTCAATGTGCGATCTCATTGAAAATCATGTATTGCATTTGATTGTCATGTCTCTTTAGTCTTTTTCAATATAGTACCCCCCACACACTTTTTTTTTTAATCATTCAAGCTACACCTTCATTTTAACTATCACTAAGGAAAAAAACAGTACCACCATTTATAACAATAAGATGTCATGGATTATAAAATGAATCCTATTAAATGTTGAAATTTAATATGTTAAAATGTGACCAGAAGGTGCATCCTAGAATTGAAGAAATAAAATATTTCTGTCTAGATTTGTTATGAAAAGAAAATTACAGATAATAATTAAAAGTTTAGAAAATACATCCCATAAGAAAAAGATTTTTTTTTAACTGAGAGTACTTAGCTGGGAGAACAGATTAAGAGGCAATTTTATAACAAGCTTTAAATTTATGAAGCACTCTTAAATGGAAGAGGATGGCAGCCTTTTTCTCATAATTCTAAGAAAACAGAAGAAGAAAAAAGAAAGCAAATGGGTTTAAATCATAAAGTAAGGGCTTTAATTTAGACATAAATTAAAGATATTTTTGGCCAGAAATACTTTCAAAAATTATTAAAAATGGCTGGGGAGTCTCTTTCTCCAGAGATGCCATCAGAATGTTTCAAGCTGAGAAACGAGCTTTTAGATAAATTTTGTTGAGCAAAGATACACGGCCTGGTGGGACAGGAGACAAAAAACATTTTGGAGGTAAAATATCAAGGGCTGAGGCACAGAAGTCATTATAAGCAACTCCAAGACATGACAATAATTTGTTTGGCTGAAGAATAAAGCCCAGGGAATCATGAGAAGTGTGTTTGTTAAGAATAAAAATGGAAGGCCCAGAAGGTTCTTGACAGAAAAAGAATTCAAGGATCAGTAAAGGACTACGGAAGTCAGACAAAGGGGCTGTGATGGTGACAGTATATAATGGGCAGTCACTCTTGATTACAGAATTGTTGGTTGCCTTGGAGTAAGAGAAGAGCAAGGGTGTGAAAACCAGCTAGAGAGGGAGTGCAGTGAGCCAGCCTCACACATCAACTCGGCATGTAACCATCCCCTCCCACTCCCCCATAGAGATAGCAGAAGCCTAAACGTCTACTGTTAGAACGGTTTTCTCCAACACTCTATAAACCCATTGTATTAGTTTGCTAGGGCTGCCAAAACACAAATACCCCAGACTGGGCAGCTTCAACAACAGAAATTTATTTTCTCACAAACTCTGGAGGCTGGGAAATCCAACATCAAGGTGTTAGCAGGGTTGGTTTCTTCCGAGCCCCCTCTCCTTGGCCTGCAGATGGCCATCTTCTCTCTGCGTTTCCACATGGTCTTCCCTCTGTGTGTGTTGTCTGTGTCCTAATCTCTTCCTATAAGGAGACCTGTTATATTGGATTAGGGCCCCCACCATGACTCCATTTGATCTTGACTGCTTCTTTAAAAGCTTTATCTCCAAATACAGTCACATTCTGAGGTACTGGAGGTGAGAGCTTCAAAATATGAATTTGGGGAGACACAATTCAACCCATAACACCCAATAAGCTATTGTCCATCCTTCAAAACTGAGGATCCTTAAGTTTCTGTCCAAGGAAAAATTAAGATGGGGTAGACAATTAAAACTTTGAGGACAGAGCACCCAAGGAGAGTGCAGGCTGTGGATTCTGAAGCCAAGCTTTGCCTCCTACACAATTTTGCCTGCTACTAGGCACCACATTGGAAATAAAACCAAAGAACGTCTTCCTTGTTTTTCTCATACTCATGGAAATACTGAGATTCCATGCCCACTGGAAGCCTTTATTAGTTGTAAGGTCGGGTCAGTCTTCACAATATGAAGCATGTTCCAAAATCTATTATCTAAAATATAATTCAAATCTCAGCTCCACGCTTCTTTAATTTTTGATAATGAGCATTTGGTGTTCAAGAGTACATAGCGTTATAAATTGAGGCAGCTAATAACCCTAAGAATTAGCTCCTTTGAAATCAGTGACAAGAGTACCCTCTCAGACTTTTTTTTTCTCTTGACCTTGACGTTCCACAACTGCAAATATTGCTGATGCTTTTAATTTCCTAATGATAGTTCTCCTTTAAGTGATTCTAAAGAACAGAAGTCTGTCTCTGGAAACAGCCTCTGATTAAACCCACCACCTTCTTCAATTCACCGGAATCACCCAATCATTCTGCCCTTGACCCCAGAACCTGGATTTGACCACAGAGTGTAATGAAAGGGGGAAGGGAGGGGATGATTGAACTCTGCAGTAAGATGTGCCTTAACAGCATGGTCCCATCAGAAGTCCCCTAATTTAACAACTCTACACCTGAGGCTGGGCTTCCATGAGATTTTTTATGCTGAGGCACCTTCTCTACTGAAGGCAGCAAGTGGGTATTGTCCTAAAGAAAATCCTCTAATTAGCACAAGGAGTCTTAAGAAAGTGTAACCTAAAATGTAGTCGGTGCCACAGTCCTTACTGATGAGAATTCCTAAGAAGCTGCCACCAGCCCCTCGGGAGGGATCCACTCTGGTGTGGATAGGAACTGCTGTACCCACTGCATAAGTGTTACAGGAATGTGTTGGGTTCCTTGGAATTCTTCTCCAGGGTAGAGCATGTCATCCACTGACAAAAAGAACACTTTCTTCATTCCAAATCTGCAGATGAAATGCATCTTCCCAGTTCACTCTTCAGGGCCTTCCTTATGCCCCCAAAGTAATTTTGAGGCATTCTACCTAATTTCCATGATAGCAGATTTATGAATATTTACTGATAGCAAGCAGTGGCTATAGGGGAGCCCCAGGAGAGGGCTCAACTTCACTGCATTAGTTTTAACAATAATGAAAGTTTCAAATGAGTCAACGTACCTTCCTTGGCGCATTACAAATAACATGCTACAGCTTAAAGATCTCAAAGCAAATGACTGAAACAATAAAATATGATAAGGTAAAGAAAGGGGGGAACTTCATCTCTTTCTAGAAAAAAATAACGAGTCCCAGAGGTTAGAAAAATTGCCTCTAGGTCAGAGGCAATTTTAGGAAAGGAGCTAAGATTGCAAGCCAATTGCTTTCTTTTCCTGGGCTTCCTTTAGTCCTTTGATCTGGGTCTTTAATGTGCCTTTCATTTATATGTAGATTTCTTTTAGGATGTAGATTTCTGCTTTCAGTTGGCTTTATAGCAACTTCCAAATTTTGACTTATTTGGAATCCCAAATAGACTTTTGCTGCTCTCTGGATATATTTTGAATATTTGCTTTTCAATAGCTTAGGTACAAAAGTTTCTGAGAACCTCTAAGTCTCTATACAACAGTGAGGTATAATTTTTGTTGTTCTATCCTAACAACCAAGAGTGAGATTAGTGAGATTTAACAAACTAGAGACTAAAGAATCCATCCATGGTCAAACGAATTCAGCATGTATGTACTGAGTGCCAACTACACACCAGGTACTTTTCTAGGCCCTGAGAACTCAGCAGTGAACAAGACAGAGACAAATTAGAGACATAATAAATGATTAAATAAGAAAATATGGGCCGGGTGCGGTGGCTCACGCCTGTAATCCCAGCACTTTGGGAGGCCAAGAGGGGTGGATCACGAGGTCAGGAGTTCGAGACCAGCCTGGCCATCATAGTGAAACCCCCTCTCTGCTAAAAATACAAAAATTAGCCAGGCATGGTGGCATGCACCTGTCGTCCCAGCTACTCGGGAGGCTGAGGCAAGAGAATCACTTGAACCCAGGAAGCGGAGGTTCCAGTGAGCTGAGATGGTACCACTACACTCCAGCCTGGGCAACAGAGCGAGACTCCATCTCAAAAAAAAAAGAAAAGAAAAGAAAAAGAAAATATGTTGTATGTGAGATAGGGATAAGTACTAAGATGGAAAATTAAGCAGAAAAAGGAGTTAAGGAATGCCAGAAAGAGCATTGCAACCAGGGCAGAGCTCTGGCTGGCTGGAACTCTGGGTGAGGTGGAAGCCACTGAAGGCTGCTGGGGAGAAAAGTGAGGACATGCTCTGACTGCTGTCCTGAGAATTGAATTGTAAGCAGAGGTTGCTAAACAAGCCTCCACATGAACCCAGGTAAGAAATGGTGGCTAAGAAGCAAGGCACTCACCTCCGGCCTGGCCCCTGAGAGGAACAGGCTTTTAGAATATTCTTTGGGGTCTCAGGGAGTGGAACACTGTATGTAAGATAGCATCACTGGGGGAAAACAGTTTACGATACAGGGAGCCTCTCTGCACTACCTTTGCAATGTCTTGTGAGTCTGTATCATTTCTGAATAAAAGGTTTACAATGGAATTATTTTATCAAGTCTAATCTTCCTGCATTAATTCTGATCTTGCTTTATTTCCTACTAATAACTTAAATCATCCTAGAACAGCTATGATGAGTAACCACTAGCCTTTGTGGGGAAAATAAAACAGCTTTCCTCTAAAAAGTAGACTATTTCAAGACTCATTCTTTACTCTTTTATGAACTTGTGAGAAAAAGGAAAATGGCTTTTGTTCTGTTTCAAAGAACATGCAATGGAAACCAAAATTCTATACACTGATCTTCAAACAGATTTAGCTGCTTTAGAATAGAGGATATCTTGGGCCTGCTGCATATACACACTTCTCTGGCAGGAGAGTGGATAGATGAGATGGTCCATAAATGCTGATAGAAAACCCATTAGCTGAATCACATTAGATTAGCCAAGTAGTGTTATTGAGGACATCTGAAAAACCTCAAGTGCTAACATCAGTGGACTACGCATTAAATAGAGGTGAGATAGCACCTAGAAGGACAAATGGAAATTCTTTCATTATTTAAAACAAATGTATCCATATTTCCTAAGCACTACCTATTCCTTTGATCATACACACGAAAGCTTCTTATCTGTCAGAAGAAAGCAGTTACTAAAGGCAAAGAACCAACCAGGGTTTTGATGGTTTGATACACAAGTCCCTTGCTGAAATGACTCCCATTGAGTCTGCCAAGTGCCCAGAATTAGGTATTGCTTTGCACTAAGTCATTATCTCTCTAAAAGGCCTTTGCAAAGGCTAATAGCTTAGTTTAGCACATTAACTTCCCAGGCCCTGGTGATGCACACGAGCTAGCTGAAACCTTGGCAAGCATGGTCCCAAAGGAAAGTAATATAAGCGGGCACTGGCCCAACTACATCACTTTTTATCCTTTTATTAACAATACCATTTATTGAGCTCTTACTATGTGCCAGCTCCTAAGCTTAGAACGCCCAGACATAACTATTATTCTTCTTATTAAAGAGGTTGAGTAAATCCCCCAAAGTCCATAGCTGTAAGTAGTGAATCTGGAATTCAAACTCAGCATTTAGCACAGTGCTTGGCGCATAGCAGCTGGTCAATTAACAATCCACACATGAATGAATGAATGAATGAATGAATGAATGAAACCCCCAGGTCTGTCTGATTCCAAAGTTCAGACTCCATGGGCATTTACGCAGTGTTTCACAGTTTTTAAGCACGTTCCCATATGCTGTGGTGACTTCAGAGTTGAAACAGCCCACAGCATTATTTGTCTCAAAAAGTACACTTTTGTAGGATGCTTCTTTTTCCCCACGGCTTATTCTATAGGACCCCAAGACAACCTGGAGAAGATCCAGAACACAAAGCATCCACAGGGCAGAGAGTTGCCTGGTGGGGAGCAGAAAGGAGAAAAAAGAGAGGTCACTAGGCCTTCCCTGTAGGTTGCAGGACAGCTTTGCAGACAAAAGGCTAAGATGACACATAAAGATGAAGGGCTGCTGTGATTGGTTAAAGAGGTAATCAATAGTCATTCAGGCTTAGGTTGGCATCCAGCCCCATCTCTTACTAGCTGTGTGACTTAAGCTTTCTGAACCTCAGTCTCTGCATCTATAAAATGGAGATCATTGTTACCTCCCTCACTAGGTAGTTATGAAATTATGCGAGAAAATGTGTGTAAAGTACAGTGCCTGGCATACAGTTAGTGCATACAAGTTAGCTATCTTTATTATTAAAGAGTAAGGTGATGGCTCCCATGGGCATATGTCATCATTTGATCTATGGTTCTCATTGGAGTCATAAATCACCGTAGTTCCCACACTTGAAGATCTTCATTAGACAAGAACCACCAATCCAACCTAAAGGATTTAAAAATATTCACCCTTCTAAGAGCAGGAACCAAAGTGGACCTCTAAACAACCTATTCCACCCTCCCATGCTAAGATGCCCCAGTTTCCAAGCCCCTGACTAGGGGAGGGTGAAGTGAGACTTCCTTCAGACTTTACCCTTTTAGAAATTCTGTTTCGTGCCAGTGTTAATTTCACAGTCCTTAGTGTTCTTTCTATTATTCATGAGTTCTCTGCAATTCAATTTTACAAAGCAAAGGAGGGCAAACAGATACATTTCCCCTTTGAAAACAAAACAGTTCTAGCCCCTGTGGAACTGAAGGCCTGTGGATCAGATGAGTCTTGTGCAACCATAGCAATTGGATTTAAGCGCGTTTCTTGAAGACAGCCCAAAGACAAACTCCACGCTTTGCATTTATATTTGGGGACATTTTACATTGCATTTCTTTTTGTGGGAGTGTATCAATACCCTGAAATTTACTCTACTTTTCTTCGTAACTCAGCATCCCTCCCTTTACTAGACAACGAGAGCTGCATACAAAAGAAAAAGGGAAAGTGAGAGTCCTCCATTCTGCCTCCACTTGTCCTACTTCCTCTGAGCCATCCCATAACATGATTACGTTCCTTCGTAATCAACTGTGTCAAATACTTTGCTGCTAATGAAATAATGTGACCCCTGGGAGGGGCAGGCCTTTAGAATATTCTTTGTGATCTCAAAAAATGGAATACTGCTCTTGGTAAGTATGATGACTCTATTGGGGGAAGCTGGGTGGATTGACAGTTAATGGATCGCCTTAAACCTTTTCTTTAGCCCCTGTGCTGGCTCTGCAATGTGCAATGGGACCCATGGCATGCTAGATGCAGAAGGGTGGCAGCATGTAGCGGTCCCCTCTTATCTGTGGTTTTGCTTTCTGCAAGTTTCAGTTACCCACAGTCAATCACGGTCCAAAAATACTGAAATATTGAGAGAGAGAGTGAGAGAGACCACATTCACATAACTTTTATTACAATATATTGTTGTAGTTGTTCTATTTTATTACTATTCTCTTACTGTGTCTAATTTATAAATTAGACTTTATGATATCATACATATATACACACACATATACAGGAAATAATAATTTATATAGGTATAAGAAGTTCAATACTATTCATGGTTTTAGGCATACATTGGGGGATCTTGGAACATATTCCCCGCAAATAAGGGGGAACTAATATATAGGATCTGTGTGCAAAAAAAGAAAAAGTCACTCCATGCAGGGCTTGGCAAACAGACGGTGTCTTTTTGCAAATTGGGGGAAAAAAACAAGTCACCACTTCCTGAAAGCTGACATTGCCTTGAGACACAGGCTAAATTTCACCCCCTACTCTTCACTGTTGAACTGTAGTGTAGCTCTGTCCTCCAGCACAGAAGATGACAGCTGCACTCTGCCACCCATCTCCATAGTCTTCTCACCTAGACCTGGTCTGAGGGCCTTGTTGAGGGAATCTAGGAAGCAGCTGCCAAGCTTAGGGAATGGTTTGTGAATTTCTCATTTCATTCTGAACTGAAAACAACTACTCAGCTTACTTGGCTAAAAAAGAAGTTGATTAGATGAAACTGAAGGATATGTGTCTGCTGCTGCAGACTAATGTAGAAACATCCAGTACCTCAGCTCCTGTTTTGGGGGTCACAGGCCCCAAAGCTATGCTGAGAATGTAACTGCTATAATCAGATACTTATATGGGCCACAGTGTTTGATTGGGTGACTCAGGAGCTACCACGTCCAGTTTATCACATCTCACCTTGGAATCCAGACAGGCTACTGTGGCTGCATGGGAGAATGTTGATTGTGATAAGGCTATAGACCTATCACAGAAAAGGGGGTCTTTGCTATTTGTTCCTTCACACAGTGGAGAGCATAAAAAATAGAGGAAGATATCAGAAGTGGAAAGCAGAGGGTGTGACATACAGATGTGCCCACCTCCAACTGGTTAGGAGCAGTAACAGGCTTGGAAAAGAACTACCAGGAAAATAAGACCTGTAGAAGTCACCTGAGTACTGTCCTGGTATGAACCAGACATCTTCTCACATGCCAGCAGCTGGAGTCCCAGCATCACTTTCATGTCTGAGATGAACTGGGCCGGGTTTTCTGGGACACACCTCCCTGTTCGGTAGGCCTGAATGGCTAGGTTGAGCATTCAAGCCATTCATCAGTGAGCAGGCAAGGTATTGCTACTGCAGCAAGTAGTGAAGGGGACGTCCTGTCTTCAGAGGCTTCCACTGGAACAAAGAGACACATCCCCCAAATGGCAAGCTCTCCTTGATCAGGAGCAGCCTCTAAGGGACTGTTAAAATTCAACAAAATAAAACAATGAACTATTTGTCCACTCTATACTGATGGCAAACAGTGGTCTCCATCCTTTTCATAACAAACATTCCTGGGTCTCGAGACCATTGTTATATTGTCCAGGGCCTTCTATTACCAAGGTGAAATAAGCCAACTCTCTTCCCCTTTCCTTCCTGAGCCTAGCCTCCTCCTCTCTCTTAGATTTGTGTCTGGCCTGTGAATTCCATTTAAGTCATCGAGTTAATAAATGACTCAATAGAGCTCTCAGCAAGGACTGAAAGCAGTGCTGAGCGCAATCTTGATTAGATTAAATATGTGGCGTACAGCTGAGTCCTCTAAGATAAAAGTTAAAATTAAGTTGAATATTTTTTTTTTTTTTTTTTTTTTTTTTTTTTTTTTTTTTTTTTTTTTTTTTTGAGACGGAGTCTCGCTCTGTCGCCCAGGTCGGACTGCGGACTGCAGTGGCGCAATCTCGGCTCACTGCAAGCTCCGCTTCCCGGGTTCACGCCATTCTCCTGCCTCAGCCTCCCGAGTAGCTGGGACTACAGGCGCCCGCCACCGCGCCCGGCTAATTTTTTGTATTTTTAGTAGAGACGGGGTTTCACCTTGTTAGCCAGGATGGTCTCGATCTCCTGACCTCATGATCCACCCGCCTCGGCCTCCCAAAGTGCTGGGATTACAAGGTTGAATATTTTTTAAAGAATTGAAATTTAGCCTTCAGAGGCAAATATTAGATGCTAGTGATAAAGACAAAGAGTAAATGCACCCCTTGGTCCTCCATCTTTTTCATCATTCTCCCACTCAGTGCCCATTTCTCTTTCCTCACTCCTGCTTGGATTGGGCACCAAGGGTAAAAATCAGAAACAAAAGCATTTTCCAAAGGACTGGGAGAATATTTATGTTCCTTCTTATTTCTCACGTTCCTCCTGCATGGCCTTCTCCCATCCCTCCCATCCCTCCACCACACATGTAGGTGCACACATACACACACGATCAGCCAGTGAGTGCAAAAGTGGTATTCACGTCCCTTATCCCCCCATCAGGGGGAAATGGGGTTGCTAACCCAAAATGCATTTTCAAATCTAGTCCTGTTCTATAGAAACAAATGTTCTTTCCAGTAAAACACCCTGTAATTCTGGGGGCATTATTACCAGTGGATAAATGAGAGGTTGTGATTTCAGCTCTCCCTCTGATTGCCCTATTACGTGGCATCCCCACTGTTGCTCTGGCTACCCTGTTATTCTCAGAATGTTCAAACCACTCTCTTTGCCCCTATTTTGTTGTGTTTTTTTTGTTTGTTTGGTTGCTTTTTTCTGTGTTTCTGTTCTCTCACAATTTTCTTTTACATTTCAAAATAAGTCTGTCTTTAATCCATTCTTTTTTATTTTTTGACATATAAAATCGTAGGTATGATTTTTATCATGTACATCATGTTTTGAAGTATGTATACATTGTGGAATGGTTAAATCTAGCTAGTTACCAAATGCATTACCTTACATAGTTATCATTTTTGTGTTGAGAACACAACATTCCACTCTCTTAGTGTTTTTTAAGAATACAATATATTGTCATTAACTACAGTCATCATGCTGTAGAATAGATCTCTTGAACCTGTTTTGAAAATAAGCATTGAAACACAAACCAAATGAATGTCAAATATGACATTCCAAAACACGATTGTTGTGCTTTGTAGAAACTAACTGCCTCTTTATATAAGAAAAAGCAAAACAAATAAAACAAAAGCTTCTGTAATTCAGACATGTATTTCCAGTTGGATTCGAAAGGTTTCCCCAGTAAGAGACTCCAAGCTTTGTTTTCTTTGCCCACTCACACTCCACTCAGCCTCTCTCAACAGCCCCTTCACAGTCAGCTGTGCTAAGATACTTCTGCTCAGATGCCTCTCAGAGAAGAAGGAAATGAGCTGCTGAAACCTGACTTTCTGTCCTTTTTGCAAGACTCTGCTTGGCAATAAAGCAGAGACTGGTGGTCAAGCTAAAGTCATTACACTGGGATTACTGATTGGTCTGGAGGCAAGAGATAGTTATGAAAGAGAAAGAAAGCTATTTTTCCCCAAAATGACACCCAGGACTAACTTAAGAATTAAAACACAACTTTAATACGTAATAATTTAAAAGGAAAAAAGACATCGTGATAGGTCACATTTCTAGAAACTGGGCCATTTCTGTCCGTGCCAGTTTGGCACAGCTTAGACACCCTCCAGTACAAAGCAGCTAAGAAGAGTCAAGGAATCTAAAAATGTCTTCTAGGGGCAGACAACTCAAGGTTCCTGGAATCAGGATTAAGGACATCTAGAGTGAAAAGCAGTGGCTCTCAAATTTCAGCAGTTTTGCTTCAGTCTGTGCTGAAGTTTAGGCAATTCTTCCTCCTGGGGAGCAGGCGCCCTAGGTTCCTAGCAAGCTGAGCTCTGGGCCTAAGGAGAAATACTGTTAGTTACGTATAAACTATTTTAAAACTGGTGTGCTCTGTAATTGCCATTTCGAAGTTTGAAAAGGTAAAGGAAAAAAAAACTTTAATTTTCAAATTAATTTCTGGTCATTAGCAGACTATTAAGAGCTTAAGGTCCAAAAGCTTTGGTCCTAGGAAAAAGCCACTCTCCAACCCACTCAGCCCACTTTCACTTGGAGGAGGATACCGAAAGCTGGAAATAGCCCTTGGGTGAGGATTTCCATCACTTTCTACCCTTCCTGGGCCACAAGCACAGCAGTCAGCCCCAGAAGGCAGCAGTTGGTGGGGACAGTGCACCATCGGCTTAGGGATAGCAGTGCCTGTTCCCTTTTGCCAAGTCCCTGGGTCCAGGCTGGGATCTCCTGCAGAAGAAAGAAAACTCACCTGTCTCCCATCCTCCCTCTCCTCCACCAGCTACTCACTGGATGGCGGCAAAATAAGTCACCAAACATCATCTGACCATCCTCAGAAGACACATATGAGGCAAATAAATGACAAGGTATATTCCCTTCACGTTCTGACAGGAAAAGAACAAGAGGCTGGAGCCTTTGTGTCCTAAACCTCAAAGCCCTCCAAACTGTTCCTGGTTCGTAGAGCCTGGGGCTAAGAGGAACTTCAGTGACCAAAGATAATTTTCAGATGTCTTATGAATCACGAGAAGATATAAAAGAACAGGAGGCAGGGATTAAGCCCAAAACCCCCTGTGTTCCTTCTTACACAACTGAGATACAGGACTAAATGCCATGAAAAAATTGCTGAATTAAAGAGAAAGGTGTAGAAATTCAAGCTGTTCTAAGGTAAGAAATCTCCCTAAGTTACCCCCTAGCTTAGGCTTACACTGTAGAGTCTGCTCAAAAATGTGCTCAAGCCCCATCACCTTCATTCAAGCCCTCGCTAAAACTTTCAATGAGTTATTATATGCATTAAATTGTCATTTAATCGTACCCAAGCACTGTCATAAAAGCAAATGAAGCAAGTCAAGCAGCATTGGAATAAAAAATACCACACTAGGTACATTCTGAAAGCACAAGCTGAAAAATGCTTACTGTCAACTCATACCCCGGGAAGGGGCAGCCTCCTGTCATCGAGGGTAACAAATGGTTTTGAAGGTGCCGGCTCTTCACACTCTCATGTGTGGCTTGGGAGTCGATGTCTGCCAACCAGCAGCAAGGCCGGCTTCCTCTTAGCTGACCACTGTCCCACAGGCCTTGGTTGGAGGTTGTTTGGTCCAAAGGCCCAACTCAAAAAGAGGCTGTCAGGAACTAACCCCAGAGCAAGCTCTTACATGCTCTTTTTTAGTTAGGAAGTAATGGCAATTCCCTGTCTCAGAAATCCTCAGCGGAACACCCATTTCAGGCTGTCTTTAGTGAATTTAAATGCACCATAACAGCTTCTATAAGTGGAGAAGGGGGTTACCCACAAAATCCCTGACTTACATCCACCCAGAGGAATTCTGGCTTACCAAGATCCCCCAACTGGTATGCTTTTGTGACCCTGATGGGGGCACTGATGAGGGGAAAACTGGAAAAACCAAAAAGAATAGTTGAGTTTCTACTGGCAAGAGCAGAGAGAAGGCACTAGGGAGCCCGGGGAACCTGCAAAAGCTGAGGGTAGGAGATTGTGGGGTGCTCAGGCAGAGATAGAGGACGCCTTTGAGACATTTTTAAAGAGGCAGGGGGAAAAGATGATTTTTAACAGGTTGAGAATATACTGTGACTGTAAATCCTTTCTGTTCAGCTTTGTTTGTATTTCATTTGCTTATTTGTTTTGCTATATTTTGGAAAGACTACGTTTTTAAAGATGAAAGTTGCTTGTTCAAGTTTTTTAGAACTCTAAACAGGCTCAGAATTCCAAACAGGTGTCTTTTTTTTTTTTTTAATGTTATATAGTGTTGAGACCAGCCTATATAGTGACTCCATTTTTAATGGTTATGTTTAGATATTTGTACCTCTTTGGCATCTTCTGAGAGTAAATGATTCAATTTATTCAATATTGTTGAATGCAAAACACTCAGCTTGACCTGTAGAAAACTCAAAGATATCAGACAAGGACACTGTTTTGAAAGAGCTTAACCTGATGTAATTACCATTTAATGGCTATTATAATTATATTCTATTTAAAACAGATACTGGAAGAGAAGCATACTTCAAGTTCTAAAGAAGCTTGAAATAGAGGGAAAATACTTCCAGCTAGGGAGGAAGTTGAGGGAGAGGAAGAACCATCATGAATTAAGGAATACTTCATGGACCTTAAATGATGAGTAGGCTTTTGGCATGCACAGATTGGAGGGTAGAGTCTTCTAGGTAGAGGGAAGGGAATTCTAAAATGAAAGAAAAACCTAAGCAAAAACTAGAAGGAAGAAAATATAGAGGATGCTTAAGTAAATAGTGAGAGGCTCAGTTTAACTAAACAAAATATCTATGAGGGGAACTAATAGGAGGTGAAGTTAGAAAGGCAAGTCATAAGCAAACCACTGAGAATAGAGGCTGCCATGCTAATGAGCTTATTTGGCTCAATAAGCATTTGCAGGGGATACATGTGGCAACTGAAGATTTTGAACAGAGCATTCCTGAAACAGGGCATGTTTCATAACTTTGTGTTGAGGCCCAGCCTGTCCTCCAGCAATATTGCTTCCCATCCATGCTCACTCAGATTTTCTTAATTCATATTTCGAAAAATAAGTTTTGAACCACGTACATATTGAGGCTTTGGAGAAAAGACTGAACTGCCTCTGTCACCTGGGCAAGAAAACTTTATGGGAAGTCAGGCCACAAGGCAATCTTTCCAAACATGGCAGGCCACTGTTGATTTTACTGGCTGATCAGGCAGAGTGTCATCTCCTTCCCCCATTCCCAGGACCAAGCATGACCCTAGTTGGCCTGAAGGTAGGTGGTCATTAGCACAGATAAGTTCCCACATCCTAGTAGTTTAAGAGATTTTAAATGGTGGCTGAGACTGAGCTCAAGACGAAGTCTGGATGACAGACAGATGGCATCCTCTCATAAATGCAGACAGGCTCAGAAATACTGAAGGTCTTAAAACAATCTGCGGGGACACATGCAAGAACCAATACTAGTATCGCCTTATAAGGGTTTCTTTCCCAGAGGAAGATCATTAGTGCCAAGAGTTGGCCATTGGTGGAATGCAGATCTGTCCACATAGTTTATGTATCCCAGTCACTGGTAATGTTCAGGAAGAAGCAGCAGGCTTCTTAGTATAGAGACCATATCTCCTTGATTCACTACTGCATCCCAAAATCATTCCTAGTACATAGGGGACACTGGATGAATACTCATGGAATAAATGGCCAAGTAAACTGGTGCAGCTGGTGAGCATCCTCCTAGGGTACTGTACAGAGAATTTCTGCATTGGCAAGGAGGCTGAATTTGATTTCTGAGGCCCCTCCCAGCACTAAGATTCCATGGTCCTCCTCTGCATGTTGAAATTCATTAAATATTTATTGAACACCTGCTATATACCAGAGGATGTCCTAAGCACCCAGAAAACAAAGGTAAATAAAAACAAACCCTTTTACTCAAGGAACTCATGATATAGTTAAAATGACAGTCCATAGTTTAGGAATACCCTCCTCAAAGGGATCAAAGAATCTGAAGACCCCTCGGTTATCCATTTAGTTTCTTCCAGAGACCTTTTAAGTACTAATATACATATTTACTAATAAGTACTTCCCTAGATGATATATGATATGGTTTGGCTGTGCCCCACCCAAATCTCATCTTTAATTCCCATGTATTGTTGGGAGGGACCCAGTGGGAAGTAATTGAGTCATGGGGGCAGGTCTTTCCCATGCTGTTCTCGTGATAGTGAATAAGTCTCACAAGATCAGATGGTTTTATAACGGGGAGTTTCCCTGCACAAGCCCTCTTCTCTTGTCTGCTGCATGTGAGGATGGGCCTTTCACCTTCTACCATGGTTATGAGGCCTCCCCAGCCACATGGAACTGTGAGTCCATTAAACCTCTTTTTCTTATAAATTACCCAGTCTCAGGTATGTCTTTATCAGAAGCATGAAAACAGACTAATACAGAATATAGTTCTGAATTTTCTATCCTAGTGAAAAGTTGAGTGAGGATGGTAAAACTTAGTTTCAAAAGTGCTCCCAGAAGAAAACAGACTGCCTGGCCCAGTGGCGTTTTAGTGGGATGGTTTGTCTGTCTCTTCCTCCTGTGTATGCTTTTATTGGAGTTCATGAAAGAATCATAGAATCCTAGGTCTGAAAAGGAACTTAGAGCTCATCTACTCTAACACCCTTAGGAAACTAAAGCCTGTGGAGTCAAATAGCCTCTAGTTAGTGACACAGCTGAGACTGGAACTGTGTCTTTTGACTCGAAGCTAACATTCTCTATGCCACACCAAGCTAACATGCTTTTTAAGCATTGGGAAACTGCTGATGTGCTCTGTGTATCTATATTACAGCTGAAAGGCCTTATTTCCATAATCCAAAAAGAGGTAATGAAATACCTGTCTTGCTTGAATTCTCTGAAGGAAATTTAGAGAGGCTGCTCGGTGTTATGGAAAATATACTGGATTGGATCCATGAAATTAAGGTTCTAGACTGATCGCTATGAGTAATTTTATGGGTATCTTCCAACTTCAGCCCTCTGGATCTCAGTTTTCTAGCTAAAAGAAAGGGTAGTGAACAACAATCAGGTATAGCAAACTCAAGTGCCTGGTAGAATCAGGAAGGTAACAAATATGTGTAAAGCAGGCCAAATACAAGACCATAAGCAGGGGTGAGCAGCTGGAGAGTTCAGGTCCCTTTTAAAGGCTTTCAAATTCAAATTTAAAATTTAAAATGGTGTGGACCCCAGAAGACAGTTCTGTGAGTCAAATGTAGCCCACAGTCAGATAGTATAATACGTCTGAACTAGATGCTTAGGCCCCTTTCTTCTACAATTTCTTGAATATGAAAACAAAATATGTGGTTACCAGAAGTCAGTGTTTTCACTAGAGTCTAATATATTATGATTGCTTTCAAGTAACTCATTTGTTTTAACATTTCTTTGATCTAGAAATACCTAATCATTTTCCTCTGTCTTGCTGTGCAGCTTTCAATAGTTTGCCTGGTTTCTCTGTGCCGCAGTTTGTCATTAGCTAAATGAAAAATAAAATCGCTGACCATTCTCATACGGTATGGTATGAATTAATTAATGTTTTGGCATAAATGTCAAGGATGTTCGTTAATAAAATATATCTTGTGGGCATATATCCTTCATGATCGTTTGCCTCAATAGTTTTTTTGTTGGCATCAACTTTTATTGACTGTTCTACATAATTAAAACCCCAGGAAATTGACTTAAAAAGACCAGGAAGGGTGTGTAATACAGGACTGCCAACATTAATGAAATAATTTAAGTCAGAATTAGACAAAGGGAAAAAGTAAACTCAGCAAATTATTCAAGTACTAAGAAAGCCTGATTGTTCAAGTGTAATTAAAATATACAGCTGGAATAGTAACCGCTAACAGAGTGATCTGATCAATGAACACAGTAGCTATAAAAATTTAATGCAGTGTGAGCAGCCTATTTTTTAAAATGCAAATAATCAACCCAAAATGCAGCTGCCTGTTATGAGGCAAACATGCAAAAACTAACAAGCTCAGGGAAATTGTACTGATGACTCAGAAAAAACAGGCTGCTGTAAGATATTAAGAATATTGCTCTCAATAGCAACGCCCCCATTTAATCATAAAGATTAATTTCTCTAAAAAAGGGGGGTGGAGCTGGTGGTCAGAGCTATAAGAGAATTTATTTCCTCCATCCAATTCTTTACCTAATGCCTGGGCTGCGCAGTGATGTATGCTGTATCTCCTCACCCATGCTGTCCACATTACACCCCTTTCATTACCACCCAGACCACTTTACCCACACAGTGTCTAGACTTTTGATCTAACACTTTAAATTAGCATAAAAACAAAATAAAACCAGACTCTATAAAAGTTACAGGCATATCTGAGAAAAAAACTACAAGGGAGCAAATCACTAGAGGGGATGGTGAGATTTTAGGTCATTTCTTTCATTATTTCTATTATTTTTATTATAAAGTGTGCAGTTAACATGTAAAAACTGGAATGTCTCCATACCACACCAGGGCATGGGTATGAACAAGGTCACAATAATATTAATCGCACACATTTCATCAGCTTCAAAACCCTACTTGCTAATATAGGAACACCAGGCCTTGGAAGAGTTCCCACCCCTCTTCCAGCATCACTGAGATTCCCCTCCTGTGGCTGGATGAGCTGTGGTGGACACGGAAATTTGACACCCAGATCCCCTCAAAGGGAGTACTCATCTCAGTGCTTAGCTCCCTCCAAATCTGCCTTAGCTACAGAGAGATGCTCCTTTCCTGGCACAGCCCACACCCAGTGACTGATGGGGGTGGATGTAAAGGTCCAACCATATTAGCTCACTCGGAACAACTCTGGCAGGCACATGCAGTCCAGAGCTCCCAAAGGGGCTGGTCGAGTTATTATTGGGCCTGTATTGAAGTTTATTTAACTTCTCTGTCTGCCCAGTCCTGCTTCTTCCCCTCTGTCCTTCCAAAGTTGTTGATTCCTAGTAAATATCCTGCAGACCAATCTCCATCTTGGCATCTGCTTTCAGACAAGCCAACATGTGACATGAATGCATCCTGGCTACCACTAGCAACTGAGCTGGCCAAGTGGGTCTCAACTGCTCAGCAGGATCCTCCATCTTCCCCAGCCTGGACCCACATCTCTGCTGGTCACCATGGAAACCAGCCCCTCAGCCCTCAGTGCCCTGTGAGTACTCAGCAGTCCCCTGTGACACTGGAAGGACCTCCCTTCCTCTGCAGTACGTTCCATCAGCAGATACCAAAGGAGGACTCATTGGGCCCTGATGTATCTCTCGGTTTACAAATAGGTGGTTTTCTCCCCCTGCCACAATAGCCAGACAGAATAGGTTTGAGTACAGCCACCACCCTGTACCTGGAATCTACTCCTCTCTGAACCTCAAAAATTCATCTTCTAGTCAAGCCAGACTCTGGCTTCCATGTGGTAAGTTATCTCTCAACTTTCTTCCCTGCCTCGACAAAAACCCTCTTGAGATTCCTTTACACAGCCATAAACACATCTAATCCACCAAACAGGTCTGAACCTGTCTTAGTCCTTTCTGTCCAGCTATAACAGAATACCACAGATCGGTTAATTTATAAAGAAAATCCATTTATTTCTCACATTTCTAGGGGCTGAGAAGTCCAAGAGCATGGTGCCAGCATCTGGCAAGGGCAATCCCATGGAAGAAAGGTGGAATGCAGAAGTGAGCATGTGGGATAGAAAGACAGGAAATCAGGCTGAACTCATCCTTTTTATCAGGGGCTCACTCCTGAGGTGATTAGCCCACTCCCAGGATAATGACCTTCATCCATTCATAAGGGTGGGGCCTTATGACTTAATCAAATCATAAAGGCACCATTTCTCAATACTGTCAATTGGCCACTAAATTTCCACATGAATTTTTAGGGGACAGTCAAATCAACTGTTGTAACCACTGAAGTGTTTGGAGGCTCTTAATCTTCAGGAAGTGTAATAAAACTAGCTGTGGAAAATGATGAGGAAAGGAGAGAAATGTTTTTTTGTTTGGTTCGTATACATATAAATATTACCTAACAAACATTTATACCCCAATTACCATTGGCCCTGATCTAAGTCTTTTATATATATTAACACATGCAATCCTAAAACAGTTCCATCAGATAATTAATTAGGCCCACTCTGCACATGAGGAAGCTGAGGCACAGAGCAATTTGGTGATGCGAAGTTATACAACATGTAAGCTGTAAGTTTGCAACCTGCGGAATAGGAGAAAATATTTGCGAACTATATGTGCAATAAGGGGTTAACATCTAAACTGTATAAGGAACTCATACAACTCAATAGCAAAAGCAAAAGCAAAAACAAATGTTCTGATTTTACAATGGACAAAGAACCTGAATAAACAGTTTTCCAAAGACATACAAACAGTTAACAGGTATATGAAAAGGTGCTCAACATCGCTCATCATCAGAGAAATGCAAATTCAAACCACCATGAGACATCACCTCACACCTGTTAGAAAAGCTATGATCAAAAACATAAGAGGTAACAAGTGTTGGTGAGGATGTGGAGAAAAGGGAAACTTTGCACACTGTTGGTGGGAGTGTAAATTGGTACAGCCATTATGAAAAACAGTATGAAGGATCCTCAAAAAATTAAAGCTAGAACTCCCTTGTGAACCAGCAATCCTACTTTTGGGTATATATCCAAAGGAAATGAAACAGTATGTCAAAGAAATCTCTGCACTCCCCTGTTCATTGCAGCATTATTCACAATACCTAAGATATGGAAAGAACCTAAATGCCTATAGATGAATGAATGAATGAATGAATGAATGAATGAATGAAGAAAATGTGGTGTGTCTATATAAATGTGGTATATATATGTATGTATACACACAGACACAAACACACTAGAATATTATTCAGCCTTTACAAAGAAGGAAATCTTGTCATTTGCAACAACACGGATAAATCTGGACAATATTATGCTAAGTAAAATAAGCCAGACACAGAAACACAAATACTGCATGATCTCATTCATTTGGAATATATACATGTTAAACTTATAGAAACTGAGAGTATAATGGCAGTTTCCAGGGGCTGGGAGTGGAGGAAATGGGAAGATGTTGTAAAGGGGTACAAATATTCAGTCAGACAGAATGAACAAGTTCTGGATATCTAATGTACAGCATGGTGACTATAGTTAATAATAATGCACTGTACACTTGAAATTTACTAAAAGAGAAGATCTTAGGGATTCTCATCATAAAAAAAGCTACTAACTATGTGAGGTGATGGAGATGTTAATTAGCTTGATTGTATACATCATTTCATGATGTATGCATGAATGTATGTATATGTATTCATAAATAAGTGTATGTATTATATATGTATGCAGTGTACATATATATCAAAACATCACTTTGTACACCTTGAATATATACAATTTTTATTTGTCAATTACACAGAAAAGCTGGGGGAAAAAGTTGTGAGGATGCTAGTCAAACCAGGTGGCCTGGCTCCACTGCCCTGCTCTTAACCACTGCTCCACATGGCTCTTCAGCTCGGGATGGATACCTATTCCAGTATAATACTGAAATATCTCACTTGGGGAAAATTAAAGATGCAACAACAATAAGCCAGCAAAGGTCTACATCCTTTCGTCTTCTTTTTTCCACCTCACCCAGGCAAATGCCTGAGGCTAAAATAGTACTTTCCAAAGCGCCTGAACAGGGATAGGCATCAGAGTAAACAATACTGGGTAAAATCATCTGTGACGCATTTTCTGCCATTTTCTTGGTATCTAGTTTCCCCTAACCCCTCTCTTCTCACTCCAGTGCCCCAGTAGCTCTTGGCAGAGGCTTAAATGGGTCACCTGGGGCAGCCCTGGCTTGAGCTCTGCTTGCTGCCTCTGGCCTTATCTGCAATGAAGCAGCCGCTGCTTGGTGTACAGCAATTCTCAAAGGTCATCAGAGGCAGCTGCAAGCTTGGCTGGAGTTAACACAATTCGTTAAGCAGGCGATGAGTCCTCCAGAGCTGAGTGAACGCCTACATAGCTAACATATTGACGCTATTCCAAGTGGCTTCCTTCTGTCCTCGCCTCTATTGCCCATGCTGGATATACTAGTAGTTCATGCTCTTGACTTGAACCTCTGCTACTGTAGTGCTGTGAAGGCAGAGGACTCAGAGCTCAATTCAGCTGCATCTTTTTAAATGCCAATGAAGGGAAAAATCACTATAGAAGAGGCAAAGGGCTGCAACATTAACATCTACAGAGAATTTATTCTTACGAAATCCCATCGGGAAGTTTCAAGTATTATCTCAGTTAGCCCTTCCTACCACACTATGCAGTATTACTCACGTTCTTTAGGTGAGGAAAATGAGAAGACAGAGAAAGTGACTTGATCAAGGTCTCACAGCTAAAAAGTAGCACAGCTGATTTAAAGCCATTCCTGTGTGACCCCCACACCTCTGCTTTCCCCCACCGCAATATGGTGGTGTGCTAAAGGAGCTCACAGTTAAGTGAGTAAGGCCAATGTATAAAAAACTAACAGAGCACAAAGTAGAATTCAAAAGTGGCCATAACAGAGGTTCAAGATGGAAGACAGAGGAAGGAACAAGTCATTGCAACTAGGAGGCTTAGACAAAGAGGTTGCTTTTGAGCTAGATCTTGAAAACTAAGTAGACTAAAGAAGTTGTATGAGCAAAAGGACAGAGTCATAAAAGAGTGTGTAGCAAAAGCTACTAGCTGTTCACAATTATCCATTTCCTCTTCTTCTACACTTGGCCAGATTATCTTTCCTAAAACTCCTGTGCAATTCAGTATGGCCACCCTTCTAAAAATTCTAGCTAATGGAATATGATTAGAAGTGATGACTGACGGGGCTGGCCCAGAAACCCCTCACATGGGCTTTCTGTCCAGTTTACCCTCTAACTGGCTGGAACAAAGATGACCAGGGCAGCTCTGGATGCTGCGTGCTGAAGACCGCAGAGCTCTCATCAGTTTGACTCTCGACTAGACCTCATGGAGGAGAGCTCTCCTGCCTACCAGGAGCACCTACGTTGGATTCTTTAGTGAGTAAAACATATATGAACTTCTACTGTGTTTGAATCATTCTGCATTGGGGTCTACTTGTGACAGGAGCTTGTGTTACCCTAAATAATACCAGTAGTATCCTTAGGTGAAGGTGAACAGAGAGGCACCCAGGCAATGTTGCGGAAGTAGCCTGGACACCCCAGTGGGGGTAGATCGAGGTGGGCCACATTAAAGAGTTGAGATTTCTTCTGTTAGCAGCAGGCAAAGTAAATTCACACTCTGACAAAATTAGTCTGTATATAGGCAAAATGAGTTTTGAAGGCCACTTTATGAGCATCTGACATTTAAAACTGTATGCTGGGCACTAACATGAGTACCTCCTTACACAGTCGATCTTTTATTTTGCAAAGAAGTAAGCTGCTAGAAATGATACCTATGCTTCAAGTTTTGTACTTTCCATTTTATTAATGAGCATTCATTGATTTGGTTACATGTTTTAGTTTTAGTTCCACCAACATACGCTATAATTGGCATCTGACAATGGAAGAGAATACCCAAGTTAGAAATACACAAATGCTCCTACTCTAAGGACAATTGAAGAACAAACAGAAACAAAGATTGCAGCTGGCATTATGTTGTCAGAGAAAGCAGAATGTTGTAAAAGATATTCCTATGCTCTTTCAGACATACTTTTCCCAAGGCCGGAAATGTGGCATACAGCCCAAGACAGGCTGGAAATAAGAAGTATATAAAAACAATACTGCAGAAAAGAACAACGAAAAATTAATTGGAAGTAGAAAGCACGCACATTAGTGTGAACTTAGTTTTCTGAATCAACAGTTTCTCTCTAAATGCAACCCAAAGATGAATGTTGGACATGGCTGGAACATTGTGATAGGGTGACAGGACGCAGTGGGGAAAAGCGTTTCTCAATTTAGAGGAAGCATGAGGTTGATTTTAAGAACACCAATTTTGGTGGACTCCAAGGGAAGTTAACCTAAGTAGAGAAGAAAGATAGAAACAGAAGTTAGAGTGGTAAACAATGTGAATGCAGGTAAAGAGATTTAAAGATATATTGATCTAACAGAATGAACCAAAAATTCAGTCATGCGGCCACCCCTAGATGCAGAGAAGCCGGGAAATGTAATTCAACTGTGTGCTCCAGAAGAAGAGAATATGGATTTCTATGACTGAGTGATCATCTCAGTCACGATGTCCTTCTATGATTCATATCACTGTCTTAGAATGAAATTGTATGTCCCCCTTTTTTTTTATTTTGGTGTGTAGACAGACTGGCATTGGTTGACATATAGTTATTGGATAGATAGGTGTGGCTAGCATTGTCAGGCTTTCAGAACTAGAAAAAAATGCCAGAGACTTGATTCTAGCCCTGAAAGACTTCATTATGTGTTATGTCATGGGTAATAAACAAAGGAAATGAGATCCAGGAAATCCAGAGTTATAATTTAGACTTTATCAGACTGTTGCACTAGTTGAGCTGCAACAAGGGACGAAACTACAGGGACTTAAATAAGATAGATGTTTATTTCTCTGTCACATAATAGTCTCGATGAGAGTTGGCATGAATCAAGTAGGAATGAGAGAAAGGGAGGGCAAGTTTCTTTTCTTTTAAAGGTGCAATCCAAATTTACACAGATTACTTTCTTTCACATCCCATTGGCCAGACCAAGTCACATGGCTAAAGCTAGGCACAAAAGAGGCTGGAGGTGTGGTTTTTTGTGGAGCAGCCACATGGAGCAGCAGAAAACTTTCATGAAGAAAGAGAGGAGAATAAATATTGGAAGTTGGTTTTTGTTGACTTCACCAAAAAAGTCAAAGAAAGTTTCCATTTATACACCCTAATAATGTACCAACCTGATGGAAAGTCATGGAATGTTATGATGGTATGACATTTTCACAAAGAGTGAGAACATCAAATTCAGCTCAGTGGGAAGTGGACTTTGGAACTACTGTCAAAGAAAGAAAGTTTACTATCCAGAGCAGTGGTTCCCAACATCACTGAGTATTATAATCACTGAGTATTATAATCACCTGGGAGGTGTTTCTTAAAATATCAGTATCTGGGTCCTGGACATTCTGATTCAGGAAATGTGGGTAATGACCTGGGCATCTGAATTTTTTTAATCCCCAAGAGTGAATAGGATGTGCTGTAAGGCCTTAAAACCAATGATAAAGGGAAATTCAAAGACAAATGTTGCCTTTATCTTCAAACTTTCTTGGAAGCTTAAAGGATAAAAGTGATTTTAAATAAACAAACATCATTTGGCATTTCTGAGAAGCTGCAATCAGAAGGATTTTAGATTATAAATGATTGATTATGAAAATACTGGGATTCAAAGAGGTGGGTCTGTCTACTGGCTCTGCCACTTTAGACCTTGGCAAGTATCTAAAGAGCTCCACGCCTGATGCCCCTCCTCAATAAATGAAGAGTTAGCCAAAATGATTGCTTACAGCATTCTGTGATCCTACTTGTGGCTGGCCAATTCCTTTTATTCACTAGTTCATTTTAAGTAACATACAATTACAGTAAAAATAATTAACATTCAACAAATATTTATAGAGCTCTTACTTTGTACTAGGCTCTGCTGAGAATACAAAGGGAGCGAAGATAAATGAGGTTAGCCTCCAATATGTTATATCAACTGCAAAACTCTGTACCATACAACGTTTATCAAAGGCCTATTGGCGGTCACCTTGAGATGGTAGAAACCTACATAGGCTCCTCCTCAGTCTCTCTCTGTCTGTTTCTCTCTCTGTCTCTCATTCACTCTCTTTTCTTTTTCTCCTTTCCACTTTCTTTTGTTTAAATTCAAGTTTTTCTAAGGTAGGCAGGTATATAATACTCTGTTATGGGGGAAAATTAATCCTACGCAGTCTTATTTTAAAAAAAGATATTTTGAAAGATATTTTCAAATTCCTATTTTTTTGTAGCAGATATCAGGAGTAAGTAATATGTAGACAGAAATATCTGATAAGACAGAGCTCATCTTGAGCAGACAGAACTTGGGCAAAGGCTGGCCCATTCCATCTCCCTACGTTTCAGGACAGAAAATGCAGATTCAGCAGAAATTAGTGTGTGTGTGTGTGTGTGTGTGTGTGTGTGTGTATACACACATGCATGTACATGTTTAATAGAAGAAAGGAGCAACAAGAAATGGGTACCAATAAAAAAGAAAGAAAGAAAAATCACACTCCTCGAAAAAAAATTAATTCCTTTTTGTGTAATCCAAACAGCTTTGATAATTGAGGTTTCCCAGCAAATCTTACAATATTTTTTCCAGCTTTCTCTGGTAACCTTCACCTCACTGTGGCTGTTAAGTGCTGAGAGGCTAACTACTGTTTGTTCCTTGGATACAAAAGGCATTCCGTTCTCTCTGAGTGGTTCTGTGCTTCTAAGGTCAGCAAACGCCCTCCCCCCAGCCAGCTTTCAATTGCTTACCAGAGGAGGGCACCAGGGCATGATCATTCAAAACACCAGAGCATCCAAAAGCTTGGGAATGCGTCATTTGATTACTATTATTTTCCCAGTTGCTTCCCTTTCCTCCATTATGTTTTGTTTAGGATAAAGTACTTTGCATCTCCCAGCAAACATTGTTTGGAAGGAGGGAAGAGAAACCTAGCCAAGAACAGGACAAGGAATGGGGCAAGCTGACACTGAATTGAGAGTGTGTTGAATAAGGCCATGTAAACTTTTCCATATTTCATTTCTGAAAAGGGCTCAGTGTGGACTCCATCACTAACACTGACCTTGGAAACACCTAAGACTTTTTAATATATTGCTGTTGATCCTTATTTGTTAATAAATTATGAAGTTAAGCATCGAAGCATTGCTCTTTAATCAATATCCAGTAGAACCTCCATTTTTTCATCATCTAGTAACTCTTTCTAACAGTCTTCTCTCTGGTGGTCTTACCAAGGCAATGAAAGAAAAAAAAAAAAAGAATTGCATCTCTTTAATTACTACGCTGGATCTCTCATGAATGGTTTGATGTGTCCCCATGGAAATAAGCGAGTTCTGTCTCTGTTAGTTCATGCGAGATCTGGTAGTTTAAAGGGGCCTGTCTCCTCCCTCCCTCTCTGGCTCCTGCTCTCACCATGTGATGTGCTGGCTCCCATTTCGCCTTCTGCCATGATTGTAATCCTCCTGCGGCCCTCACCAGAAGCAGATGCCAGCACTGTGCTTCATGTACAGCCTGCAGAACCATAAGCCAATTAAACTTCTTTATAAATTACCCAGGCCCAGGGATTTTTTTATAGTGATGCAAAGCAAAATAATAAAACATACATCAGGCCAGGCACAGTGGCTCATGCCTGTAATCCCAGCACTTTGGGAGGCCAAGGTGGGTGGATCACCTGAGGTTGGGAGCTCGAGACCAGCCTGACCAACATGGAGAAACCTCATCTCTACTAAAAATACAAAATTAGCCGGGTGTGGTGGCGCACGCCTGTAATCCCATTTGCTTGGGAGGCTGAGGCAGGAGAATTGCTTGAACCTGGGAGGTGGAGGTTGCGGTGAACCAAGATCACACCATTGCACTCTCAGCCTGGGCAACAAAAGCAAAACCCTGTCTCAAAAAAAAAAAAAAATCAAAAGTATGGACATTATTAAGTGTTTCCATGTTATTATGTATGAAAAACAAAAGGGTTTGACCCTTCGACAAAAAAATAAAATGATGGGGACACAGGAAAGTATTCATAATCTAAAGCAATGATTGATTCTCAACCAAGGATGATTTTGCCCCCAGGGAACATTTGACAAGCTCTAGAGCCATTTTTTGGCTTTTTGGCAGGGAAAGGGGGGGTTGCTTGTTTATTTAGAAAAAGGGTTGTTTGTGCTCTGTGTCCCAGGCTAAAGTGCAATGGCACAACCATAGTTCACTGCAGCCTAAAACTCTTGGGCTCAAGCAATCCTCCTGCCTCAGCCTCTGGTGTAGCCAGGACTACAGGCATGCCCCACTATGCCTGGCTTATTTTTTTTAATTATTTTTTGTAGACATGAGGGTCTCACTGTGTTGCCCAGGCTGCTCTCAAACCTCTGGCCTCAAGACATCCTCCCACCTCAGCCTCCCAATGTGTTGGGATTATAGGCATGAGCCACCACGTCCAGCCTGGAGCCATTATTTACTGTCACAGTAGAAGTCGGAGGAATATTATTAGCAACTGGTGTGTAGAGGCCAGGGTTGTTGCTAACTATTCCATGATGCATAGGACAGCCCCCAACAACAAAGAATTACCAGCCCCAAATGTCAGTAGTGCTGAGGATAAGACACACATTTTCAAGGTACCTTACCATAGGACTCAAAGTGGCAGAAGGACATGAAGAACTTTTTTCAAAACTCTCATTTTGCTTCCTTACCCTCACCTGCCACAACTGATTCCCACAGTTTTCTCCATTCCACACTATAATCTACATTCTTTGGCCAAGACGACCCAATTACAGAGTGGGAGAAGGCTTCTCCCCATTTTGGGTAGTGTTTTATTGCTCTGCAACGGGGGTCCTCATCACTGGAGTCAGGAGGGACAAGCCAGAAACACCTGATGAACCTCTTCCTAACACCCCTCTCCAGCCAATTCTGATGTGTCTCACAGTTTGCCAGAGGTGGAGGATGTGTGTGGGGCACAAGCTCCCCAGGAGGAGAGACAGCAAGGTAAACAGCCTATGCTCCCAGCTCTCACCCTCATGACAGCAGCCCCTTTCCCACTTTTCTATGACCCAGCAAATGAACTCCGTGAATGCCTGGCAAAGCAAGGCCTTTCTCCATTATTCCAGCAAGCATCTGTCTTCAGACCCATTACTAGATATTTTGAATCCTACCCCTGGTGAGACAAGTGTAGGCAGAAGCATCTCCCCGGGTGGCTTTGCTATGCATGCACAGCCCTGCCCCAGCTGAGAGTCTCAGATGACAGGAGCTCACTGAAATGTAGTCTTGGACCCACATGCAGGTGAACAAAAATGTATGTGGATTGGCTTGACCAAAAGCAGAAATTAAGCTTTCTTTGCCACAAGATCCATTGGCCAAGCTCCCTTTTGAGAATTAACAAATGTAAAGGAAGAGCACAATTCTTCTCATCCAGGGAATTGTGCTCCAAACAAGTGCTTCAGGTTTTCTTGTCATATTGCTTCCAGTAAGGGTACAACTAGCTGGATCAGAGGGGCTTTTTTTTTAAGCTGTGGGATATAACACTTTTGATTTGATGAGGCTAACAGTCCTTCTTAAAATGAAATTGGCATGCAAAGGGGACACAAATACACCTCCCACCATTACCATGCAACGTAAATACAAAATAGGATTTGCGGGGAAAAAAATGCACAAGCAGAGAAAGAGTAATGTGCATGAGATCCTATTCCTAGGCTCTCGTTATCCTGCTGAGTTGACTGAACTGGATGTACCCAGCAAGTGAATCTGTAGTTATAGATATACCCCATGACACACATGACACTCTGCATACTTACATTGAGGAACCATGTAGCTGCAGGGGCTGCCTGCTTGAGGAAATGATGAGGAGACTATGGAGCTCAGCCCTGCTCTTTCATTGCATGACTAAGATCTGCTGAGCCAGCTCTCTACTAAGCTAAAAGGAAAGAAAACAAGTCTCTGGGCACATTCAGATTGGTCTCTCCTCCAAAACAGAATGGAACAGAGTGGAGTGGAATGGACTGAACAGGAAAGAATACAGTGGGCCATTTAGGGCCAAGGTGGCTGACTCTTGCCTCCAAATGACCGTATTACCTCTCCAGCAAGGGTTTGGAACTGGGCTAAGGCTGAGATAGCTGAAATGACAGAAGTAGAATTCAAAATATGGATAAAAACAAACTTCACTGAGCCAAAGGAGCATGTTGTAACCCAATGCAAGGAAGCTAAAAATGGTGATAAGACATTCCAGAGGCTGACAGATAAAATAGCTAGTATAGAGTAGACTGTAACTGAATTGATAGAGCTGAAAAACACAATACAATAATTTTATAATGTATTCACAGTATTAATAGCAGGATAGACCAAGTGGAGGAGATAATCTCGAGCCCGAAGACTGTCTTTCTGAAATAAGACAGGCAGACAAGAATAGAGAAAAAAGAATCAAAAGACGTGAACATGAAAAAAACCTCCAAGAAACATAGGATTACATAAAGACCGAATCTATGACTGATTGGTTTACCAAAGAGACGGGGAGAATGGAACCAATTAAGAAAACATATTTTATGATATCCATGAGAACTTCCCCAACCTAACTAAATAGGCCAACATTCAAATTCAGGAAATGTGGAGAACCCCAGTAAGACACTCCACGAGAACATCATCCCCAAGACACATAATCATCAGATTCTCCAAGGTCAAAATGAAAGGAAAAATGTAGCTAGAGAGAAAGGCCAGGTCACCTACAAAGGGAAGCCTATCAGACAAATAGTGGACCTCTCAACAGAAAGCTTATAAGCCAAAGGAGATTGGGACCCAATATTCAGCATTCTTAAAGAAATGAAATTCCAACCAAGAATTTCATATCCAGCCAAATTAAGCTTCATAAGCAGAGAAATAAGATCCTTTATATCCTGAGGGAATTTGTTACAAGATCTGCCTTACAGGAGCTCCCAAAGGAAACACTAAATGTGGAAAGAAAAGGCTGTTACCAACCACTACAAAAACACACTGAAGTACACAGACCAGTGACACTATAAAGCAACCACATACAGTGTTTGGTTTTTTGTCCTTGCGATAGTTTGCTGAGAATGATGGTTTCCAGTTTCATCCATGTCCCTACAAAGGACATGAACTCATCATTTTTTATGGCTGCATAGTATTCCATGGTATATATGTGCAACATTTTCTTAATCCAGTCTATCATTGTTGGACATTTGGGTTGGTTCCAAGCCTTTGCTATTGTGAATAGTGCCACAATAAACATACGTGTGCATGTGTCTTTATAGCAGCATGATTTCTCACTCATAGGTGGGAATTGAACAATGAGAACACATGGACACAGGAAGGGGAACATCACACACTGGGGACTGTTGTGGGGTTGGGGGAGCGGGGAGGGATAGCATTAGGAGATATGCCTAATGCTAAATGATGACTTAATGGGTGCAGCACACCAACATGGCACATGTATACATATGTAGCAAACCTGCACATTGTGCACATGTACCCTAAAACTGCAAGTATAATAATAATAAAATTTTAAAAAAAGCAACCACATAAAAACTGCAAAATAACCAGCTAAGATTATGATGACAGGATAAAATCCACACATATCAATATTAACCTTAAAGGTAAATGGGCTAACTGCCCCACTTAAAAGACACAGAGTAGCAAGCTAGATAAAGAACCAAGACCCATTGGCCTGCTGTCTTCAAGAGACCTATCCCACATTCAGTGACACACATAGGCTCAAAATAAAGGGATGGAGGAAAATCTGTCAAGCAAATGGAAAACAGAAAAAAAGCAAGGATTGCAATCCTAGTTTCTCACAAAACAGACTTTAAACCAACAAAGATCAAAAAAGACAAAAAAGGACATTGTATAAGAGTAAAGGGTTCAATTCAACAAGAAGATCTAAATATGCTAAATATATATACACCCAACACAGGAGCACCCAGATTCAAAAAGCAAGTTCTAAGAGACCTTCAAAGAGACTTAGACTCCCGCATAATAATAGTGGGAGACTTTAACAGCCCACTGACAATCTTAGACAGATCACTGAGACAGAAAATTAACAAAGATATTCAAGACCTGAACTCAGCCCTAGACCAAATGGACCTGATAGATATCTAGAGATCTCCTCACCCCAAAACAACAGAATATACTTTCTTTGCATCACCACATTGCACTTACTCTAAAATTGATCACATAATCAACGGTAAAATTTTCCTCAGCAAATGCAAAAGAATTGTAATCATAACAGTCTCTCAGACCACAGCATAACCAAATTAGGACTCAAGATTAAGAAGTTTACTCAAAACCATACAATTACATGTAAATTGAATAACTTGCTCCTGAATGACTTTTGGGTAAATAATGAAATTAGGGCAGAAATCAAGAAGTTCTTTGAAACCAGTGAGAACAAAGAGACAACATACCAGAATCTCTGGGACGCAGATTAGGCAGTGTTAAGAGGGAAATTTATAGCACTAAACATCCACATCAAAAAATTAGAAAGATCTCAAGTTAGCAACCTAACATCACAACTAAAAGAACTAGAGAACCAAGAACAAATAAATCCCAAAGCTAGCAGAAGACAATAAATAACCAAAATCAGAGCAGAACTGAAGGAGACAGAGACATGAAAAATCATTCAAAAAAATCAACAAATCCAGGAGCTGGTTTTTTGAAAAAATTAATAAAATAGATAGACCTCTACATACACTAATAAAGAAGAAAAAGAGAAGATCCAAATAAACCCAATCAGAAATGATACAGGAGATATTACCACCAACCCCACAGAAATACAAGCACTCATCAGAGAATATTATAAACACCTCTATGCACATAAACTAGAAAATCTAAAAGAAATTAATATATTCCTGGACACATACACCCTCCCAAGACTGAACCAGAAAGAAATTGAATCCTTGAGCAGACTGAAAATGAGTTCTGAAATTGAGGCAGTAATAAATTGCCTACCAACCGAAAAAAGCCTAGGACCAGATGAATTCACAGCTGAATTCCACCAGAGGTACAAAGAAGAGATGGTACCATTCCTACTGAAACTATTCCAAAAAATTGAAAAGGAGGGACCCCTCCCTACCGCACTCTATGAGACCAGTATCATCCTGATACAAAAACCTAGCAGAGATACAAAAAATAATAATAATAAAATAAAAAAATAAAAAACTTCAGGCAATGTCAGTGCAAAAATCCTTAACAAAATATGGGCAAACTTAATCCAGCAGCACATCGAAAAGCTTATTCACCATGATGCAGTAGGCTTCATGCTTGGCATGCAAAGTTAGTTCAACATAGTGAATCAATAAATGTGATTCATCACACAAACAGAACTAAAAACAAAAACCACATTATCATCTAGTAGATGCAGAAAAGACTTTTGATAAAATTCAACATCCCTTCATGTTAAAAACTCTCAATAAACTAGATATTGAGGGAACACACCTCAAAATAATAAGAGCCATCCATGACAAACCCACAGCCAACAACATACTAAATGGGCAAAAGCTGGAAGCATTCCCCTTGAAAAACGGCACAAGACAAAGACGCTCTGTCTCACCACTCCTATTCAACATAGTATTGGAAGTCCTGGTCAGAGCAATCAGGCAAGAGAAAGAAATAAAAGGCATCCAAATAGGAAGAGGGAAAGTCAAACTATCCCTGTTTGCAGATGACATGATCCTATATCTAGAAAACCCCATTCTCTCAGCCCAGAAGCTTCTTAAGCTGATAAACAATGTCAGCAAAGTCTCAGGATACAAAATCAATGTGCAAAAATCGCTAGCATTCCTATACACCAACAACAGGTAAGCCAAGAGCCAAATCACAAAAGTGCCACAAAAAGAATAAAATACCTAGGAATACAGCTAACTAGGGATGTGAAAGATCTCTTCAAGCTGAACTACAAACCACTGTTCAAAGAAATTAGAAATGACACAAACAAATGGAAAAACATTCCACGCTCATGGCTAGAAAGAATCAATATTGTTAAAATGGCCACATTGCCCAAAACAATTTATAGATTCAATGCTATTCCCATTAAACTACCATTGATATTCTTCACAGCACCAGAAAAACTATTTTAAAATTCATGTGAAACCAAGAAAGAGCCCAAATAGTCAAGACAACCCTAAGCAAAAAGAACAAAGCTAGAGGCATCATGCTACCCAACTTCAAACTATACTACAGGACTACAGTAACCAAAACAGCATGCTACTGGTAAAAGAACAGACACATAGACCAATGAACAGAATAGAGAACCTAGATATAAGACCACACACCTACAACTATCTGATCTTCGACAAACCTGACAAAAACAAGTAATGGGGAAAGGAGTCCCTGTTCAATAAACAGTGTTGGGATAACTGGCTAGCCATATACAGAAGATTGAAACTCGACACCTTCCTTACACTATATACAAAAATTAACTCAAGATAAATTAAAGACTTAAATGTAAAACACAAAACTATAAAAACCCTGGAGGATAATCTATATAATACCACTCAGGACATAGGCACGGGCAAAGATTTCATGACCAAGATGCCAAAAGCAATTGCAATAAAAGCAAAAATTGACAAATGGAATCTAATTAAACTAAAGAGCTTCTGCACAGCAAAAGAAACTATCAACAGAGTAAACCAACAAGCTACAGAATGGGAGAAAAAATTTTCATAACTATGCATCTGACAAAGATCTAATATCTAGCATCTATAAGGAACTTAAACAAATTTACAAGAAAAAGCCAACAATGCTATTAAAAAGTGGGCAAAGGACATGCACAGACACTTCTCAAAAGAGGGCATACATGCAGCCAACAATCATATGAAACCACTCAATATCACTGTTCATTACAGAAATGCAAATCAAAATCACAACAAGATACCATCTCACACCAGTCAGAATGGCATTATTATTATTATTTTGAGACAAGGTCTTACTCTGTCACTCAGGCTGGAGTACAGTGGCACCATCTCAGCTCATTGCAACCTCCATCTCCCAGGCTCAGGTGATTCTCCTGCCTCAGCCTCCTGAGTAGCTGGGACTATTGGCACGTACCACCATGCCGAGCTAATTTTTGTATTTTTTGGTAGAAACAGGGTTTCATCATGTTGGCCAGGATGATCTCGAACTCCTGACCTCAGATAATCCACCTGCCTCAGCCTCCCAAAGCACTGGATTACAAGTGTGAGCCACCGTGCCCAGCCAGAATGGCTATTATTGCAAACTCAAAAAATAACAGATGTTGGCAAGGTTGTGGAGAAAAAGGAATGCATATAAACTGTTGATGGGAGTGTAAATTAGTTGAACCATTGTGAAAGACAGTGTGGCAATTCCTCAAAGCCCTAAAGACAGAAATACTATCTGACCCAGAAATTGCATTACTGGCTATATACGTAAAGGAATATAAATCATTTTATTATAAAGACACATGAATGCATATGTTCATTGCAGCACTATTCACAATAGCAAAGACATGGAATCAATCTAAAAGTCCATCAATGGTAGACTGGAAAAAAAAATGTAATACATATACACCATGGAATATTATACAGCCATAAAAAAGAAAAAGATCATGTTCTTTGCAGGAACATGGATGGAGCTGGAGGTCACTATCCGTAGTAAACTAACACAGGAACAGAAAACCAAATACAGCATGTTCTCACTTATAAGTGGGAGCTAAATAATGAGAACACATGGACACATAAAGAGGAACAATACACACTGGGGCCTATCAGAGGTAGACGGTGGTAGGAAAGAGAGGATCAGGAAAAATAACTACTGAGTACTAGGCTTAATACCGAGGTGACAAAATAATCTGCACAACAAACCCCCTGATACACACATTTACCTATGTAACAAACCTGCACATGTACCCCTGAATATAAAATAAAAGTTTTTTTTTTTTTAGCAAAAGGATGTTAAGAGGTAATGTTTAGTATAAACCTTTTCATTCTAGAGAAACTAGGTCCCAAAGTGGACTGCCCAAAGTCAAAATCAAGTCATACCATCCGTGCAATTTTTATTAATGTGTATAACAATAAATAGTAAATTCTTTAAAAAAAAACATAGTGCATTGCACATTATAAAAGCATGCACTCATTCCCGAAACTTATATTTTGATTGCATGTGTCTTTGTATGTATGTGTGTATCAAGTAGTAAGGTAAAATGTACTTCTTACTGATGGTCATCGTCAAAAGGTCTCCTAGATTAAAGTCTTTCTCTCTCTCTCTCTCTCTCTCTCTCTCTCTCACTGTCTCTCTTAACTCTCTTACTCTCTCTTCCCCTCCACTCTACCCCATGTGCTTTTATAAGGGAAAATCAAAAGGGAAGATTTATCTATTATAAATATATACATATACACACAAATTCATGAAAATGTTAGCACATACCAAGCTTAGAAAATGTCTATGAAGCCAAGCCATTAAGTAAAGTTGCTCGGGCTGACAATCATGGCTATGTATCTCACACTGAAGAGGGCTGGGAATGCTGCTTAGGCCAACTGCCTTCTAAACTACCCCACTGGCCCTCACCAGAGAAGCTGCTGGCTTCTCTCCTTTCTAAACCAAGCTCCTGCTGAGATTGCATTCCGTGCTCCTCATCAGTCCATGAACAGTGCTGAGTGGAGGCTACCATGGGTTGATTCATTCACTATATCTTATACATTGATCTTACTTCATCCTAAAAACATCCTGGAATATCATCATTTCCACTGAATGGATAATGAAACCGAGGCTCAGGAACGTAATACACTGTACCCAATTTCTTACAGTTGGGAAGGAAGTGTTGGAGCCAGGAGGGAAAGCCACGTCTTCTGACTCTGAAACCCAGGCTCTTTCCACCACACTAGAAGTCTTAGTTCAGTCTTCTGAGCTGAAGATGGGTGTGCAGAAGATTACTGGAAGAGCCTTTGGCCTCAGTAGTGGTGAGGGAGGAAAGAAATGTAGACAGGCAGTCGGATCCCAGGATCCCGCATAGTGCTCTGGAGCTGAGATGGTCTTGCAGAGTTGTCCAGCCTTAAGGCAAAGGGGCCTGGCCTTTATACTCCCATCTGCCCCTGGGCAAGTGTTTAGATTCTGGATGCCCCAGGAACAGGATGTGGCCTTACGTGATTTGGCTCTTCTCTGCTGAGGACAATGACCAGAGAAGAACTCAGCTGAGAGTCGCCAGCTGCCAACACTCCCAAGAGCTGGAGAAATGAGCATCTCAGTCCCTCAAGGAGATCTTGGCAGAGTCCTACAGCATCTATCACATCACCAGCACAGGTTTTCCCTTAGAAATCTACTCCACATTTGCCATGCCCAGCTCCGACAAGTTGAATGCTATGCAGGTTGAAAAAAAATCGCTGCCTGTTTCAGCTCTACCACTTTCTGGGTAATCTCAATTTGGCAACTTGATGTCTCTGTGCTTCAGTCTCCTCATCTCAAAAAATAAAAATAATAAACATATCATGGGATTTTCCAGAATGAACATTGTTCATGGTACATAAGCACCTAGAAAATGTTTCTTGTTAAAATTGTTGTTACACTTTTGCTTTGCTTCCTGATTGACCAGCCTCTTTCCTTGAATAAAAAGTGCTTTCAAGTTAGATGCCAGTGAGCATCAGTTGTAGAAATGTCCAAATCTCCCAAGAGCCTCAGTTCAGGACTTTGGCCCAATGTTTATTTTGATCCTACAACTGCTGCTGCCACTTTACTTCACTCACTACCACTGAGAGTATGATTCTTTAAGGAATACTTCAAGAGACTTGTTTGTGAATACTTGAAGCTCTACTGGGCTCACTCCAGGACAGTAGAAGTTTAAATAATTCATGAGAGTAATGCCTGCAATTGACAAGGACAAGGCAAATTGCATAAGAGCAGCTTATTCCATACATTCCATTATGTGTTCTTTGATAGCACAGCTGGCATGGAATTCAGTAATGCCTTAGAAAAAAAATGCTCCAAGAAAGGCAAGAAAAATATTTAAAGGATAGTTAAGCCCAAAAGGGATGTGAAGATGATAGCCACTAGGGTGATAAAAATAAAAGAGGTACTACATTTTTTAACCTGGTTTGGAAATCGTCCCTTTGAGAACCAGACAAGTTTGATGTTCAAGAGGATACGCTAAACAGAGAGTGGTTTTCTCCACACAGAGGCCTTGAAGATTTTCTTAATGCTCCTGGCAAAATGAATGCTGGATGGTGCTTTATATTGTTGGATAATGAAGATGTTATACATTTCTGTAATACTATGAGAAAGCATTGCATTACACAAATAACGGTTGTGTGACTATACTGGTCAGTGTAAAGAGAGGATATTGTTGGAATAAGAGTTGTATCCTTAAAATACATCCTGTTGTCATAAAGATGAAAATGAGTTTGTCTCACAGGGCCAGCATGCTGCATAAACCAGGATGCCCAATCATATAACCTATCTGGGCTGCCATTACTTTGCGATAAAATCATAAGCCCGCTGCCTACTTTTCAACACAATTGTCCACTGTTCCACCAAATACAGCTATTCAATTTTATTCCTATAGCCCATGATGTTTTTTCCATTTCCAACCCATTGCTTATCCATCTCCCTCTACCTAGAGCTTTCCTCCCTCTATTTGCATCAGCAAACCTCCTCTCCACCCTTTAAGGTTCATTTCAAATGTCAGCTTTTAATGAAAGCTTTTCTGAGCTCATCCTCTGCAAACTAGACATGATCATTCCATGTAAACTTTAATCACATCTGGTCTGAATCTTCCTCGTGGCCATAATCATACCCTGCCTTGCCTTGGGTTCTTTTATTTATGTATCAACTCTTATTTTTTCCTCTATCTTATAAGCTTTTTAAGGCCGAAAATATGTCTTAATCCTCTTTACACCTTCTGCAATACCTGGCACTGTGTCCCACACTTCAAAATGCTCAATAAAGGTAGTTGAATGTATCAATAACACTTTCCCTCTGACAGTTTGGGATTCACTATTCATCCTTTTATCATCCCCGTATTTCCTCTCTCTTCCCTGTACACAGAAGTCAAAACAAAGTGACCTCAGCTATCTCTTGAAAATACCAGAAATCAGAGGTTAGAAATTTGACACTCTGTTTGTAAAAGGTTGCCACCTCTCTGTCTCCCTAGGAGTTATGGGATTCCAGACCTCAAAAGCCTTTACATAATATTGAAGTCTGAGGTTAAGTGAACGGCCCCAGGTCACATATCAAGTTAAGGGCAGACATAGGACTAAAATCTAATGTGAGGATGAGATATTTTGTTGTTCAATTCTATTGTTACAGCTAGTGTCTGAATTTTTCTCTATGGGTCAAGCTGACTTGTTCTGGGAATATGACTTTTTTAAGTATAAGCCTATAAATATTAATCTGCCAAAACAGTATTTGTAAGAAACCTTGGGTTTACTTATAAGTTGACTTACACAGCCATCATGTTCTCCCTAATCCAAAGTTTCAGTGATGGATATATCGGATTTCAATACAAACAAGCATATACTTGTTTGTGACAAAAACACTTAGGGTTCTGTTGGTGCTATCAAGAACATCCAAAGAAAAATGAAGTTAAAGTAGAAACACTTTGCTGATTTTATTCTCAGTAGAACTCAACCACAAACCAAAGTCATAGATGAATAATGCTTCAAATGAAGTGAAAATAATGAATCAATAACATGGCTGGCAAACCCTGGGGAATGGATCAGAGTTTTGAAAAATCTTCAGAGAATATTTTATTCCAGGGAGCCACCACAACATCCAAATGCATTTATTATGGGCTCACTGTGATTTTTATGGAGTAGAAACTAAGCAATACCCTTTCTGCTCCCTTCCATTTTTCATGTGGTTGGCTATAACCTCATGTTCTCTTGTTCAAGCATAACCTAAAAATAGTCTTCATCAGGCTAATTTAAGACATTTTTATACCCTATGATTGTTTAATGTTCTAACATTCTTTTGCCCCACAGTTAGGATGATCTTATGCCCCAAGACTGTTCTTGGAGAGGTATTTCTCAAGCTTCAGTTTCTTTGTGCTGCCTGCGTGTGTTATTCTTTTCAAGATGATTATTACATAGGTGAGCACAGGTGACACAGCTTCACACTCATGTTGTGAGGTTCAATACCAAATACCTGGTGATTGTATCTGAGTATAAGAAACGACATTGGAGCTATTTAACAAAGACTCCCAAGGGGCTACACAGCCAAAGAGAAGCAAATACTTGTGCTATTATGTGGTAAATTCAGAACCCTGAATACACAAAATCAAGGAAACTTAGATAAAGGCAGATTTATCTTTTCAGATCTCTTTAGATAATGAGAGGTCATATTTAAGATTTATTACATAATAAAAACAACTTTCAGTTCATCTATTTGTTAGCCTAGACAGGTCTTTAAGGGAAAGTTCATACAAAACAGAAGATCAAGGAATTACATAAAATATACAAACAAATGTAGATTATGAGGAAAATTCTTCTAGTTTAGAATAGATGAGAATTGACCAAGAAAGAATGCGTCTGGCATTGAACAACAGGATAAGATGTAAATTCTGGTTGAAACAGGTATTGCCCCTCAAAGTGGCCATCTTGGGAGACTATACATATTCCAATCATGCTGCTTTTGTTCCAAAAATCTCATCTTCTAAAATTGATTTCAGGGGCATAGTCTGTCAAAACCTTCATTCTTTTAATTTGGGCTTGATTTTGGAAACAATCTGTGGCAGGAAAATGCTAGGGTGACCCCCTGACCTCTGCTTCCTGCTATTCATATCCTTGTGTGATACTCTCCCATTGAGTGTGGGTGGAGTCTGGGATTTGCTCCTAGCCAATAGAGTATGGCAAAAATGATGGGTTGTACGTTATCACATGCACATGATTAGGTAACATAACACTGTAACCCATCTTGCTAGTAAACTCTCTCTCCATTGTTGGCTTTGAGGGGCCAAGTGTTTGGTTCCTCAAACAACAAGACTTTGGGAAAGTCGATTTGGCAAGACCTGAGGGTGGCTGTCTGCGAGCTGACAGACAGCAAGAAACTGAAGCCTTCAGTCCACAGCATGCAAGGATCTGAATGCTGCCAACAACCACATGCACTTGGAAGTAAATCCTTCCTCACCAAGCATTCGGATGAAACCCCAGCCCCAGCTGATACTTTGTAACCTTACAGAGGACCTAACTAAGCCATGCCTAAACTCCTGACCCACAGCCACTGTGAGACAATATGGATTATTTGAAGCTGCCAAGTTTTAATATTATCATGCAGCAATAGGTAACTAATACACAAACATTAGTTATTCTGAGCCAGGTCTGGTCAGTAAAATTTGTAATATTATAGGCATTTTTTTTACCCATTATATCATTCTTTGTTTTTTTAAGAGACAGAGCCTCGTTATGTTGCCCAGACTAGAGAGCAGTGGTGCAATCATAGTTCATTACAGCCTCGAACTCCTGGACCTAAGCAATCCTCCTGCCTTGGTCTCCCAAGTAATTGGGACTACAGGCACATACTACCACACCCAGCTTTTAATTATCTTGCTCTTGTCTTGCTGTCTCATCTAGTCACTCTTAACAAAATCAAGAATTCTCTTGAAAGAGAGCCACTATTCATCTGTCTAATATTTTACAGTTTAGATTAATAGCATCTAGCATCTACCATGTGTCAGGCACTGTGCTAAGCACTTTATAAATATTATTTTAATAATTCACACAACCCCAAAAGGTATGAACTTTTATATTCCCATTCTAAAAGTGGGAAAACTTGAGTTAAATAATTTTCCCAAGGTCAAAAAGCTACCAAAGAGCAGAGCTGAGACTCTAACTCAGGCAATCAACTTCCAGAGACTACACAATTAACCCTTTTCCTATAAAGGATATCCACATACATTATCTCATTTAATCCAAACAATGACTCCTTGAGGTAGCTATTCTAACGACGAGATTTATAGACTAAGAAACTGGGACTCTAAGAGTTTAAGAAATAATGTCATTTAACTTGTTGATGATGCAGTAGAGACTACAACTAATGTCCTAGAGTGATGCCCTAATCTAGCACTCTTTCTACTATCAGATCATTGTTCAGTTGTTGCTCTGCAGTCAGCAGGCTGTTTTGTGTGGCAAGTGTGGTAGCCTAAACAAAGCAATATCCAAAAGAGAAGCTGTGAAATTGTTTTGAATAGAAGCATGATTGTGGAGACACTCCATGTAAACACAGCAGTGGGTTCCATTTTGAAAGGTAACACTCATCTCCAAGCAGTATTTCTATATTTGTAAATTTTTAATTGTAATCTCTCCATTGTTGGAACCAAAGACTTGGTTCCTCAAACAACAAGACTTTGGGAAAGTCCATTTGGCAAGACTTGGGGATGGCTGGCTGGAGGCTGACAGACAGCAAGAAACTGAAGCCCTCAGTCAACAGCATGCGAGGATCTTAATGCTGCCAACAACCATGTGAGCCTGGAAGCAAACCTTGTGTTATTTTACAGTCACATCTCATAGGCAGACACAAAATTAAGATGTTAACTATAAGGTACATAAACTCTGTTGAACTTGATTTCCTAAACTATACAATGAGGAGTGTCAGAGAAGATCATTATTTCCCAAAGTATATTCCAAAGAATGCAATAACCACAAGATGCTAAAAAATGTTGAGTGGGAGCTTCCACAATTAAATAATTGTATGCTGCTTGCAGCCCTCTGGGAAGCTCATATTCTGCATTAGTACATTAGAGGCTCTGAGAAGTCCTGCGCTGGAGGCCTCTATGAAGCTCTGAACCCAGTGGCTTCAAAACTTTTTAACCAAATAACCTTTTTTTCTAAGAACACTTATTAATGTCTTCCAGGGCTCTAATTTCTACTTGGGAAATTCTATGAATTTACCTCAAGGTTAATTTTCATCTCACAGGAGGTTAAAAATTAAGTTTGACCTATACATTGAGTTAGAGGTCGTTTTCTTAAATTATACAGAACATAGGAGCCAATCGCAAAAGTCCCCAGGAGCACACATTGTCTCCAGGCTTCCAATCCATCATTTTTAGCTGCCCATTATCTACTTGTTCTTTTCAAGCCACCTTGAGATGCTGATTTTGATGAATCTGAGGATGTAAAATAATATTTACAGATAATGAACACATTTCCAGAGCACAATTTCTTGGTTATTTTATTTATTCTACCAACTTGCTTCATGTAATCACATGTTTGCCACAAAGGAAGAAAAAAGGGGCAAATACATTACATTTCTATTACACAAGTAGTCTGTGAAGTTCCCTCATGCTGTTTTCTTATTTCAGCTAAAATAACCATGTTCAAAGGATACATTAATCCCATTGACCTTTGCAGAGCTATTTAGAGATACCTTGCCTTTTTTTTCCTTCTCTTTTTTTCCATATTAAAGTTTTTGGTGGAATTTCCTCACCCAAGTCAGTTGTGAAATCTGTACAGTGGAGACAATAAAATGGAGGCTTAATGATTCAGTTCATGTTCCTTTATCAACTCACTGCCCACACAGCCAACTCATTAGTATCAAATAGAACAAAAATGCCTGCAGGAAAATCGTGGGTGCTACTTTCAAGCAGTTCTTTTGATCTATGAGTCATCTTTGCTCTGGCTCCAACTTTAGGCAAATCATTTAACTTTCCCTAGTCTTTGCTTTGTTAAGCCTCTGTTTCCCCATTCACAAAATGGGCCTCATATAGTTGCCACCTCACAGAATCATGGAGAAGAGTATATCAGATAATGCTGGAAGATATCACTCAATCTGTTTACTCAAAAAAGCACTCAAGTGCCTGGAAATCTACTTTTAGGGATGCTACTGCACTTAATTGATATAATAAAACATATATGGTGGCTTCTATCATTCAAGTTTTTATAAATGAAGGAACAGAAAAGTTAAGTAACTTGCCCAATGTCACCCAGCTAAAAGTAGAGAACGGTGGATTTGAACTCTTTTCTGTTCGACTCCGGATTATTTTCAATGCTCCACACTGATGAACAACAACATATGTGGAGTGTCTCCTATAGCAAGCATTTGGCAAAATGCTGAAGCAAATTTTTTTAGAAAAAAATTCATTCCATTTAAGTCAAGCCTAGTCCTTAGGCAAAGCTATGAAGTGAAGTAAGCAAAATTGATCTCCTCTGTCCTTCCTGCCCACCTCTAAGGAACAGCCTTCTTGTGGCCCCTATAAGCCCAGGGATCTTCTCACAAATGCCTCACTAGGACCTACCTACCCAGACAGTGGCCTGACTTCTACATCAGTGATACACAAAGTAACCGGTCTATGCGTTGCTTCTTTAGCGGTGATTTCTGAGATTTTGGTGCACCTATCACCCCAGCAGTGTACACTGTACCCAATGTGTAGACTTTTATCCCTTGCCACCTCCCACCATTTCCCCCAATTCCCCAAAGTTCAGTGTATCGTTCTTATGCCTTTGCGTCCTCATAGCTTAACTCCCACATATGAGTGAGAACATATGATACTTGGTTTTCCATTCTTGAGTTACTTCACTTAGAATAATAGTCTCCAATTCCATCCAGGTTGCTGCAAATGCCATTATTTCATCCCTCTTTATGGCTGAGTAGTATTCCATGTTTTATATATATATATAAAACATGATATATATATCACATTTTCTTCATCCACTCATTGATTGATGGGCATTTGAGCTGGTTCCACATTTTTGCAATTGCAAATTGTGCTGCTGTAAACACGCGTGTGCAAGTATCTTTTTTGTGTAATGACTTCTTTTCCTCTGGGTAGATACCTAGTAGTGGGATTGCTGGATCAAACTGTAGATCTACTTTTAGTTCTTTAAGGAATCTCCACACTGTTTTCCCTAGTAGCTGTACCAGGGAAATAATTTAACTTTCCCTAGTCTTTGTTTTGTTAAGCCTCTGTTTCCCCATTTTACATTCCCACCAGCAGTGTAAAAGTGTTCCCTTTTCACTGAATATATTATTTTTTGATTTTTAAATTATGGCCATTCTTGCAGTACTGAGGTGATATTGCATTGTGGTTTTGATTTGCATTTTCCTGATAGTTTGTGATGTTGAGCATTTTTCCATATGCTTGTTGGCCATTTATATATCTTCTTTTGAGAACTGTCTATTCATGTCCTTAGCCCACCTTTTTTTTTTTTTTTTTTTTTTTTTTTTTGAAACAGAGTCTCACTCTGTCACCGGGCTGGAGTGCAGTGGCACGATCTTGGCTCACTGCAACCTCCACCTCCTGAGTTCTAGCAATTCTCCTGCCTCAGCCTCCGGAGTAGCTGGGATTACAGGCGTGTGCCACCACACTCAGCTAATTTTTGTATTTTTACTAGAGACAAGGTTTCACCATGTTGGCTAGGATGGTCTCGATCTCTTGACCTCGCGATCTGCCCACCTCTTGCTGGGATCATTTGTTTTTTCTTGCTGATTTATTTGAGTTTTTTGTAGATTCTGGATATTAGTCCTTTGTCAGAGGTATAGATTGTGAAGATTTTCTCTGTAGGTTGTCTGTTAACTCTGCTGATTATTTTTTTGCTGTGCAGAAGCTTTTTGGTTTAAGTCCCATCTATTTATATTTGCTTTTGTTGCATTTGCTTTTGGGTTCTTCGTCATGAAGTCTTTGCCTAAGCCAATGTCTATAAGGGTTTTTCTGATGTTATCTTCTAGAATCTTTATGGTTTCTGGTCTTATATTTAAGTGTTGGATCCACCTCAAGTTGATTTTTGTAAAAGGTGAGAGATGAGGATCCAGTTTCATTCTTCTACATGTGGCTAGCCAATTATCCCAGAACCATTTGTTGAATACAGTGTCCTTTCCCCTCTCCACTTTATGTTTTTGTTTGTTTTGTCAAAGATCAATTGGCTGTAAATATTTGGCTTTATTTCTGTGTTCTCTATTCTGTTCTCTATTCTGTTTTATAGAACAGACTCTATTCTATTCTATAAAATGTGCCTATTTTTATACTAGTACCATGTAGTTTTGGTGACTATGACCTTATAGTATAGTTTGAAGTTGTGTAATGTGATGCCTCCAGATTTATTCTTTTTGCTTAGTCTTGCTTTGATTATGTGGGCTCTTTTTG